>NC_000021.9:37054295-37364249 GCF_000001405.40 Homo sapiens
AATAGACATTACTTCTAAAATAAGTGATACTTATTAAAACAATAAAAATATTTAAAAATCAACCATCTGGTAACATTCCATTTTCATTACTTATGTAGACTTAAAAGACTATAATCATGAAATGACCTTAGCTAAAATTTTAGAGACTTTTAATCAAGGGTATTTCTGAAATAGTCTATCGATTCGTAGAGAGTGTAGCCGATGGGCTTCATTAGTGCCTTTTTTTTTTTTTTTTGAGACAGAGTTTCGCTCTTGTCACTGAGGCTGGAGTGCAATGGCATGATCTTGGCTCACTGCAACCTCCGCCTCCCAGGTTCAGGTGATTCTCCTGCCTCAGCCTCCCCAGTAGCTGGGACTACAGGTGCCCGCCATCACGCCCAGCTAATTTTTGTATTTTTAGTAGAGACGGGGTTTTGCCATGTTGGCCAGGCTGGTCATGAGCCATTAGTGCCTTTCAATCACTAAGTTATTTGGTTCATGACATTGTCTTGATTAACCCAACAGAAAAAAATCTGATTTAGTCCAACACACGAACTACCACTAATCTTATTGGTGACAAGAAGCTCCTGATAAGGATGAGCTGAAGAGGTGAAAATGAGGGCAAGTTTTGGGATTTAACTTCACTGAAACCATTTTCTTTGAAGGATTGGATATCTGATCTGATGTCGTTTACTTCAGATCTTTGAACAAATCATTACACAGGTATGTTTGGGAAGGAAGGAGTTAAGTCTAAAAAGAGTGCTTGATTCAGGATTTGTTTTGGAATCACTTATCTATTGGGTTGCTGACAGCAATAAACATTTTCTAAATACCTAAAGGAATGAAAGTAGAGTGTCACCCAGTGAGAAGGTGGCAGGTGAAACTTGGTTATTTCTTTATATTAGTTCGGCTGAATGTTAGAGTTAAAAAAACCCTAAAACAAAACAAAACAGATAAAAGTTGCCTTTTAAATTTGTCACACATCTGTCGCTGGTGTGTGGTCCTTTATAGTGTCCAAGATGGTCTATGGAAGATATTTATTTTGTAAAACAAAGTTCGAAAAGGCAAAGAGATCATCAACTTAGACCAAACATGCAATAACTCCTGTAAATGGATTGTCAGCAGGCATTGACATACATTGTCTATTTTGGCCAGGAAGAGGTGGAGTTATTCTCAAGGTTAAGTAAAGGTCATCTCTCTCTACCATACTGCCACTCAGCAGTGATGGAAAAGCAAAGCCTGAAGTTGGGTACTGGGAAATTTCACTTGGGAGACGGATGGCCCAGTCTGTCTGTGCACTCAGGTCATCTTGGTTAGTTTTCCCATAATTGTACTAGATCAGCAGTCAAGTGAAATGCCAGATTCATCACTGATAGAATCTCTGTCCTGGGTTGACAGTCCTTTAATTTGTGTGCCTTTGTGGCCAGAGGCCATTATTTCTAATTGCCTTTTTGTCCTGTAGCAGTTCATCTATCTTTCACACACACCAAATTTAATCTTCATGTTAGACAATGATGGGGAATTTGGGCTGAAGTTGTTATCAAATGAGTTTCATAAGCTTTAGTAACCTCAGGGAAAAAAAATCTTAAAAGACTTACCAAAATTTGAAAATAGTAAACAATGATGGCTTTCTAGTAATTTAAGGTTGTTACAGGATCTCCATACTGATAATTCAAAATATCTGGGTCAATGATTTGACTCCTTAACGTATGAAAAAAGGCTTACACTTCTCTTATTGCACCTACAATTTAATTATAACACATCTGATGATTTCTGATAGGAATGTCTGATTTTTTTTTTCTTCTTCACTCAACAACCATATATATATATGGTAGCTACCTTGAGGTAGGCACTGAGACCCAAGATGAATCAATCAAGTCCCTGTGAAGACAAATGAAACAGCCGAGTCTGCCTTTGGACCAGGTTGTGTACCACAGGGTACATTCGGAGAGAAATGGAAGCCCGTCTGGGGGTGTGGGTAGGGCCAGGGAACATGGAGGGAGCAGCAGTGAGACCATGGGATAGGCTCTGTGAATACCAGGAGTTTTACCCACTCCACCTGATTCAGCCCTGGGGATAGTGGAGAGAGGGGTCTCCATCTAACAGGTGAGGAAACAGAGCATTAGGCGGTGATATAGTTTGGCTCTGTGTCCCCACCCAAATCTCATCTTGTAGCTCCCATAATTCCCACATGTGGAAAAGACCAGTGGGAAATAATTGAATCATGGAGGCAAGTCTTTCCCATGCTGTTCTCGTGATAGTGAATGAATCTCATGAGATCTGATGGTTTTAAAAACGGGAGTTTCGCTGCACAAGCTCTCTCTGCCTGCTGCCATCCATGTAAGACCTGACTTGTTCCTCCTTGCTTTCCACCATGATTGTGAAGCTTCCCCAGCCACACGGAACTGTAAGTCCACTAAACCCCTTTTCCTATATAAAGTCTCAGGTATGTCTTTATCAGCAACATGAAAACTATTACAGGGGGTGAACACTCCCATGGCCTCACACAGCAAGAAGGAAGATGGGAGCACTTGAGACCCAGTGTCCAGATTTGTGAGTTGAGTTGGTCCAGCTGAGCTGGGGTGATGGGAAGCAGTTGGGGTCAGGAAGCTGCACAAAGGTCCCAGTCGCCCAGCCGACCAGGACAGAAAATGCTGAACTGTGAAACTATTTGGGACTTGTCTTTTTTTTTTTTTTTTTTAATGGAAAGGACTTCTCTGCACATGCGTTCACTTTCCTGCCCATGCCAGCAGCTCAGTGGCCCCATTTTTCGGGTGAATGTTGCAGGCATGGTATAAAACCCATTCCATTTCCCGCATTAACTTTGCACAAGCCACATGGTCTCTTTTCTCTCAGATCCTTCACACGGCTGTTGTGAAGAGGGGTGGAAGAGAAATTTACATTCCAACCTTCAGAGACAAGTCAGCCAAATTATGCCAAGGCCTCTGTCCCTCCATCTGTCCATCCATCCGTCCATCCATTAGAGCCAGGGCAAGTAGCATAGGGCTCTGGGTGGACGGCCCCCAAGATGTGCTTTACCTCCACCGCCACTTTCTCTGCCTGGCTTACTCATTCACTGGGCAGGTATTTATCGAGGGCCCTTCTGCATACCAGGCCTCCTGCCTCAGCCTCCTGAGTAGCTGGGATTACAGGCGTGCACCACCCTGCCCGGCTAATTTTTGTATTTTCAGTAGAGATGGGGTTTCACCATGTTGGTCAGGCTGGTCTCAAACTCCTGACCTTGTGATCTGCTCGCCTCAGCCTCCCAAAGTGCTGGGACTACAGGCATGAGCCACCGTGCCTGGCCTTAGGTAGTTCTTTATAGCAATGCGAGAACATGTCCTTAGAGGACAGAGGCCATGGGAGGTTTGATGGATACTGAAGGGGAGCACCCACAGGACCACTGAGGCAGGCAGTGGCGAGACGCAGCCACAAACCAAGGCTGTGTGATGTAGCGTAAGGCTGGACAAGGCCAGGCAGTGTCCCCTCCCACTTCCGGAGGGAGTTTGGCCCTGCTGAGGCCTTGATGGCTCTGAAGCTCATCTCAGTCTTGTGACCTCCAGGACTGCGAGATAATCCATTTCTATTGTTTAAAGCCACTTAGTTTGAGGCGATTTGTTACTGCAGCCCCAGGAAACAAATACAATGATGGACAGGAATTGGTGGAGATGAAGCAGTTTCCAGAGTGGTGAACACAGTGAGGAAAAGTGTGGGGTACAATAGCGATTACCATTACTCAAGGCCTGACTGTGGCCCAAGCACAGTTTTAAGCATTTTATATACTTCCTGTTTCCCAGTAGCCTACACAATAAGTGATGTTTTACAGATGAAGAAACCGAGCTCAGAGAGGTAATGTAACCTGCCCAAGGTACACTGGCAGGAAGTAGTGTAGCTGGGACTTGAGCTCAGTTCTAATGGATTCCCAAAGCCCATGCTCTTTTCACTTTGCTCCTTGGAGGTTGGCCACTTAAGTGCCATTTGTTTATTTATTCATTCACTGTTTGTCTATTTGAATAAAAATACTGAGTTTTTATCCACTATTTGAATAAAAATACTGAGTTTTGTTAGTATTCCAAGTTGCAAATTAAAACTACATACCATTCCTTAATTTCTTAGCAAAAGTGGGACAAGTGGTAATTACTGAGCCACTTTCTGGCATCTGGCCTACTTTTTGTTGCTCTATTCTGGGCCACCACATGCCTCGTTAAAAATGGGGAACTATTTCAAAGGAAGATGGGGAGAACAAACACAGAGATGTCAGAAGCCTCTGCCACAGGGTGTGTGCCCAAACCCAGCAGTGATGGCTGCGGGTGCTGAGACTGGGACAGGTGGACAGAGACCAATACAGTTGGTGTGCAGCACCCATGGAGGAGGGCCTTGAATAGCGGGTTGGTTGAGACACGGTCCTTTGGACACAGAGCTCCAAGCCCTGTGAGCCTTTGGCAGTTTGTGAGGGAGGGGAGGGAGGAGGTGGAACCATAAGCCTCGATAAGGCACAATGGCAGTGACAGCAAATACCATAGATTAAAAACAAGTATCCTCTTCCATTTTCTTTGATAGAATAAGCATAAGTAACCCAAAGGAGGGTCAGGAAATCCCACAATAAATGACTCTGAAATGTCTGTTAATAATGAACCGTGGAAAATCAAAGCATATTCAGTTAGACTAGGAAAAATGGAACACCATGATATTTTGTATACTCCAAATTTGAGGAACAATACATAAGGGTACATGGGTAATCCCCAGTGTTGGTGAGTTACAGGGAGTAAACTGATAGAATCCTTTTGGAGATCACTCTGGTGTTTTATATTAAGTGTCTTAGTCTGTTTTGTACTAGTATTATTTGTATTAGTCCATTCTCACACTGCTATAAAGATACTACCTGAGACTGGGTAATTTATAAACAAGAGGTTTAATTGACTCACAGTTCCACATGGCTGGGGAGGCCTCAGGAAACTTACATTCACGGCAGAAGGTGAAGGGGAAGCAAGGCGTGTCTTACATAGTGGAAGGAGAGACAGAGATAGAATGCAGGGGAAACTGCCACTTTTAAATCATCAGATCTCGTGAGGCCTCCCTCACTTTCAGGAGAACAGCTTTGGGGAAACCACTCCCATGATCCAGTCACCTCCCACCAGGTCCCTCCCTCAACACGTGGGGATTAAAATTCGAGATGAGATTTGGGTGGGGACACAGAGCTGAACCATATCAACATTCAAGCTCTTTGACCCTGTAGTAATTCCAATACAAGAAGCCTAGCCCAAGGACACAATTTCATAAAGTTTATCCACAAAAGATGTTTGTTGTACTCATTGTTTAAAATAGGGGAAAACAGGAGACAGCCCAAGTGGCTAGTGTCTGGGAGCCATCATGTTTTTGCCTCAACAATTGCAACACTTCAGTCTTTTTGGGGTAGTAGTGAGGAAGCCACTTCTGCCACTCTGTCTTCCCTATATTCTTTTTTATTTTTTGAGATGGAGTTTCACTCTTGTTGCCCAGGCTGGAGTGCAATGGAGCAATCTCGGCTCACTGCAACCTCCACCTCCCGGGTTCAAGCGATTGTCCTGCCTCAGCCTCCTGAGTAGCTGGGATTATAGGCGCCCACCTCCACGCCCGGCTAATTTTGTGTTTTTAGTAGAGACAGGGTTTCTCCATGTTGGTCAGGCTGGTCTCAAACTTCCGACCTCAGGTGATCCACCTGCCTCAGCCTCCCAAATTGCTGAGATTACAGGTGTGAGCCACCGCGCCCAACCCCCCATATTCTTTATACCCCTGGGAAGAGCTGTGACTTAGCCGATGGGTGAAAACGAGCCAAGAGTGACTGCATGGAGTTGTCTGCTATCCACCTGGCCCTGCCACCTCCTGAGCATGCAGCTGGTCAGGCCATGTCTCCAGGTCTGCAGGCCCAGTCCTCCTCACATCAGTCCCCAAGTCTAGATTTAGGGAAGAAAGCATGATTTTGGCTTCAGGCTTATGCAGCACTTGAAAATCGGGCTCCATCAGCAATAAGGTAGACACTGCATTTTAATTCTTGCCAGGTGCGTAAGTCCTTCACAGAATGGTGGTGAGGAGTGAGTGACTGAACTTTCCCCAGGATGTGCCCACCCATGGTGCATTCACTGAGAACATTCAAAAGAGGTTGCCTTAGAAACCAAAGTATCACAGGGAGAGATGGGCCTCTTGGGGCAGCAGCAGCAGCTGAAGCAGGCTGACTCACAGCTGCTTCTAATATGCTAGGCTTTGTGTAAACAGGCTTTATGACACAAGTGGGCTGACTACAGTGCAATTGGAGTGTGGCATCTGAGTCACTGTGAGGCTCTAGCTGGCTTCTTCCAGCCCTGGCCATAGGGTCCCCTGTGACTGTAACCTATACAAGCAGAGCTTGGGCATGCTGGATTTGCAGAAATAACCTTAGGCAGGTATTGAATTATTGGACATTAACTTCCCCTGCATTGTGTGAAAATATAAATCTTGGTCCACAAATGCCCTTGTTCAAGACTGTATTTTCCACAATGCCATCATTTCTCACTCTGTGAGTCCTTTGGTCCCTAATTGAGATTTCCATTGCATTTCTGACCTCTGAGACTTAAGTGGTGATGAGGCACAGAGAGGAAAAGAATATCTGGTCCTCAGTCATAGGTCCAGATAGGTAATCACTGAAACATCCACTGTGCTTGTCCATGTGGCCCTGTTCAGATTTGGTGGCTACCTCAAAGTGCAGTTCTTTGAAAACTAAACTGTTATGTTAAGCCATTGACAATTTAGGATTATTATTTATTTATTTATTTTACCATGGAATGACAAACTCTCCTGACTAGAAAAGGTGGGATAAGTACATTTCCTCCCAACCCAAAATAGTAAATAGTGCCACCATGAACCTAATTGTGTTAAACTGAGTGACTGAGACCCATGAAAACTGCCATAGCCTGACCTGCACCCCAGCACGATGAATCAAGAAGAATCTCTCTTTCCTCTTCCGTTTTCTGTCTTCCTTTCCCCATGTCCCATCAAGTCTGTTCTAGTTACTGGCTGGTGGGTCTGTACTATACAATGTACTGGGTTCCATCACTATTGCTGTAGGAGTTGATTTATTTGGATTTTCAAAGTTCCATGGGCATGGGACTGTTAATATGACATTTTCATATAGCCTACTGAATCTTTAAAAAACTGGGAGATGCAAGAAATTTTGGGTTGGGTCAATGTGCTTAAGGAATGACTCCCATTCTTATGACAGCCTAGGCAGCAGCTTCCTGAGGAAACCCAAACATCTGATTGAGATCCTTTTAACTAAAACAGGGCAGGTCAAGAAATTAGGGGGAGCAGAATTTTGGATTTAAATTATGTTGGCTTTTCATTAGGTGATTTCATACTTGGGCTTTTATTTCTCCCTGGGAGTTGAATCACTGGAGAAGGTTTTGTTAATATATGGAAATTTTTATATTATTGACACTTTCTATTTGGAGTATTTTAGGCTATTATTTGGGCTCATTGCAGAACAGTGTCTTTCAAACTTTTTTCTTAAATTAGGACATGCATTATACATCATGGCAGAAGCACAATTTTTACAAAACAAAAACATCTCACAGCCTGGGCAACACAGGGAGACCCTGTCACTACAAAAAAAAAAAAAATAAAAAGATTAGCTAGGCATAGCGGTGCATGCCTGTGGTCATAGCTACTTGGGAGGCTGAGGTGGGAGGATCGCTTGAGCCTGGGAGTTCAAGGCTGCAGTGAGCCATGATGGCACCACTGCATTCCAGCTTTGATCCTGTCTCAAAAATACCAAAAACAAAAAACATCTCAGCTGGAGTTCTGAAAGCAGAGACTGGGACAAAGGCTTGTGTGCAGGCAATTTACTGGGAAAGTGACCACAGAGAGCAGGGCCAAGTGGCAGAGGGTGCAAAACACATCAGACAGACAAGCACGTGGGCTGAGTCCACCACCATCGTGGCAACCGCAGTTCAATCCCATGAGACCTTCTGAGGAGCTCATGGAATGCAGTGCAGAACTGTCTCCTCCGGGCTGAAAGAAGGATGTGTATATCCACTGATACCTCTCCCAGGTTGGGCTCCAGGCTGGTCCTGTGGGTGTTAACCCCTCTCCTTCCAGAGTGTACTATAAGAGGCACCTATGTGGATGTGGTTAAATTTGCATGAACTGTTTGGGGCATCAGTGGCTGGAGTAAGAGGTGAACAGAGAGGCTCTGAAGTGGTTGAAACAGACGTTCAGTCAAAATATTCACCCTTACTGAGTGCAATGCACTGACATATTCTATTCTAGTTCATCACACACACACTAGTGGAGGCCCACTAACCAGTGGTTCTCAAAGTCCGGGGGTCCCAAGACCATATTTCAGGGGGCCTATGAGGTCAAAACTATTTTCCTAATACTGCTGAGATGTTTTGTCTTTTTCATCCTCGTTCTCTCATGACTATGCAGCGGAGCTTTCCAGAGGCTTCGTGACAGGCGCTAATGTCACAGACTGAATGCACAAGCAGATATGAGAAACGGCTGTGTTCCATGAAGCCAGACATTAAAGAGACTTGGAGAAATGTAAAACAATTCTACTTGTCTCACTGAATTTTTTTGTTTTAGAAAATAGTTATTTCTCATGAATATGTTTATGTTAAATTTGTCCTTTTAGAATCAGCTTAGTATTACTACAATGATTTGGGTGAAATGTTTCTGTAACAGAAATTTTGTTTCTCATTATGTGATGAGTTAATTTTATATCTAAAAGGTAACGTATTATTTATAAACAAATATTTAAAAATTTTCTATTTTAATTTTTAAATATATCTACATACACAAAAGGTCTTTGGGGCTCTCACTCTTTACAAGAATAAAGGGGTCCTAAGATCTTAAGAAAAGATAGAGAATTGCTACACTAAACTGATCATGACCCTCAAAAACACTGCTGCCCATAGTTTGCAAAACATTGGTGTTCCTTTCATGACCTGTAAGGACAGAGTGGTTGGAAACCAGAATGAAAAGTTAATTTGAGGCTTAATGTGCAATAGAACACTAGAGTCCATGAAGGTTCTATCCTGACCTATTTCAAACCCGTCTCAGGCCCATCACCTGTCCGAGGGGAAGACAAGGGAATACTGCTGACATGAGCAAGAGTCTCACAGATGGGAGGGAACCGCTCGGATAACTGCTGGCTTTCTCTTCCAAAGCTTACAGCTACTGCCCTGCTTGACCAAAACTCAGTTAAGTCTAATCATGTAAGGGAGTCCAATCATGTAAGGGAGTCCAATCATGTAAGGGAGTCCAATCATGTAAGGGAGTCCAATCATGTAAGGGAGTCATTCTCGACCCTGGCTGCATATTGGAAGCATCTGGAAGATGTTAAAAAATTACCCCTGCCTGTGCTCTACTCCAGACCAATGAATCAACATTTTCTGGAGGTAGGCATAGGCACTGTTTTTTTTTCCCCTTTTTATTGAGGTGTAACTTGCATCAGAAGCAGAAATCTTAATAACTTAATGATTTTTTAAAAACATGTATTACCTCCATGTAACCATAACCACCACCCAGATCAAGATGTAGGGCATTTTCAATTCACCAGCAGGCTCCTTCATGCCTCCTCCTAGATAATACTCTTCTCCAAAGGTAACCATTATTCTAATATTTGCCACCATAGATTAGTTTTTCCTGATTTTGAACTTCAAATAAAGGGAACCACGCAGTAGTTTACTCTTTTGTGTCTGGCTTTTTTTGCCCAATGTTATGGCCATATTAATTCATATTATTAGGTAGAGAAGTAATGCATTCTTGTTTGCATGGCTGTGTAGTGTTCAATTGTAGAAACAGACCATGATTTATTTATCATTCTATACTTGGTGGAGTTCGCTGGTTCCCTTACACTGCTTTTTTTTGTTTCTTTTTTTTTTGAGACGGTTGCCAAGGTAACCGTCTCGCTCTGTTGCTAAGGCTGGAGTGCAGTGGCATGATCTCGGCTCACTGCAATCTCTGCCTCCCAGGCTCAAGCAATTCTCCTGCCTCAGCCTCCCGAGTAGCTGGGATTACAGACGCCTGCCACCACGCCTGACTAATTTTTGTATTTTTAGTAGATATGAGGTTTTGCCATGTTGGCCAGGCTGGTCTCCAACTCCTGACCTCAGGTGATCCAGCTGCCTCAACCTCCCAAAGTGCTGGGATTACAGGCATGAACCACCACATCCAGTCCCCTTATACTGCTCTTAAGTGTGGTGACATGCTCTCACCATAAAATAACAGGAACTGGGACAAACTAGGGAACAGGAAAAGCAGATTCATGTTATCCATCTCATGCTTACTGGGTAAGGATATGGTTATTGTCCCCTTCCCAGCTCCTCCTCTGAATCTATTCTTCATTCACCAATCAGGATGACTTTTAAAAACAGAAATCAGGCCATGTCATTCCTTTCCTTCAAGACTCCCAACAGCTTGATCCTAAAGTGCCTCAAACTCATCACACTTACACTTAAATCCACACTTCCTACACCAGCCTACAAAGCCCTTCACAATCTGGGCCCGGTCTCTCCAGGCTCACCTGGGACCACATTCTCTCTTGTTTGGTATGCTCTATGCCCAATGCCAGTCTTCTCTCTGTTCTTAGGACAAACCAAGTTCCTTCCCACCTTATGGTCTTTGCCTCACCTGCTTTATACTTAGATCCCAACAGCCTCTCTCTGAGAGGCCTTCCTTGACCACCCAATGTGAACTAGTCATCCCTTTGCATTCTAGAATACATTATCTTAATTCTTTGCATAGCACTCATCAAATTATATTTCCTTGTTTATTTGCTTAGTTGCCTCACCCTGCTTCTAAAACTATAAGCTCTTTGAGAGAGAATCTTACCATTACTTCATCCTCAGTGCCTAGAAAAATACCTGGTACACAGTGAGTACTCAACAAATATTTGTGTCTTAGACATGAATCTGATGGCACAAGTACTAACTGTACCCTTCCCAAAAACTAAGGGTTTGAATTCTGGGCCCCTCAGGACAAACAGGAGGAAGGACATCATTGCCCTTTGCAAATTACAATATAAATGCCTCTCTGGAGGAACTTCTTGATTATACTGACATTGATTTTTTTTTTTAAGTCTGCTATATGGGAATGCAATATTGTATTTATTCTATTCATTAACAATACTTGAACATTTACAATATTCATTGAACATAATCTAAGAGAAGGTCAACTTACATTTTTTACTTCTCTATTAATAAGAGAGATGGTCAAATTAATTTATGGTCAAAATTATAATGGCAAAAACTTATAAATAAATACGTGCTTGGTGTTACTATGGTTACACACAGTTCAGTTTTTGGTGTAAAGTTCTTTGGCTGCAAGAAAGAACATTTGGTTTACTTCACTAATAGAAATATCTCTTAAGGCTGGAATGGCCTCCTCTTGGTATTTCTTCTGCTGTTGATTTTTTGCATAGTTATCTGTAAGAAAAGACCAAAAAGCTCTGTTTACCTAAGCAATTTCTTCTACAGTCTCTGTGTCTGATGGAGACCCACCACATAGTTTACTAGGCTGACGTTTGGATAGTGACAAACATCATGTTTAACATAATTAGATGATTACTTAAATCCTCTCTTTAGAAGAAATGTCCCAATTAAAATAAAAACATCCCTGTCTCTACTAAAAACACAAACACACAAAATTAGCCTGGTGAGGTGGCGGGCGCCTGTAGTCCCACCTACTCGGGAGGCTGAGGCAGGAGAACAGCGTGAACCCAGGGGGCGGAGCCTGCAGTGAGCCGAGATTGCGCCATTGCACTCCAGCCTGGGTGACAGAGCGAGACTCCATCTCAAAAATAAAAAATAAAAAATAAATAAATAAATAAATAAAAATAAAAAAATAAAAACATCAGTAAAGTACTTTTTTCATCTCTAACTTGGAAAGAAATCAATATTTTAATCAACCATACAATGATGATTAAAGTCTCATTTGCACATTTCTCACGGGAACAGAATTATATCCAGGCCTTGAAAATGTATTTAAATCAACATGGCAAAACTATTAAATCATTTGGTATAAATATTCATGCAATCTTAACAATTTCCCCTCTTTGCACAAATTACCTATTTGCTGCCAATTCCAATCAAGAATGCATGGAATGCAGTGTATTAGAAAGACACTTAAAAATAATAGAATTGATTTTCAAAATACATTGTAGAGGCTAATATATAAAGGTTTTGAAAAGTTGAAAAATCATACCAGGGAACTTAAAAAATACTTTACTTTCTAGAATTTAAGCAAGCTCAGGAGTCTGATTTATTTTCATCTTTAGACTTGAAAGAACTTTAAAAAAATAAAACCAGACGAACGTGTTGTGGCTCTTTTATCCACTTAATTGGAATAAGGAGTACACAATGATCCTGAGGAGGATACACACCCCCAAAGTCCTTTTTCTGAACAAGGTCTGCATGTACTATTTACTATCCCTTGATCAACGGTGTCTGTTCAGGATAAGCTTCTCTCAGGCAAAGTTAATGGGAACATATTATAGACACATATAGCATATACTTGTGGTTTTTATGGGAACATACACCTGCTAACCAGTGCTATAATTAATTATAATTTATTTCCTCCATGAATATAGCTAGTGTGTATTCATCAGAACTTAATTCCTTCATGCAAATATTTCCTTTTATATAAGTTTGTATTTATTTCTCTTAGTAGCTTCTTTTTACTGTCCGTGTGTGTGTGTGTGTGTGTGTGTGTGTGTGTGTGTGTGTGTGTTTTCTTTTAGGATGGAGTTTCACTCTTGTCACCCAAGCTGGAGTACAGTGGTGGGATCTTGGCTCACTGCAACCTCTGCCTCCTGGGTTCAAGTGATTCTCCTGCCTCAGCCTCCCAAGTAGCTGGGATTACAGACGCGCACCACCAACATGGGTTTTGCAGCCTGTTCTTTGTTGCTTTTCTGGGTAAAAGTGCTAATACTCCACTCTTTCATTGCCCCAGCACTTTCCTTTTATATAAAGTTACCTGTGATTGTATGGATGGAGTCGAGTGGAGAGGTACTCATCATGTTAATCCCAAACAAGAGCACGTAGCCAATTACTATAGCAATAAGGAGGTAGACAGGTAATGCAACTGCCCAATATCTGCCAAAGAGAATATTAAAGTACATAATAGACACTTTAAAAAAGTTGTAATTCTCAAGAGTCGGTCACAAAGCCAACATGTTTTTTAAATTTAAATTTTATAAAGTAATATGTGTACATAAGAGACAAATAGTTCCACAAGGCTTACAGTGAAAAACTGCAGTCCTCTATCCCACCATCCCAACCCTGGGGTCTCACTCTCCAAAAAGAAATGCTTTGAGCACTTGAGCTGTCTTCTGGTACTTACCTCCTCATTGCTACAAAACATGCTCATATTACTATTTCCTCATTTTTTTCCATTACAGACATTTTCTCTAGGCTTCCTAATATGGAGATAAGGAATTAACCTCCTCCTATCCTCTTCTATACTTACATTGCAATTTCTCATTATAGCAGCAGGTTTTAGAAATAATTGTACCTACATAAACAATTTTGCAACTGAGGATCTTAGTACATTATTATTATATATTTTCTTGTACAACTTTTTTTTTTCTGGAATAATTACATCTTTTTGTCTGTTCACTTGGTTTCCCAGGAATCCACCAATACCAGAGCCTCAAATTCTCTGATAGGACTCTATTATGCCTCTCAGTATCATTATGTACATGGAGTGCTATTTTTCATTGAGTGTTTTTTTTTTCTTTTTGAGAAAGCATTTCCCTCTGTCACCCAGGCTGGAGTGCAACGGCATGATCACAGATCACTAGCCTCAATCTGCTGAGCTCACTTCAGCCCTGCAAGTAGCTGGGACTATAGGCACACACCACCACACCTGGCTAATTTTTAATTTTTTTGTAGAAATGGGGTCTTGAGATGTTGGCCAGATGTTTTTTTTTTTTTAAATGATTTGTTCTCTATTATTTTCTCTTTCTGGAACTTCTAATAGTTTGAATTTTTAACGATTATACTTTCTTATATTTTCATTTTTTTTTGTTCTAACTTCTAGAGATTACCTTTGTTTTATTTTCCAGTCTTTCAATTAAAATTTTAATTTTGGTTATCATGTTTACAATTTCCAAATACAGTAATTTCCTGTTTGCATAGCATTCTGTTCTTGTTTCATAGTTATAATTGTTTCTTACCTCTGAGAATTTTATGTTATTTAAATTTTTTTTTCTGTTTCCTGCATTATCTCTATTTCCTTCAAATTCCCTTTAATTTTCTGCTTTTTCATTTCATGCTAGAGGCTTTCTTTTAATGTCTGGTAACTTAGAGTAGTCCATTCATATTTAAAAATGAAGTGCTAACAAGTGAGTTGGAAGCACTATGTGTATGTGGGCAGGGATGGTCAACTGGTGAGCCTCACTCTGAGAGACTTGGCCACTTCACTGGGGTCCTCTAAATGTCAGAAATTATAGATCCTTTCTCTCGGGCTGGTCAGCTTCCTCAGGAAAGAACTATCTATCTTTTTCTGTGAGCAGTAGGGTGATATAAGCCTCGAAGCCCCAAGAGGGAAGATGGAGCAGGAGGTAAATCTTCTCATTAAGCCATGTAGATTTTCACTTACTTCCCTGTTTTCAGTAAGATGCCGCATTCCCACACTCAGACTTAGTGGCCCCCATGCTAGAGACTCTTACTTAACCTTGCCAGAGAGTAAAACTCCTGTTTTCTGCAGGGGAGGGCAGGGCAGGCCTCCCAGCTTTGAGGGCTGAGGGAGATTTGAAGGCTGAAGACTTCATATGGTCTTTAAACATGTTTTCAGTTCAACCCAGAATTAAAGAGCTACCTGGTACCCCAATGTCTGAGCTATTCTGGAGTTCTAAGGCACAAATATTCTTGCTGGCTTCCCTACTTCAGCAACGTGAAAATCACAGAAACAAAGGCAGTTACCTCTCACCTATCACAATCCACTTTCCAAAATGTGGTTGATATCTCTTTTCTGCTATACTATTGTTTCTGTGGTTTGTATCTTCAGTTTTTTTTTTTTTTCCTGTAGGGTCATTTTAACAAGATTTTTGGAGGAAATGGATGGAGATAAACATGTGTGTTCATGCTACCATCTTTAATTAGAGATGTATCAATAGCGATCTTTAAAAAGCTTTCAATTTCTATATGGCTATTCATGAATTTTAAGAGAACAAATATTTAAGATTTGGGTAGGTTTAAGAAATGATATGACTCCTCAAAACAGCATTAATTATATCCTCATTTAAGAAATATATTAAACTTACTTTTGAGGCCAATAGGTTAAACCTAAAGAGTTTAGCCAAGATTCAGGAATAAAGGCCCACACGAGGTAAAGTACTGTAGAAAAGAAAAAGAAAAAAAAGAGGAAGAGAAGTCAGTAAGACATACATCTAATCTATCAATCTATTAAGATTCAGATAAAACAGAAAAGCTCTTTTGAAGTGTCCCTGATTAACTCAGAAATGATTTTTTCCTCCTTTCAGTTCTTCTAGCTCGTTTGCACAATTCTTATAATACTTATAATTACTGTATTAGTCTTTTTTTTTAATATCTTAACTCACATTATATTTTAAGCAATTCAAGGATACAAATCATGGCTTAGCAATTGTTGTAATCCTTATTACCTAGCAGTTTGCTTTAGGTACAGTAAGTGTTCAATACTTCATCCCCACAAGGTTGAAGTAATTATAGACATTTAATTGCTCAAAGGGAAATTTACCTACCCTAGTTCTCATCCACCACATACTGAGCTTCTGCCCTATCTCCCAGAGTACAATGTTATTTCCCTCAATCCGAAATCTCGGCACTCTTTACTGTTATCCCACGATAACAACAATGGCTAAGTTCTGAGCACTCACTGTGGGTTAAGCACAGTTCCAAGCATTCTGTATGCATTAAGATAATCCTCCAAGACAATCCTCCAAGGCAAGTATGCAATTTTAAATGATGAGGAAATGGAAGCTTAGAAAGGATACATCACCTACCCAAGGTAAGCGGCAAAGATAAATTTTAACTACCTACTACATCAGTGATGATGCATTCTTTTCTTAACAAATATGTATTACAGAATTCTGTATGTCAGGTGTGTGAGACACAATATTGAATCCAAAAGAGATGGCTTCTGCCCTCCCTAAACTTAAAATCTAGTGGTGAATAGAGAAAATTGGTATTTTCACTACATTGTTACAAGTGCTCACGAATGAGTAATAAAAGATGACATAGAAGCACATTAGAAGGCCCTCCTTCCACTTCGTATCCTCCTTCCCTTTGCTTAATTTCTCCCCATAGTACGTTATCACCTGATACTATATACGTTTTTCTTATTTAACTTGCCCATTGACTATCTCCCCCCGGCATGAGAATGAAGACTCAAAGCAGGGCATTTTTGGCTGTTTTGGTCCTTCCTGGCCTGTAACAGTGCCTGGCACATGGTAAGCACCAATAAATACTTGAATTACTTTTTGGTTGTGGGTATGATGGAATTTAATTTTGTTTTGAGACAGTTTCGCTCGTTGCCCAGGCTGGAGTGCAAAAGTGCAATCTCAGCTCACGGCAACCTCCGCCTCCCGGGTTCAAGCGATTCTCCTGCCTCAGCCTCCCGAGTAGCTGGAGTTACAGGCATGCGCCACCATCCCGGCTAATTTTGTATTTTTAGTAGAGACAGGGTTTTTCCATGTTGGTCTGGCTGGTCTCAAACTCCCGACCTCAGATGATCTGCCTGCCTCGGCCACCCAAAGTGCCGGGATTACAGGCGTGAGCCACCAGGCCGGCCAGAATTTAAGCCTTAAAGTGATTGCTTTTATTTATTCATATAGCTTCTAATCCTTGACATACTCTTTGAACAAGGATTTACAAAAGTGCTAACAATAACATCAGTAGCTAACACTTATTAAGTCCCTAACTGTTCCTAGGCATTATTTTACGTGCTTTACATAAATTACCCCCGTTAATCCTCACAACAGTCAGAAGAGGCAGCAGAGTGAAGTCAGCCAGTGTATTTGGGTTCAAATTTAGAAGGCTTTTATTTAGTAGCTTTGCAATCTTGAGCAAGTTACTGAAACCACAGGATGCTCATCTTTAAAGGACAGTAATAACAGAACCTACCCCATAGAACTGTTTCATGCGTCATAAGCATTTAATAACCATCATTATCACTACCCTTTTACAGATAAGGAACCTGAGGCTCAAAAAATTTGCTGAGGGTCCCAGCTCACATGGCTAATCTGTGGAGGAGTCAGAATTCGAACTCAGTTGTAACTTCTTCACTTCACTTCAGTTTTAATAGCCTGGCCATTACATTCATCTGCAAGCTGTGCTGATGGTGCAGGCTGATATATTTTAGTTAGGGTTCAGAAGTACTACCACTCCTCCACTTTCCTGGTTTCCAAACAGTTGCAGAACGTTGGATCACGGGCACTCAATTTTCTCCCTTTTGTGTGCCTCAAAATTCTCAAATCATTTTGGGGAGAGACTTGGGACTTGCTGTGTGAGTGGGCATATTAGTGTCTTAGTGAGCATCAGTCTCCTTATCTGTAAAATGGAATGTTATGGGGTTAAATTAAGGGAGATCCAGGACGCAAACGACACACCTTTCAACCCGACTTCTCTGGCCTACTTCTCCTGTTCCCCAGATCCCGCAGGGCACACTGGTGACATCACAAGCTCCTCGGGTCCAAACCCTCTCACGCCCTCATTCAAGGCCTTTCCACTTCTTCCCTCCCTCTTACTCTTTCCTAATCAGCATCAGTGCCAGGGGGAAAGGCCTCTGTAGAAAGCCTTGACTTTCCAGTCTGGTTTCAATGTCTCTCCACCGTGCTCCCTGACACTCATCACACTGAGCATTAACTGTAGATTTACCCATCTGTCTCCTCCACAAGACCACGACCTCCTTAAGGGCAGGGACCAGGCTTTATCCACTTTGCCATCGCGTCTGGTGCTGTATAAATATTTGTAGAGACTAAAACCTCCTAGGCTAGTGCTGGCACACGGAACACTCAGCAAACACGAGATCCCTTCAGATTTTCTTAAAAAGAGACATAGGGAGAAAGAATCAACAGTTCATGTGTGCACAGTCTAACCAATGTATTCTTCCCTTGTCACTGAACGCCAGAAAAAGCCCCTGGCCATCCATCAGGAAAGTACTTACTGAAGCCAAATTGGGAGCTTAAGAAAAGAACAAAGCCATAAATCGCTCTTTCTGGCAATGGCGACGGTGAATTTTCCACCATTTTTCCTGGGGCTTTAGACAATCTGTGGAAAAGGAACACAATCAGCGTCAGCGATGTGCTCCGTGGCACCATTGATCCATTCTCGCCTCCTCGCTCCGCCGCGGGTACGGCCCCCGCCGCGCAGAACCGCCTCCCGCGCCTCCGTCCGCAACCCGCGCCCCCGCCTCGAGCGCATACAGACACCCAGGCTGGCGCGCGCCCCGCAACAGAAGGGGTGGCGGAGGATAGGGCAGGGAGGGGGGTTCTGGGGCGATAGACGCGCGCTCCAGCTCTGCAAGCGTGGCCTCCCTGTGGGAGGGGAGGGCAGGGAACAAGGCTCGCGCGGCGCCCACCAGCATGCGGGCCTACTAGGTCGCGGCGCCCAGGCCCCGGGCCCTGCCCATTCGTGGAGACTTCTATTTCTCATTCGAGGCGGGGTATGGGGGGGCCCTCGACCTCGGGTCCTTCATACGCCCACCCAGGCCCCTCCCGACACCTCGGCCACCTCAGCGCTGAGTTCTCCGCGCAAGCGCCGACTGGGGAGCCGCAGTGGGGAAGAGGAAAACCTGAGGGAAAGGCCTAGGCGCGACGGCAACCCCCACCCTGGCGCAGGCGCACAACGACCCTCCCCGGGTGGGAGCCAGCGAGCGCGGGGGCGGGCGTGATCCCGCGGCTCGCGACGGCGAAGGAGGGGGCGGTGGGGTGCGACTGCGCACGCGCGCTGCCAGCCCACGTGACGCACCTCGCTTCAACGCCGCCACCCGCTCCCTCCCGCCGTCGGCTGACGTGGAGGGCCGGAGGTGGCGGCGGCGGCGGCGGCGGCTGCTGCTGCTGCTGCCCGCGTCCGAGGCTCGCGGGCGGCGGGCCCGGGTGAGTGCACACCCGGCGCGCTGCCGGGCTCCCGGATGTGTCACCTTGTCCCGCTGCAGCCGAGATGCCGGGGGAGCGGGGCCTTCCACACCCCCTCCGTGGGTGTGTGGTGAGTGTGGGTGTGTGCGCGTCTCCTCGCGTCCCTCGCTGAGGTGCCTACTGTGTCTGCATGGGTTGGGTCCCGCGCGATGAGGGGGTGTGGCCGCCATTGCCTACCCCAGTGGGTTTGCCCCCTTGGTCTGGTGCCCCTTCGCGAGCGAGGCCCTGGGATGCCGGTGCGAGGGTGTGAGTAGTCCCTTTGTGCGCAACCCCCCGCTGCCCGTGCCTCGGCCGGTGCGTGGCTGACACCTCCGCTGGGTGGAGGCGCTCGCGTGTCGCCTCGTCGCCCCTTTTGTGTCGGTGTCCGCGCTCCCTGGCGGCTGCGTGGGCGCTCTCGGCCTTGCAGGTGGCCCCCCTTTGTGTTACTGCCCCTGTCTGTGGGCTGCGCGTCCCCTAGCGCGCGTGGCCGCGCCTTCTGCAATTGCGACCCCCGCCTAGAGCCTTGCTCGCGCAAGTGTGCGTCCTTGCGTGTCTCCGAGTGACGCAGAGTGTCTGCGCATGGGTCCTGTTGAGTGCGTGATCTCTTGTGTGCGGATTTAATTCTGTCGAGTGGGTATCTCTTGTGTGCAGGTTTCGTTGGTGAGCGTGAACGTTCGTGCACACCCCTTGCTGTGTGTGCGTGTCACGACTCTGTTGCCACCTGTTTTCGTGTGAACTGGCAGTCCAGTCCAGGGCCTGTCCCCACGGAACGGACCCAGGAGGGGGGTAACCTCGCCGCTCCCCTCGCCCCCGCGCCTCTTTCTGAGCATTCTCTCCCACAGACGCTAATGGGAAGGGGGGTGGACAGGATCGAGTCTGGCCAGCTGCTCCGCAGTGTTGACGCTGCCAGTGTGGCCTCTTCAGCCAGCCTGTTCAGGAGACAGAATAGGGGGATCAAAGATAAAAAATGAAGCCGAGACGTAGGTGAATTTGGGCTGGTACCAGTGCGCCGTGCCTTTTCCAGTGGCGCCCTGGACGCCAAAACCCCCTCAGTTGCAGAGACCTTTCAAAATATATGCACTCTCCTACTGGGCGATGCGGTCCTTAGGCGTTCTTGATGATATTTAATGGTTTATAGAGTATTTTATGGCATTCACCTAAATCTCTTTCCATTTTGCCCAAGATCCTGGCGAGGGAAACAAGGTAGAAATTTTACAGATTTTACTCCTCCGGAGAGAGCCTTTTCCTTATAACTACGACTCTAGTTAGGACATTTTTTGTTGCAAGAAATTTGCGATTTATCCTAAGGAAAATGGGATATAGTATAAGGATACCTAGGGTAAGAAACTTCAAACCCCTTAGAGACCCAGCTACTGCTCCGATTGCTCAAGGTTTCGTGCTCTGCGCTCAAGGGCTGCGTTTTGGTGTCTTTGTTCTGCCCAATTTTCTTATTGTCTAATTTTCCTTTTTTTCTTTTAATTTTTGGAATATTTCAGATATCAAATACAGAGGGGGAGCTAACCAATCCATGATTCAGATTTTACAGACGTGATTATTTAATCTTTTGCCAAATTTACTTCAGATACTCTTTTTTTTTAAAGAAATAAAATTGCTCTCAGTTCCTTCCCCTCCTTTTCTAGAGATAGCCACTGCGTTGAGGTTTGTGTATATCTTTACTTTGCATATTTTATACTTTGATCAAGGTGAATCCATACACAATATATATTATTGTTTGTTTTTAAACTTTAATGGCATTAAAATATACATGCCTTTTTGCAACTTGCTTTTTTTTTTTTTGCTCAGCATCATATTTTGAGGTTTATATATGAACAAATTGAATGATTGTGTTATCTTTGGTTCATTCATTTTAATTGCTGGTATAGAATTGCGTTGTATGAATATACCATATTTATTTATACATTCCCCTGTTGATAGACTTTGAACTTGTTTCAGTTTTTGACTCTTAAAAACAGTCCTGCAATAAATATCTTTGTACTTGTCTGCTTGTGCACACATTTGGAAGTTTCTGTAGGAAGTACACCTAAGTAGTAGATTTGCCGGATTGTAGGCTATGTGCGTCTTCAATTTAACCAAGTATCACAGAAGCTCTCGAAGTGGTTGTACCAATTTTCACTGTCACTGGTGTTGAGTGAGAACACAATTTCCTCACAACCCTGCTAACACTTTATGTTATGAGACTTTACATTTTTGCCATCTCTTTACTGACCAGCTTCCTTATGACTTTTGGTTGCTGCTAAATTTGCTTGTAGCCACCTTGGCTTCTCTTGTAGCCCTGTGTCAGCCTATGGATTTATCTCTTATAGCTAATTGGCTTAGTCTTTATCTCCTTTGGTTCTCATAAGATTAATTCCAATGAACATTTGTTGTATACCTAATGTATGTCAGATCCTATGATTGATGTATAGATAGAATTTCCATGATATGTTAAATATGTACCTCTTTAGTGGCAGGTGAGGTGATTTAATTAAAAGTATTTTTTTTCTTATGATGAATGTTTAAAAAATTTTTCTTTTCCTCTCCATTTTATTGTAGTATTTGATAAATTCAAAATATATGTAAAACATATGCAAGCTGTATAGCAGAACAATAAAATGAACACCTATGAATTCACCACTCAATCCAATAATCAAAATGACCAGTATTGAATGTGCTTACTTCCAGAGGTGACTACCATCCTGAATTGTGTATATTATGCCTTGTTTTTAAAAATAATTTTATCAGATATGTATACATCCCTCAAAAATGTATTGTATGGTTTCTGTTGTTTTTGAGTGGAAAAAATCATATTGGGTATAGTTTCCTGGGACTTGCTTATTTCACTTGATGTTATGTTTCTGAGTTACTAATATTGGGTATAGATGTAAGTCATTAATTTTCACTGCTGTGTAATATTCCAAGTGTGAATATAACACAGTGTATGCATTCTTCTGTTAATGGGCATTTTGGTTGTTTCTAGGTTTTGCTGTTATGAAGTTATATACTTTTTGGTTCACAGTTGTAAGAATTTTTCTAATTTTCACACTGGGGTATATGAGCCCCAGAGGAGTAATGAAGATTTGCTAAGGAATGTGTGGGTACAAATGATGTTAATGAATCAGTTTCTAGATCATTACATTCCATAGGTACTCTTTCCTAAAAATGGTAATGCCTGAGGCCTCCTGCTAGTGCTACTTTCTTACCTTGTGTTTCTAACATTGCACTTTACATAAGACAGGCAAACCACAGGTTCTTGTGGAATCTTACTATGGCATTGCCCAAAGGGGGAAAACTCCCTTGGGGAAAACAAAGGGATTTTTTTTTTTTTTTTTTTTTTTTTTGAGTGAAGTTTTGCTCTTTTTGCCCAGGCTGGAGTGCAATGGCACGATCTCGGCTCACTGCAACCTCTGCCTCCCAAGTTCAAGTGATTCTCTTGCCTCAGCCTCTGAGTAGCTGGGATTACAGGCGCGCACCACCACACCCGGCTAATTTTGTATTTTTAGTAGAGACGGGATTTCACCATGTTGGCTAGGCACGTCTTGAACTCCTGACCTCAGGTGATCTGCCCGACTCGGCCTCCCAAAGTGCTGGGATTACAGGCCACCGCGCCTGGCCTACAAAGGGATAATTTAAAATACCACTATAGTGTTAGGGAAAGCCTCTTTTAATCCTGGCACTTCCCCATCCATTTCCTTAAGAGAGATATTTCCAATAAAGTTGCTTTTTTTTTTATGTTATCAGGGTATATTTTTTGGCCAACCATATGCTGGTAATAATTATACATTTAAAAGAATGAGATAATCAGTTTTACTTTAAAATGTTACTGTGATGTTCTAGAAATTCACCCTTTGCAATTATTTAATCTTATGGTGATATTTTTTAAATGTCATCTTAATGGGTAAAGGGTATGCAATTTTAAAAAGCACTTTTGGTGGTTTGCGAGCAAAAAAAAAAGGTTGAAATACCACCATGTTAATTTGTTCAGCAGCAAAAGAAAAAGAAAAGAGAAAGAAATACTGCCGTATCACTATAGTAAGCTGTTTGCTAGAAATGGGATTGCTAGATCAAGGGGTATGAATGATCAGCTTTACAAAATAATGTCAGATTACTTTCTGAAGGGGTTGTATCAGTTTGTACTTTGGCCAGCAGTTTTGTCTGTTTATATACTTTGATCAACAGTGTGTAAGAGTTACAGTTGATCTACAACCTCTCCAACACTTGTTATTGTCAGACTTAATATTTGCCAATGGAATGGGTATGAAATGATGCATCATTGTGGTTTTAATTTGCATTTTTTGTTATTAATGAGATTGAGCATCTTTTGTATGTTTATGAACTGTCTTTGTTTCCTTTTTATGAAATATCTAGTCATATATTTTACCCTTTGTTCTGATGAGTTGTCTTTTAAAACTGGTAACATCGATTATGTGCGTTGTAAATATCTTTTTCTGGTTTGTGGCCTGTCTTTCTACTGTTTATGGTGTATTTTGGTGAACAGAAGTTCTTAATTTTAACATAATCTGATTGGAACCTTTCTTGCCCTGGGCTTATAAAGACATTCCTCTGTTTCTTTTTAGAGGTTTTAAAATGATGTCTTCCACATTTAAGTTCATAATTTATCTGGAATTGATTTTTGTGTATGTTCTGAGATAGTGATCCACATTGATTTTTTTTTTCTCCTGTGTGGTTCTAATTATCCCTGTACCATGTATTGAATTGGCCCTCTGTTCACCAGTGGTCTGCTGTGCCATCTCTTTTACATGTTTAGTTACTACCTGCATGGGTCTGTTTTTGGCTTGCCTTTCTGTGTCACTTGTCACCTTGTCTGTCTCTGTGTTCATACCACACTGTCTTAATCATTAATACTATAGTTTTACCTGAAATCTCGGTATCTGGGGAGGACTTGAATCTCACCTATTTTTGGTCATTTGTTCTTAAGAATTAGCTTGTTACATGACATGAAAAACCCTGTAGGTATTAATTAGAATTAATTGAATCAGTTTGGGGGAGAATCGAAATCTTTAAGATTTTGATCCTTTTTATTTTTAAGAATATGGTATGTATCTCTATTTATGTAAAGTTTTAGTGTAGTTTTGTAATATTCTCCATAGAGGTCTTCCACTTTTTCATATGTTAATTCTGATGTTATTGTTTTTGTTGCTATTATAAATGGTGGTGTTCTTAAAGATTCTATCTTAACTTATTTATTGTTAGTAAATATTTTAACTTATTGTTAAATAGAAATTTAATGAATTTTTAAAAATATTGACCCTTTAGTCATCCACTTGATAAACTTACTACTTCTAATATTTTTTCTGAAATTCCTTTGTGTTTTCTGTGTGGATAATTATATCATTTGCAAATAGTGACAGTTTTAGTTCTTCTAGTTATTTTTGCTTTTAATTTATTCATTTTTTTGGTCTTAAATGTGCTGGCATACTTTATACTTACGTTCAATGGAAGTGATTAGGGTTGTTCATTAGAAGCGATTATAGTGGGCATAGAGTTCTTGTTCTCAATTTTAAAGAGAATATTTCTCAGCTGAGAATAACATTTGCTGTGAATTTTTGTAGATACCTTTGATTAAGTTAGGGAAGTCTTTTCAGTTGTCACATGCTTTTCTGCATTTGTTGAGAATATCTTGTGTCTTTTCTTCTTTAATCTGTTAAATGTAATGAATTCCGTTTTATAGATTTAAAACTGTTCATTTTCTTTTATATTCTTTCTTGAGATAAACCCAAATTGGTCTTTATAGATTATATTTTTATGAACTACTAGATTGAGTTTGCTCATATTTTATTTAGATTTTTGTGTCTGTTTATGGCTAGAATCACTTCTCATTTTTCTTTATTGGCTGTCTTATCTGACTTGGGTATTAAAGTTACACTGACTTTATACCATGAGTTAGAGAATAGTTCCTCTTTTTCTGTTCCCTGGGAGAGTTTGGATTGGAGTGATTTGTTTCTTAAAAGCTTGGTGGAACTTAACTATAAGGTCATTTGGATCTAATGTTTTCTTCTTGGAGGTTTAGTAGTAATTAGCAGTTGAACAGTCATAGGACTGTTCAGGTATTCTATTTCTTTTAGTCAGTTTTGGTAAGTTTTAGAAATTTGTCCTTTCATCAAGTTTATGGTATGGTTTTTTTTTTTTTTTTTTTTTTTTTTTTTTTTTTAAGATAGAGTCTCCCTCTGTTGCCCAGGCTGGAGTAGTGCAGTGGTGCCATCTCATTGCAACCTCTGCCTCCTGAGTTCAAGCGATTCTCCTGCCTCAGCCTCCTGAGTAGCTGGGATTACAGCCGTGCGCCACCATGCTTGGCTGATTTTTTTGTATTTTTAGTAGAGACGGAGTTTCACCATGTTGGCCAGGCTCTTCACAAACTCCTGACCTCAAGTGGTCTGCCCACCTCGGCCTCCCAAAGTGCTAGGATTACAGGTGTGAGCCACCGCTCGTGGTATGGCATTAATTCTCTTTTTAATCTCTGTTTTATTTGTATATGTGTTCCCCTTTTCTCATGTTGAATATTATTTATGTCTGACTTCTCTTTCTTGATCAGTCTTAGTAAAAGTTTGTCCATTTTTAAAATCTTGGCAAAGGATTAACTTTTGGCCTAATTTGTTCTATTATTTGTTTTTTATTTCATTGATCTTTTTTCTCTTTTATTATTTCATTTTACTTTCAGTTTATTATTTTACTATTTTTTTCACTTAAATTACACACTTAATATTAATTTTCAACCATTCCGATTTCCTAGTATAAGCATGCAAGACTGTAAACTTCCTCAAAGTTCATTTTTGCTTATCTAACATAGTTTAATTTATAGTGTTTTCATTAACTTTCAAATCTAAGTATTTTTACAATTTCTATTTTGATTTTTTCTTTGACTTATGAGTTACTTAGACATTTTTAAATTTTCAAATGTGTCTATATTGTTTTCCTTTAATTATCGATTTCTTACTTGTGTTGCCAGAGAATATTTTATCTTTTTAGCATTTTTTTTTTTTTGCCCTTGCTTTATGGCCTTGTACATAGTGAATTATTAGAACTGTTCTGTGTACACTTGTGAAGAGTATATATTCTGTAATTGTTAAGTGTCTATTAGGTAAAGCTTGTTATTTGTGTTGTTCTGATAGTCTTTATCCTTATTAATTTTGGTTTATCCTATCATTAACTGAGAGAAGTGTGTTGCAATATTCCACCATTACTAGTTTCTAACAGATTTCCTGTAGTTCTAACAATTTTTGTTCTTCTGTATTTTGAGACTTTTATTAGCTACATGCAAGCTTAACATTTTTTTCCTAGTGGCTCGAACCTTTACTATATTGTGATCTTCTCTAAGTTTGCTTCTTTGTCTTAGAGGCTTTTTGTCTGATCCCGTCTTTCTTTTGGTGCTAATTTACCTGGAATATTCTTTTCTTTCATTTTACTTTGATTTTTTTTAGTGTCCTTACATTTTAAGTGTCTCTTATAAGGGACATACTACTGGATTTTTCTTTTAATCTCACCAGACAACTTCTGTCTTTTAATTGGTTATGTTCCAGGTGTCTTGGTTGGTGTTTGACTCAGTTTTAGATATTAAAAAAAATCTAAAAGTATTTTTATTTTACCTTTGTTCTTGACAGATCATTTTGATGGATGTACAATTGTAGGTTGGTGTTTCTTTTCTGTCAGTAGGGTAGGAATACTATTCTGCTGTTGCTTATACAAAGTGTGCTGCCAGTTTTATTTATGCCTTTTTTTTTTTTTTTTTTTTTTTTTTTGAGGTGGAGTCTTGCTGTGTTGTTAGGCTGGAGTGCAGTGGCGCCATCTTGGCTCATTGCAACCTCCGCCTCCTGGATTCAAGCGATTCTCCTGCCTCAGACTCCCAAGTAGCTGGGACTACAGGCACCTGCCACCATGCCTGGCCAATTTTTGTATTTTTAGTAGAGATGGGGTTTCACCATGTTGGCCAGGATGGTCTTGATCTCTTGACCTCGTGATCTGTCCGCCTCAGCCTCCCAAAGTGCTGGGATTACAGGCGTGAGCCACTGCACCCAGCCTATTTATGCGTTTTTTGAAGAAAATATCATTTTTCTTTTAGTTACATTGGATTTTCTGTCTTTTGTGTTACATCATTTCACTTCTAAGTCTAGATAGAGATTATATTTATCCTATTTTGGATGCATGTGTTTCATGATTCTGCATTTTGTCTTTCATGAGATCTAGAAGTTTCTGAGCCCTGTATTCTTTAAATATTATGTCTCATTAGTCTCTTCTCTCCTGCTGGAACTTTAACTGGATATATATATACACTAAACTGTTTCCAGATCACTTATTCTTTATCTTTCATATTTTTTATCTCTTTGTTTCTCTTTACCAGAATTTACAGTGCTGGATAATTTCATAAGGCATATATTTTAGTTCACCAATTTTCTCTTCAACTGTGCCTAATATCCTCTGTAACCCATCCTGTCTCTTTTTTTTCTTTTAACAATTGCATTTTTAATTACTTTTTTTTTTTTTTTTTAAGATGGAGTCTCTCTCTGTCGCCCAGGCTGGAGTGCAGAGGCGCGATCTCAGCTCACTGCAAGCTCCGCCTCCCGGGTTCACGCCATTCTCCTGCCTCAGCCTCCCGAGTAGCTGGGACTACAGGCGCCCGCCACCACGCCCGGCTAATTTTTTTGTATTTTTAGTAGAGACGGGGTTTCACCGTGTTACCCAGGATGGTCTCGATCTCCTGACCTCGTCATCTGCTCACGTTGGCCTCCCAGAGTGCTGGGATTACAGGCATGAGCCACCATGCCCGGCCGCATTTTTAATTTCTAAAAGTTCTGCCTGGTTCTTTTTTGATATGTCCAGTCATTCTTCATGTTCTCATGTTATATGCTGATTTTTGTGACTCTATAGCTATTCTGTAGACTATATCAGACATTCCCAATGTCTGATATCCTTGAGGAGGGGGATGTCTAAATTTATTGCTTTTTTGTTTTTTTTTCTGTTGTCTCTCCTCAATGTAGCTGTCACCTCATGTGTTTGGTGATCATTGATTATGAACTTCTGTTTGATCTTTGTGGTGATCTTGAGAGTCTAATTTGAGGATGCTTGCTTTCTGAAAGCATTTCTATCAGCTTTGTCTGGGAGCCAGAAAGTTTAGCTGGCATCACTTTTGAGTTCCTACATTTTGCTTCTGGCCCAGGGCTCAGTGTCCTGATCCTATTACTGCTCTTGGCACCACTACTTGTAGCACTAAACTGTAGCCAGGTTTAATTTCTAGCTCAAGGTTTGTTGCTTTTGCGTGGAGAGGGTGCCTTCACATGTTCCCCTATTTCTATGAGCTCAGCAAAAACATCCAAAAAGTGTTTTTTTTTTTAATCTAGGATATACCTTTTTCCTCCCAACAGTACATTCCCCCAGAGTGTATAGTTGACCATAACTGATGGGATCAGAAGCTCTTTATTTTAATATTTAATTTTAGTAGTATATTTTTGTTTGATTGTATTATAAAAAATTTTATGGTACCAAGCAAGCTTTCTTGGTGATACCAACATTTCCATTAAAACTAGTTTACATCTAAGTTAAGATTTGAGTTATCCTAAAGAAAAGTATTAAGTAAATAGCAGTACAGATGGCAAATGGATTGCACAATATATCCTCTGGATCCATAGTGACCCTGCAGAGATAAACCTGTGATGGTCAAACAATGTGAAAACTGCTGTCAGAGACATGGGCAGGGTGCTCTTGTTTACAGAGAAGAGGTGCAAAAATCAACTTGATGGTAGTGGGAAGATCAGGAAATGCTTCCTGAAATTGAGTATTAAGAACTAATAGACATTAGGTGGTTGCAGAATAAGTTTTGTTTAGGAAGGACAAGCAGTTGGGTATGACTGGCTTCTAGGTTGTGTGTTGTGGAGTGACTGGGGATAAAAGCAGGAGCAAGATCACAAAAGGTCTTCTATGCTTATATTAGGGAAGTTGGACTTTATTCTCAAGCTGAAGGGAAGCTGTTGCATGGTTTTAAGCAGTAAAGTGATATGATCAGAGTTTTAGAGGATGCCAAGATTGAAGGCAAGTCTGACCAGTTAGGAGACTGCTTGTTAAATTAGTTCAGAGGAGAAACAGTGAAGGCAGTGGCACTGGGCATGAAGAAGTATATGTGTGCTAATTTTAGATTTCTTAGGGAAGCAGAAATGACAAGAGTTAGTGGTCCATTGGACAGAAATATTGAAGGAGACTGGGGAGTCTAGGTTGACTCCCAGGGTTTAGGTTTGGGCAGTAAAATGACATGTAGAACAATTAACTGATAAACAGCATACAGAAAGAGGAAAGAACTTCATTTCATATGTTTGTTTTTGAGGAAAAGATGTTTGTTTTTGAACTTCCTGATTCAGAGGGGCTTGTGGGACATCTTGGTTAAGATCCTGTAGTAGTTCTAGTAGGGTCTAGAAGTCAAGAGATACAACCCCGCCTGGAAGGATTTGGGAGTCTTCAGCATTTGGAATTTTGGAAGCCATTGTTTACTGCAGTGCATATGAGATAATTTAAACTGGTACATAGATAAACACTTGAAAAAATTTTAATAGATAGGAATTTAATGTGTATGAGAAACATAACTTGCACATCTAACCTTTGATAATCATGGACATTATCACTTAGGCCAAGTGAGCTCAATAAAAGGGAAATATTAACTAAAAATATATGTGATACATGGAAATGGCAAAAATCACGGTGAAGCTATGCAAACGATGCAAGTTCAGAAAGTGCTGTGTTAAGTCATGGGTGTGGTGGATAAATTCACCCAAGGAGAGAGTAAGAGTGAGAAGAAAAGAGAGTTGACATTGGGTGGCGGGGAATGGAGAAGAAGAACCCATGAAGGAAACTGAGGAAGAGCAGCCAGACGAATAGGAGGAAAACCAGGAGAAGATGGTCTTTGGAGTCCAAATGAAGAGTTCTGAGGAGGAAGTGGTCCACAGCGTCAAGTAAGTTGTAAGCTGAAAAGTGCTCTTTGGATTTAGCAATTAAGGTAGACTATTTAGCTGGAAGCATCCAAACAGTGGATTTTAAAAATACTCATCTAACATTAATGTTAATGATAGCTGGTATTTATAGCATTTCCCATATACCTGGTACTCTTCTAAGCTCTTTACATGTATTAACAGATTGATCAGGTAGGTAGTATCGTTATCCCCATTTGATATGCGAGGAAACACAGAGGAAGCACAGAGAGGTTAAGTAACTTGCCCAAGATCACACACCCAAGGAAACAAGAGAGCCAGGACTCAAGCCCAGAGTCTTGGCTGCAGAGTCCCTGTTCTTAACCACTTTGTCACATTGCCTCTCTAGTTAAAAACAAAATACAAGGCCGGGTGCGGTGGCTCACGCCTGTAATCCCAGCACTTTGGGAGGCCGAGGCGGGCGGATCACAAGGTCAGGAGTTCAAGACCAGCCTGGCCAATATGGTGAAATCCTGTCTCTACTAAAAATACAAAAATTAGCTGGGCGTGGTGGTGGGCACCTGTAGTCCCAGCTACTTGGGAGGCTGAGGCAGGAGAATCGCTTGAACCCGGGAAGTGGAGGTTGCAGTGAGCCGAGATCGTGCCAGTGCACTCCAGCCTGGGCGACAGAGTGAGACTGTGTCTCAAACAAACAAACAAACAAACCAAAACAAAATAGAAAATAAAATATACCCCAGTGTCGTAATTACAGTACAATTGGTGCTGTGTGTGTTATCAGTGAGATTCGCTAGGCTTGAATGACCAGTATCAGTCTGCCAGGTATGAGCACATTAATTGTATTGTAATTGATGCCATGATGTGTGGGCTGTGACAGTTCTTGGCTCTTTCTGTATTTTATGCCAAAAAAATTTGTAAGACAAGTGAGATTAGCATATACCTCATATTATGTGCTATAGTTTGGGTGCTCCAGTATCTTATGTTTTCTGGTCATTGTTCACTTTTAGAGTTAAATTTTTTAAACTCTAGAAATATTCATGCAGAATAGGTCAGGTTCTAGACATTATAGATAACCAGTCTTTTGTGGAAGGTCATTAATGATCCTAATGAAAGCAGTTTCCCTTGAATGGTCGAAGTGGAAACCAAATTGTTAGGAAACTGACAGTGAATGAGAATGGAGGATTCAGATGGGTGAAAAATGAAGAGTTCTTGATGAAGTTGAAGAATGGCTGTGGTAGGAAATCAGGAAGACATGAGCCGTAATGACTCTTGGCTATGGTCAGAGAGGAGCTAATAAAGATTTAAGAACTGGTTTCGACCCAGGTAGTGATCTGAGGTGTCCCCCTGGGGTGGGAGAGCCTAGTGAGGTAGGCAGTGAAGATCATGTTAGTTGAGGAGGTTGTTAAACTACAAGGCTAGGGTATTGTGTGCATGGACCTCGATGTGGCTGGGATGATGATAGAATTTGGAGGAAAGAGAAAAACACTGAACTAGTTGCCAGTGATCTTGAAACGTGACAGTAACCAAGAGATAAATAGGTGACAATGACAGGAAAATTAGATGTAGTAAAAGAGAGTGTTTGAGAGCAGAAGCTATGGCAACTAAAGACTGGATTTGAATCCTTCCTAGCTTGGTGACATGAGCAAATTACTTGATTTAAGTGAGCATTTTCCCATCTGTACAGTGGAGATAACGATAATTGTGCCTGCTAAGAAGAATTGCTGTGAAGATTAGTGAAATAATGCATGTAAAACATTTGGTACAGTATGTGACACATAGTACAAATAGTTTGCTAGGAAGATTGTTATTATTCTTCACTTGTGATATTGTGAAGTTTTCATACAGCAAATTGGACATCATGAGATGGATTGATTAAATAAATAGATTTGAACTTCAAGGACTGGTAGTGTTCTTGCTTTGGAAAGAAGAAACTTGGTTTATCCTAATAATAGTAGGATAATAATGGTGAAGTGATAGGTACAAGTAATAGTGTTTATGATGCGCTGGTGATGATAGGAAAAGAAAGCCATTATATGGGCAAGAGCTAGAAGTAATAAAATGGTGCATTTTTCAGTGATGTTTGGCCTATGTAGCTATTCTCTGATAACTATAAAAATCCTTATTATTGAAGATTCTTCAGGAAAAAAAACCCTTAGTCTGAAACTTTACCACCAATCCCCCTTGCCCCCCATTGAAATACGTATTTTTAAAACATGGCTTTTGATAATGTGAGGGTTTTTTCCTTTTTGCGATTTAGCAGTGCTGATTGTGTATTGCAGTAGTTGTGAGAGCATTAGAAGCAGCAGTCGATAGGAGGATGGAAGGTCTGGATGCCGCCTTGGGGAGTTAGGAGATTGGCAGACTTACCCTGTACCACTCTAGCCCTACTCCTTTGCCCAAGACAGAAACACACTGAGATGGATAGGAGAATATGAGCAGTTGATAGGAAAGTTCTCAGTGGAGTCAGGATTTAGGTTAGGCCAGGAGATTGAGAATATAACAGTTTGTGTATGATGAAATGGCATATTTCACAGAATGCAGTAAAAGCAGGTAGGGTACAAGTGCAGCAACAGGAAGATGTCTTTTCTTCATTCAGCAAACACTTATTTGAGAGCTTACCATGTGCTAGGCACATACAAAGATAAATAAGATGCCCTTGATGATCCTCTATTTAAAGGAGACATGTAAACAGGTTAACTTAGAGTAGAGATGGTGAATATGTGAACCTGAGGAAAGGAAGAAATAGATTAAATTATCTGGAGAGAGAGGAAAAGTCAGCAGAATGGGGACGAGAATCTTTCGGAGCTCAGTGTTCTGATAGGAGTTATTTCCTTGGGCATAGGTTCCAAGTATTTTTCTAATATACCATAGAAGCCAGGAAAACTTTCTTCTGTTATCTCAAATGATTTAATTACTGACTTGAGTTTGTGTTGTCTCCTTAGACTTGTGCACCATGGACAATTTTGCTGAGGGAGATTTCACTGTGGCGGATTATGCCTTGTTAGAAGATTGCCCTCACGTGGATGATTGTGTCTTTGCTGCTGAATTTATGAGCAATGATTATGTTCGTGTGACTCAGCTTTACTGTGATGGGGTGGTAAGTAGGTTTGCTAATTTTTCATTTTTGACATTGTGTATTGAAGGTTTTCTGGTTTAGGGCTATCTGAGTAAAGATGTTTTTGTGGTACGTGCGTTTTGACAGGGAGGTACACATGCTGTTGAAAAGTTGATTTGAGAAGGGAAAGTAAGCACTGGCTCAAAAATAAGATTGTGGAGTGCCAGAGAATGAGTGGTGGCAAAAGGTGGTTTTCTGACAGGGCATAAGAAAAGCTCTTGGGGAGAGCCATAGAAGCAAACTCAGGTAATACTGTAAAACGGGTCTCAAATTAAGACTCTTTGGCTGAAGATGTGTTTGAAGCATATAAATAAATGCCCACTGAAAGTTCTTTGGTTAGTTCTGATAATCCTTAGATTAAAAATCAAGAACATTTTACTAGACACAAATCAAAATAATTTTCTTCTTTTTAGGGTGTGCAATATAAAGATTATATCCAAAGTGAGAGGAATTTGGGTGAGTACGTTGGTATTTTTAATGTTAATTTATGGAAAGACTACAAAGGGAGGTCCATCCATCCTGTCATAGCAATACAACAGATTTATATGCCTTTTAAAAATGTATTCTTACTAGTTTTTCACTAGAAATCAGAACTTTTCTTTGTTAAAATAGAGTTTTTGCCAGCACTTAAATATTCTTAACATTTAACAGGCTAGAATACTTCATTCATTCATTTCTTCCCTCTCCATATCCATTTTTGCCTTTTTACTATTAAGTGTTGATTCATTAAAAAAATGAGGCACAAACATTAATTTTAAACTTTTTTTTTAATTAAGAATTTGACATCTGCAGTATATGGTGTAGTAAACCAATTTCTGTCCTGCAAGATTATTGCGATGCCATTAAAATAAACATCTTCTGGCCACTTCTGTTTCAACATCAAAACAGTTCCGTAATATCACGATTGCATCCCTGTGTGGACGCCAAGTAAGTTACTATATGTTGCTCATTTTGTGTGGACAGTGATAAACATGTTACCCAATACCAAGAAATGCAAGTTCAATGGAAGGCTTATGTCTTATTCTTGTATGCTGCTCAACGTTTGTGTAATAGGGTGGAAAAAACAAATACTTGAGATTTGGATATGAATGAATAATTGTAACATAATCAGTGAAATTCTGAATAGTACTAGATGGTAGACTGGAAGCTGAGTCAGGAGGAATTAACATGGGTGTTTATAAGTATCAGTGTTATAGTGCAGAAGAGAGGAAAAAGATACAGTATTTTGTTCATTTAATAAATAGCTTAGTTATTGTTACCTAGAGTGAAGAAAAAGAGAACTTATTTTTTAATGGTTTGAGATATATAGCTAAGCATAAAGTTCAATGAATTTGTATATATGAGAATCTAATCTTTTAAAAAATAAATTTGTCTTTAAGCAATTCACGTGCTTCTGAGATAAATTTGAAGAAACTACAACATCTTGAGTTGATGGAAGATATTGTGGATTTGGCAAAGAAAGTTGCTGTAAGTGGTAGAATGTAGGTTCCCCCGAGCCCTTGGTTTAAATAATATAAGCATTTATATGGTGTTAGGCTCAAATGACTAATTTATAGCAATTAACAGGTAATGGTTTTAGTTTTGGTTAACCTGAGATAAATCTGCTGTCCATCAGTGCGTGCTCAGTATTTGAGAGATCAGGGAGATGGCTGATGTCATGGTTCTACGCTGGGGACCAGGACTGCATCTTGTCATTAAAGGATAGAAATTGGAACTTGTCACAGAAAGTGGGGTATGGGTTCATGAAAACCTTTGCCACAGGTTCTGAAAGTGATGTGCTCTATCTGTTGATATAAAATCACATCACCATCAACAAATATTTTGTCTTTGGGTAGGTAGACTTTATCAGGGCAGATTTGAGGAGGTGTCCTTCATTATGCTATTGAGATAAGTTGAGAGTTTTTGTGGTTTTTAATTTTTTTTTGAAAGCTATTGGATAGCTTTTTAAATTTCAGTTGGTTATGGAGTCAAGTGTTGTTCTTGGTACTATTAAATTTAGAAAGGGCATTCTGATGTTTATTTTCTGCAGTAGTTATTTGCAGTAACATACAAACCAGTGTACCTTTATAAAAAAAATTAAGTGCAATGAACTTTATTATTATTATTATTTTTGAGATGGAGTCACCCTCTGTCGCCCATGCTGGAGTGCAGTGACGAGATCTTGGCTCACTGCCATCTTCGCCTCCCGGATTCAAGCGATTCTCCTGCCTCAGCCTCCCGAGTAGCTGGGACTGTAGGCGCCTGCCACCATGCCCAGTTAACTTTTGTATTTTTAGTAGAAACGGGGTTTCACCATGTTGGCCAGGCTGGTCTCGAACTCCTGACCTCAGATGATCCACCCGCCTCGGCCTCTCAAAGTGCTGGGATTACCAGTGTGAGCCTGTAGAAACCTCACCTCTACTAAAAATACAAAAATTAGCCGGGTGGTAGTGGCACGTGCCTGTAATCCCAGGTAGTTGGGAGGCTGAGGCAGGAGAATTGCTTGAGCCTGGGACGTGGAGGTTGTGGTGAGCTGAGACTGCGCCACTGCACTCCAGCCTGGGTGACAGAGTGAGACCCTGTCTCAAAAAAAAAAAAAATTCACATGTCTAAAGATTATACTAAGTTATTTTACTGCTAGAACCCTATTGGAGACTATTTTGGAATTCTTGTCTTAAGATCTTAAGGGGTAACTTGGTCATGTAAATGCTTGTCGGAAGTGTACTACTGAGTACATATAGTAGTGTTCCTAAAATGTAGGCCATTTTTCCGTTAGAAAATTCAAGTAGAATTGACTGAATAAGGAAAAAATATGTCCTTTTTTTATTTTTCAGAATGATTCATTCCTTATTGGAGGCTTATTGAGAATTGGTTGTAAAATAGAAAATGTAAGTGTTAAACACTGAAACTGGCACAGCCACTGTGGATGAGTGGCAGTCATCTCACTGCTCATTTCCCCTTGCATTGGGTCCATACACTCAATGTTCTATATGTGGTATTTGGTAGTATTGACTTCTATATTTTCCTTAAGGAGACTCCTCATTTTGGGGGTTTGGATCATTTTCTCTCTTTTTTTTTTTTTTACCCATGTACATAGTGTAATTTTGAGCCTATTTTACAAGTTGATTCTTTTTCTCTTTTAGATTATTTACCTGGCTTATGTTTCCCCAAATGAAATTATTAGGCCTCTGGTATGAATATTTTTTGTTATATAATTACTAGGTAATCTCCAGATTCAATGTTAAACCAATTTTTAATGATACTGATGCCATAAACATCTATGTTTACCTTAAGCCCATTGTTAACTTTAATTTTTGAAGTTACTTTAGACATTAGAAGTACAAATAACATTTCTGTGAATTCTTGATCCTTCATGGAGATCACTGCACTGAGTGCCCATTTGCCCAGCCACATCTTCCTCTTGTTCTTTATCTCCTTATTCTTCTGTTTGCCACAGACCACGTAAAATATGTAGTTCCTTTGGAGAACTTTAATCTATAAATTTAACCTTGGGGTAAGGATGGAAGTCTTTGTGTAGATGAGATCTGAGAACCCTCATCCACCTTGTTATATTGCACTTGCCTGCTACCCCAGGCAGTCTGGCCAGGTTGTAGACCTCAAATTGCAGGTCTGTAGTAATTGCAGAAGCATCTTGAGCTCTGAGGGTGGCCTGAAGTCACCTGAAGAGGTAACATATATGAGTCCATAGTATCTGTTAATTTATATGTCAGAGTCTGTCTACTCTAAGTTACATGCCAGAGTAGCAAAAAATAAGTGGTTGTACCAGTTTTGTAGTAAGGATCTGAAATACTTGCATAAGATGAATTTATAATGCCACATGCAAATTTAGAATTAATAACCAAAGCCCCATTCTTCATTTCTCTTTTGAAACAGAAAATCTTGGCAATGGAAGAAGCTCTGAATTGGATAAAATATGCAGGCGATGTAACAATTCTAACTAAATTAGGATCAATTGACAATTGTTGGCCTATGTTAAGTATTTTCTTTACTGAATGTAAGTATAAATGCTTTAAATTGTTACTTGACTCAGTTTTTAAAGGTGTTTGGGAAAATGAGATATGTAGTTAAGTGATTTCTGATTTATCTTAGAATTTAAAAAAAGTTTTTATTTTGTTATATATGGCTGAAAAAGAGAATTTCTTTTTTTTATTATTTATTTATTTATTTATTTATTTATTTTGAGGCAGATTCTTGCTCTGTTGCCCAGGCTGGAGTGCAGTGGTGCAGTCTCTGCTCACTGCAAGCTCCGCCTCCCGGGTTCACACCATTCTCCTGCCTCAGCCTCCCGAGTAGTTGAGACTATGGGCGCCTGCTACCACGCCTGGCTAATTTATTGTATTTTTAGTAGAGACAGGGTTTCACCGTGTTCACCAGGTTGATCTCGATCTCCTGACCTCGTGGTCTGCCTGCCTTGGCCTCCCAAAGTGCTGGGATTACAGGCGTGGGCCACCGTGCCTGGCCGAAAAAGAGAATTTCAAACTGGTAGTTTTATTCTATATTTTCTGTCTTAATTATTTTTATGACATTGTACTTTAAAAATTTTCACTGAATGGATATTGTAAGTTGTTATATGTAATACTCAAAGAGACCACAACTGGGTAGTCTCCTTTGTAAGAAAAAGTCACTGAAGCTAAGCTTATGATTTTTATTTTCTTCATGAATCTGTTGTTCTTTTATGTATGAGGTAACTGCCTTACATATTTCTTTTACTTTGTGAAATATTTTTCTTTAAAGCATTTGAATATTAGCAGTGTTTTTATAGTATAGTTATAGGAATCTTGAAACAGGAAAGGTTTGGCTTTTCAGTAGATGATGACCAATAATTTACCATCTCTGCTGAGATAAAGGCAAATTTTGCACTATTGACTTAAGTGCTAGAAAGGAATTAAATGAAGACACATCTTTCTCATAGGTTTATTAGACACTGGGGTGTATTACACTGATAGAGGTTGTTCTCTTCATTGTTTTGGAGGCCCTTAATTATAAGCTAGATTTTATGGTGGAAGTAGAGAAGCAGTATCTTGTACTAGGTACACCTCTTTAGGCTTATAGCTGATTTTTTACATTCTATTTTCTTTATAATAGCTCTGCAAGGTGGCTGTTACTATCTTTGTTTTAGCAGTGAGCACACTGACTTTGAGAGGTTAAGTGTTGTTTCTGCAGTATAGTAAGTAGTAGGTAGTAGTAGGTAAGACTAGATAAGTCAGATCTCTCTGATCTCAAAGCCCAGGTTTTATTCCATGTAATCTTACTCTGTCCCTTAGAATTTCTTTATTTGGTGACTTTCTTAGGTCCTTTATTGAATCTTAAATTTTAGGTGCTCTTTTCACTTTAGAAATGAATATGTTTGGCTAGAGGCTTAACTATAGTTTTGTTGCAATAAATTTTTTTTTGCCACTTTAAAATATCCTTTTTATATAATAGCTTACAATGTAGAAAATGAGGCCCGATAAACTTTAGTTACTTACTGCATCTTAATTAGTTTATTAAATTTTTATAATAATAGTGTTTCAAATAACTTCTCATTGTAACATTTTACTCATGAGAGTCAAAATACTAAATAAAAACTTTTGAAAGTATTTATTTAAAATATGTTGAGCATCAAAAATCCAAAATCTGAAATACCCCAAAATTTGAAACCTTTTGAGCTTCGCTATGACATTCAAAGGAAATGCTCGCTGGGCGCGGTGGCTCACACCTGTAATCTCAACACTTTGGGAGGCCGAGGCGGGTGGATCACGAGGTCAGGAGATCGAGACCATCCTGGCTAACATGGTGAAACCCCGTCTCTACTAAAATTACAAAAAAAATTAGCCAGGTGTGGTGGCACATGCCTGTAATCCCAGCTACTCGGGAGGCTGAGGCAGGAGAATCGCTTGAACCCGGGAGGCGGAGTTTGCGGTGAGCCAAGATCATGCCATTGCACTCCAGTCTGGGCAACAAGAGTGAAACTCCATCTCAAAAAAAAAAAAAAAAAAAAAAAGGAAATGCTCATTGGAGCATTTTGAATTTTTGGATTTGGGATACTCACCCAGTATAATGCAAATATTCCAAAATCCAAAATTATCCAAAATCCAAAACACTTCTGATCCCAAGCATTTTGAATAAGAGATACTCAATCTTTATATTAAATAGATTGTAGAAAGTAGTTTTGCAGGTTTTTGTTTTCATGCATTTTTATTGAATATTGTGCATGGTACACCATACATGCTTGACAGTGTTTATTGAATTGACTTAAGTAATTATGTGGCCTATTTGGAATATGTTATGACAGAGCATTTATTGTAAATACAATTACAACTAATATAATAATAAATAAAGGTTTTTTATTGCTAGAAATAAAAGGTGAGATTAGATTCATAGCAAGCAATAACTGATGTTTTCTGCAACATTTTATCAGTTTATTTTTTTACTGAGTTATTTAATAGACATAAAAGGTTACAAGAAACATGTGCTATTTAGAAAGAATAATAATATAGGACCGTTGTGGACTCACCTAACTCAAGAATTAGAATATTATCAATACCAATTTGTTTTTTTTTAAACAAATGTTCTCTCTTGCTCTCTCCTAAAAATAAAATTTAGACAAGTACCACATAACTAAAATTGTAATGGAAGACTGCAATTTGCTTGAAGAACTTAAAACTCAAAGTTGTATGGATTGTATAGAGGTGAGAATGAATATTATAAATATATTTTAAGATTTGCCCATTAGAACTTTTTAACACTCAGAGGAAGTTAATAAAACTGCTGACAATATACAATTCATAAAATTGGATGACATATTTGAGGGAAAGAACTAATATCTTGATCAGAGTTCTCTAATGATTTAAAAACCATTAATTGAAAGTGAAAATTTGGTTTTTAAAAACTTTAGTCTTTAATGAGTTGAAGAAATATGATTTTCTTTGGTAACAGCTGAGATGTAATTCATGTGCTACACTGTTCATTCATAGGAAATAGGACTTTAACTCAATTTTATAAAAGGAATTTGGGAAAATATTTAATGTTGTATTGAATTCCCTAATGCTGTTGATATGATGTGATTTAGTTTATTTTTAAAAAATTGAGTGTTCGAAATGAAAAGTTTTAGTTTTTTCTCTAGCACCTTTCATATATATTCTCGTTAACCTACCAACTCATGCTTTGCAATTAATCTAATCAGCATTGCCTCTATGTTATTGATTTATATATGTTTTTCGGCACTAAGGCTTTTTGAATAACATCACATTTGCTAACCTAAAGTTAAAATTCTACTTTGCATCTATTTTTTAGCCTTATAGATAAGGTATATTTAAAAGTGGGTCTGCCAAATACCGCACAAAATTTTAGCAATTATTCATAAGGTGATGGTTTTGTTTACTTTTTAATATTCTCTAACAAAGTTAGTGTTGAGTCATTCAAGACAGGTTTATTTAAATATATATACCGAGGCTGCACATGATGGCTCACACCTGTAGTCCCAGTACTTTGGGAGGTCGAGGTGGGAGGATTGCTTGAGGTCAGAAGTTCAAGACCAGCTGGGGTAACATAGCAAGACCTGGTCTCTACAAAAAATTTTTAAAAATTAGCTTGGCATGGTGGGGTGCACTTGTAGTCCTAGCTACTTGGGAGACTGAGATGAGAGGATCCCTTGGGCCTGGGAGATGGAGGCTGCAGTGAGCTGTGATTGCACCACTGCCCTCCAACCTGGGTGACAGACCCTGTCTCTAAAAATATGTGTGTGTGTGTGTGTGTGTGTGTGTATAGTGGGTGTGTATATATATATGTAACAAAATATTGGGTATTGTAATCTCATTTTCTACATAAATAATCCCCTATGTTATTTCTGATATCGAAGATAGAAATCCAGATCCATTTTTACTAGGTATTGGGTTCTTGATGATTTTTGGAGGTCATTGATGGGTCTTCTTTCACCTTGGTTTCTCAGGAAGGAGAACTAATGAAAATGAAAGGAAATGAAGAGTTTTCCAAAGAAAGATTTGATATAGCTATTATCTATTACACCAGAGCCATTGAATATAGGTAAGAGCAAATAGAACAAAAGAGATGCTTTTTCTATGGCACATCAAGTTAGAATGGTAGTCAGAAGAAATAAAAACAAGACGGAGAATTGGAGAGTATCTTCCAACTTGTGCAGAATAGATTTTCTCATCCTTGGGTGTTGGAAGCATTGGAGATGGCCTGGGTATATGAAGCTAACGTAGTAGCATAACTCAAGCAAGTCAGGCAAAATGGTGAATTTTCTGTTCCATTTTCTTTAAAACTTTCCAGTACAGAGTTACCTCTTTTGTCTTGTTCTCATTTTGCTATCAACCAAGTCCTCCCAAGTTATTAACTGGTCAAAAAGGATTAAAGGATTAGTTCTTAATAGTTAAGATGCCACCCATTCAGGGTTTTTTGCTTTCTAAGAGGGAACTTTTACAGGATAATTGAGAGAATGCATACATGCTCTCTACCTTGTCTTCTCTTTGCTCAGCTGCTAGAATTTTGTAGCTTTCCTCCAGATGTGCCTCATAACTGTGCGCCTATTGTCTCAGTCAGGCCGCCTAATATTGTAGCAGCCTTTGAAGGGTGCTCTGTAGCCACTGCTCTTTTTCCTCCCTTGTGCATCTCCACAGGGAATGAGGGAATCCGGTTAGTGTACCACCTCTGAGAGGCTGCTGCCCTATTCTTTTGAGGAAGAAGTGGAGGAAAGGGAGATACGTTTCACCACACAGTCAGATAAAACTAAAAAACAAAAGTTCAAATGAAGCTATTTTAATTTGCAATTACTGTAGGCTTCCTTTCTCAGTTCTTTGTCAAAACGACATAGTCCTGACTTATTATATAAGTAATCCTATCCTCTAGAGTTACTCTGTAGTTTGCTAGCTCTTTAATATGTCTCGTTTGATCCCCCAACAGCCCTATGAGTTAGAGCAACTAGAGTTATCTTCATTTTGAATATAGGGAAGTTTAGGTTGGTTCAAACAAAGTTACTTATGTAAGAAGTGAAGGAACGGGGACTTCGCCAGTTAAGACTCCAGGTCCTATATTCTTTTTGCTTTGCCACACATATGTAAAGTTTAAAAAAAGTTTTCTCATGCCTTATGTTTTCTACGTGATTTTTATTTGTTTCATGTGTAATGTGCTTTACTGACTAAACATTGTATCTTTTTAAGACCTGAAAACTACCTTCTTTATGGTAACCGAGCTCTTTGTTTTCTTCGTACTGGACAGTTTAGGTAAGTTGGTTAAAATATCTCAACCACTGAATTATTATGCTAAATACCCATTTTTGGGAAACGTTTCTGTTTTTCAGGTATACAAGAAAATCCTTGACTGGTTCTTTGGCAGAAATACTTAAGTGGTTAAAAGAGTATGCTTAGGCTTTATATATAATAACAACAGTGACAGCAGCAGCTATTCTGATTGAGTGCAGACATATGTTAAGCATTATTTTAAGTGCTTTGCATATGTTATTTGGTTCTCACAGCACCCGTAATAGGTAGGTAATGTTATAGTCCACATTTTACATGACCAAAGTGTACCACTAGTAAATAGTGATACCAAGATTTGAACACAGATTTTATCTGATGATGTCAAAGTCTGTGTTTGTGGCACCTATATTACCTCTTTATGCTCTGTTAATTAATCCATATAGTATAAAAGAAGCATTTTCATCTTTTCTCTGTTTATCCTGGTATAAAAAATTAAGTAAATATCCTTCATAAGTGAAAGAAAGCAAATAAATTTAATATTATGAGAGTGGAGTCATAATTAATTCCAGTTCCTTATATTGAATTTGAGCTGAGTTTTTATTTATTAGCTAAGAAAGATTGAGAAAGATACTGCACCATGATTTTATTGTTCCCCAGTATAAAATTTTTAGAACATAAATTATATATATTGAGCATTAATATTGAGCAGGTAGACTATTATATTTAATTTTGTCCTGCCTTACTGTAAGAAAGGTGTAGGGTGAATTCAAGAATACATCCACACAGTAGAAGAATATTCAAAATAAAACAAACCAGAAAACGAAGTTGGAATCTGGGATTCTCAGAACCAAGCTACATAGGCATAAGGTCCTGCATAGGTATTAGTTATAATTCATATTTGCCTCTGACCTTCAGCTACCCAAAATGAAATGGGAAAACTTGACAAGTTACTTAATTCTCATTGTCCATAAAGAAACAGGACACCAATTGGTCAGGTGAAACAGTTTTCCTAGTATTTAGTTTTGAAAGAAGTTGGGCTGTAATATTAATTGAGTGATGGAGTAGAGAATAATCTCAGCAGTATCTTATGCATAGCAAAAAACTCCCTGAAAGCACAGTTTTGGGTTTCACAAATACTTTTTTTGTGAAGTTTTCTCATGAAAGCTGAGAGTCTGCTATCAGTTGTTTTTCAGTGAAAGCGCTTGTATGGGAGGGTGGGAGTGGGGAAGGTAGTAAACTCTAAGCATGTAGCTTTAAAAATAACATTTATTGTGTTTTTCTTTTATTGTAAACAGAACACATTCTCATGGTAGAAAATTTGGAAAATACAAGAGTTTAAAAAGAAGAAAATAAAAATCACCAGTAATCCAACCACCTTGGAGAATACCGCTGTATTAACGTTATGCAGCTTTTAGATGGCTTAAGCCGTGGATAAACCGAGGCTATCTAGACTAGAGGAATGGATGGGCTTGACACAGTCTTCCATCAATACCACTGTCCTCAACGGGTTCTGACAAGAAATGAGCTGCACATGTCTTTAGGTTATTGCTACTGGCTAGGTCCAGAATTGCATTTATTTTGTGCTGTTTGAAGGTGAATTTGTATGCTTTCAAGATCAGATGAATAGGTTGGCAACTTGGCTAGCCTCTTGTGAAAATTGAGGTGCCTGTCTGAAATATTGCCTGGCAGAAGGTTTTCCACTTTCCACTTCTGAGAGCTGAGAGGCACACCAGGGTGTTTCTGCTCTCTTTCATGAGTGTTGAATGCTAGACACACAAGGAAGATCCTTCTAATACCTTGCTGCAACAGGAGGTGAATCAGAGTAGAAGTACAGAAGCTAGGTAGTTTGGTGAGGTAAAGGCCAAGAGCAGCTTGTGGATCTATCCTTGTACCTCCTTGCTGATGGTCTAGCTTGTGGTTTAATACCATCTACATTTCACTAAAGCCAGGTCAGCAGCATTGTTCCTTTGTTTCTTATTAGGCAATCACCAATATATATTGGATGCCTATTTTATTCACGAAGTGTTTTACCACACTGGTTTTGCTGGTGTTTCCTACCTCCTCACACATTGTCTATATGATTTGCTCAGTAATGTAGGGATAATGTTTTCAGAGTCCATAGTATATATAACTCCTGATCAGGTGACTAGATGGTGTGACTTAAGGAAAGAACACGTTGCCAGTAATTCAGATGTGCCATTGACACAGGAGGACCCATGCCTGAGAAAGACTTTTATCTGAGTTACTGAGATTAAGATGTTTTGAAGCTCCCAAGCAGAGGGATGCTGGATCTGCTGTGGAAATCTGGCTGAGCAGCTGCAGGGACAGCTGGGGGTAAAGCATCCACCCTCCCCCAGTTTGGCGAGGATGCACTCCTCAGCTGTTCTGGAAGGCCAGACTTCTTATCTGCTGTCATTGAAGCAAGAATTGAGATGTCCAAAGAGAACAGAAATGGGACAATTTAATACTAGAAAGGAATAAAAGGGTTAAAGTCTTGAATGCTAAAACTTCTGAAATAATTAATTTATCCTGAAAGATTAGAAAATATAAGTTGAAACTTTAAATGAAAAAGAGATTCAATTTAAAAAAGAACTTTGGCAAGATTGATATCTAAAAGGGTAAAAATAATAATACTGTATCTTACAACATGGTTATCACTGTTCTGAGCATTTAATGTGTATTAACTCGTAAAACCATCACAACTACGTGAGGTAGGTGCTACTGCCTTTTTACAGATGATGAAACAGGTATAGGGAGGCCAAGCAAAGTGTCTGAGGACACTAGGTGGATGTGATGGAGCCAGAATTTGAACCCAGGCAGCCTGGATGTAGAGTCTCTACTATTAATCACTATGGGAAGGTGGTGATAGAATAAAAGGGAATGTGAAAGTCGAAAAAATTAAAAAATAAATGGTCTAAATAGTCAATAAACGTTTATGAGGAAATGATTATCCTTCCAGGACATGTAGATTAAAAACTACGAGTTTCTCATTTATACCCATCAGATGGACAAAAGCTTAAAAATCTCATAATACCAAGTGTTTGAGAGGATGTGGAACAAAGGAGACTCTCATATTCAGCTGGAGAAAGTGTAAATTGGTACAATCACTTTGGAGAGCAATTTGACAAGGTGAAGATGTGCATACTCTGCAACCCACTTCTAGGCTCATATCCTCTGAACTCTCAAATGTGTACCCAAGAAGATATGTACATGCCTTCATGATAGCATTGTTTGTAAGAGTAAAGAAATGAAAACGACCTAAATGGCCATCAATAGGGGAATGGATAAATATGGTATATTCATACAATGGAATTCTATATGGCAGTTAAAATGAACGCAATGTTGAGTGAAAAAGCAAGTCACAGAATGATTTGTACACTGTGATGCCATTTATTAATGTTTAAAAACATGCAAAACAATATGCATATATACAGACTGTGTATTAACAATGTTTAAAAATGCATGGGCATGTTAAACACCCGGGGAGTGGCTGGGGAGAGAAGGAGGGAAAAGGGATTGGAGTTGGGAGGGGTGGTACACGGTGGGTGTCAACTGTAACAAACTACTACAAAAAGAGCTGAAGTATATGGCAACATGTTAATTTCTTGCTAAGGTGGTATGCCATTGGTACATGGGTGTTCATTTTGTTAATGTTCTCTGTACTTTTATGTATACTTGAAATATTTGATAAAAAGTAAAACAAAATGTAATTAAAATGCACATGATAAAAGGAACAGAAAAAGAACAGAAACAGTGACCACTAAACATCAAGGATAAAATAGTGAACAATGATCTTGAAAAGAGAAATATAAGTATTGTAAGGCCAGTTGCAGAAGCGTGAAGTGTGCATGGGGAAGCCTGAGGTGAGGTATATATGGGGAAACAGATGCTTCCTTCTGGTGGCAGTGGCAGTGATGATTTTAATGCCAAAATAGTCATACAGTTTGTAAATCCAACCACTTTTGGGTGAATATAAGTTAGGCCAAGAGCCTTTCAAAACCCCCCTGGGCCTGCGAATGTTGCGCTTGGAAAACGCAGGAGATGGGGTTGGAATGAGGCAGGGGTTGGGGAACTGCGCTGCCTCCTGCGCCCCCACTCCTGCCGCAGCCTCTCCCCTTCAAATCTTCACATTGAGGATTGTGTTTATCCCAGGACACCTGGCTTAGAAGATGAGATGTCCGTTTTATTCTGCTCCTTCTCAAAGTGTACTTTTCAAATATGAGTTGGTAACTATAGGGCATTTGAGAGTGATCATTGTAATTATAGTAATCAGAACTTTTCAGTTTAGTCAAGAATCTGGACAAAGGAATCAGTCATATCTGTACCTTCTGCAGTTCCAACAGCTTATGTAATGTACATGATTAGGCTTTGCCCACTTAGTGTTCAGTTCATTCTTGTGAGACTCGTGGAAAATTCAGATTCTTCGGTGGGATGTGATGAACTGTGTAAGGGCAAATGTTAATTGGAGAAAGTGAATGCTTAGCTTGAATCGTTTTTGAATTGCTTTGGAAACTCATGTATTTTTAAACTTGGTGTTTACTTGAACTGTTGGTATTCATTTAAGTATTTACCCATCACATGATAACTGCCTTCCATCAGATCCCAACTGTGATTGGTAGCAGACAGATAGACTTTAACTAACTCTTCTCTTGTTGCTTTTTTTCCCCCCTAAATTTCTGGAAGACTAGAGATATAAAGCACTGTATGTTTCTGTGAGAATTTCACAAATTCTTGTGTGTGTGTGTGTGTGTGTGTGTGTGTGTGTGTTGGTTTGGTGAATTATTCCTCACTCTGCCCTCTGGTGTGTGCTCTTTATTTTTACTTAGAGCCACTGAATTTGCTTTTGAAGAAAACATTTACTTTTTTCAGTCTTCTTTGGGGTATACCCCCTTTTTAAAAAAACAGTAACAAATGCACATGGTAAGCAACAGAGTAGGAAAAGGTACACTCGCCAGCTCTGACCCATCCTCTGATTCATCTCTTCAGATCCTTGTGTATTCCCATAATATTTTATGCCTATACAAGCATTTATGTTGAACCAGATGAAATTGCCATTTTTGTAAGTCAGAATATAGGCAGTTTTATTTGGTTTAATGTAATGTATATGTCTTTTTCTTTAAATGGGTAGGAACATACTACATACACTGTTGTACATCTTGCTTTTTTTTTTACATTTAAGTCTTGGAGCTTGTTTTGGATCTGTATATAGAGACCTACCTTGTTCTTCATGGCTGCACAGTGTTTTACTGAATGGATTGCCTATGTAATCCATTAGTTTGTATTATATTAGTATATAGTTTATATATATATATTAGTTTATATTAGTATATAGATTATTTTATTTACAATGTTAAATTATAGATATATTAGTATGTAGATTTCCATTTTAAAGATTATATATACCTATGCAATGATTATCTTTTTACTTATGTTTTACACTCAGGTTCAAATATATCTGTAGGACACATTTCTGATAAATTTATTTTACTCATGATATATGAATGAAAGAACATATCATTTTAATTACAGACACTTTTTATTTAAAATGTATGTTTATTCAGTCCGTGGTTATTACTCACTGCATATTTGTCAGTGACTGACCATTATACCTGAATCTTGCTTTTGTTCCTTAGTTGGAAGATCTGGAAACTTGGGGAATAGTTGTTATTTCTTTATTGATCTGGTCATATCCTGAAAATAATTATAATTGAGGAAAAAAGGAATATCCCTTATATGGCTTGCAAAATTCTTGCATACTTTTTATGGTATGGTTTAAGAGAGTCAATAAATAGCATCTCCTTTCCCTTCCAAGTCCAGAATCAGTTAAAAGATGGATGGAAAAGACAGGCAAATGGTGATCAAATATTGCCTTTATTACTGATGCAATTGGAGAACAGGCCTTAAGTCTGATAGTCAAGGGGCTGGTTACTATTAGGTTGGTGCAAAAGTAAATGTGGTTTTTAGAAATAATGGCAAAACCCCTAATTACTTTTGCACCAACCTAATAATTCACCCACAGTCAGACAGAACTGGGCTCTTGGGAACTTTAAGCCTGGAAGAAAAGGGAATCTGGTGTTTTAGATTCCAAAGAGTAAGGCCAGGTGCAGTGGCTCGTGCCTGTAATCCCAGCACTTGGAGAGGCTGAGGCGGATGGATCACTTGAGGTCAGGAGTTTGAGACCATCCTGGTCAACATGGTGAAACCCTGTCTGTACTAAAAATACAAAAATTAGGTGGGCATGTTGGTGCATGCCTGTAATTCCAGCTACTCAGGAGGCTGAGGCAAGAGAATTGCTTGAACACAGAAGGCAAAGGTTTCAGTGAGCTGAGATTGCGCCACTGCACTCCAGCCTGGGCGATAGAGTGAGACCATGTCTAAAAAAATAAAAGGATTCCAAAGAGTGAGAAAAAGAAGAGGTGAAGCCATGTATGATTAGTGTCCCTCCCTCACCATTAGATAAATTATTATTCATCATCTGGGGATGTTAGCCAAGGGTGGGGAGAGGAAAGAGTTCAGGAATAATTAGCAAATCCACATGGAAACTAGGGGAGAGGGAATAACTGTTCTTTACAAGCATCATCTTTTAGGGCAGAATGTAGCATATTTTATATGCAGTAATGGGGAGGGGCTGGAGAAATAAAAACACTTCCCTATGTAAGAGCAATAAGTTGGAGCACCTGGACTAGAACTCTCTTTCTTACTCTGTTTAATACTCACCATGTCACACAGTCTTCAAGAGTAAATAACCGTTTGCATCTGGAGTCTTGTCCCATTTTCATACATCTCTTGCACAGGGGATTGCTGCTACCAAAAGTCAAACCTGATTATTTAGACCCTGGGCTGCAGTGGTCTGGATGAGCAATAGCATCATGTAATTGACTATGCCCACTTTGCCTTAGTTGTAGGATGTGGTCATATGCCAGTAAATGTGAAATTTTATTAGTATTAATATTAATTGCATTCATATACTAATTGTGATATTTATAATATATGCTATTATAACGCTGTTTGTAGTGCTATATATTATAAGTAATGTTCAGCATTGATTCAACAAATATTGGGGTTCTGTTGATGGATAATGTCAGAAATGAGCAAAAACAGCCTCTGTGTTTCAGACAGTGGGCTGGCATTGTGAGGGCCTTGTAGTGGGAAGGAATTTGTTGCATTTGTGGAACTGATAGTTGCTAGATGGCCTGAATACAGAGGAGAGGGTAGTATGTTCATAGGCTAAGCCAAGGAGGGCCTTGTAGGCTGTGTTAAGGCTTTTGGCCTTTAAGAGCAATAAGAAAGTAAAGGATTTTAAACTGAGGAGAGAGAGCATGATTAGCACTTAAAAAAAAAATTTGAGCATAGTGAAAATGGATCTGAAGGGGATGTAGTGTGGATGTAGGTTAGGAGGCTGTTGCAGTAGCCCAGGCCAGAGATGATGGCTTCCAGCAGAATATTGACAGTGGGAATGGAAAAGTAGAAGGATTCAAGAGTTTAGAGGTGAAGCTGACAGAAGTTGCTCGTGGTTGGTGTTGGAACTTGAGAGTGAAGGTGGTTGGAACTGTTCTGACGTTTCTGCCTTAAGCAGCATCATGGATTATGGGCCTACTCACTCACATTGGGATTGCTGGAAGAGGAATAAATTTGTAGGAGGTAGAACTGGACTTCACTCTCGGACACTGAATCGAAGTGCCTTTGAAGGCCAGGCATGGTGACTCACGCCTGTAATCCCAGCACTTTGGGAGGCCGAGGTGGGAGGATCACCAGAGGTCAGGAGTTCGAGACCAGCCTGGCCAACATGGTGAAACCCTTTCTCTACTACAACTACAAAAATTAGCTGGGCGTGGTGGTAGGTGCTTCTAATCTCAGTTACTCGGGAGGCTGAGGCAGGAGAATTGCTTGAACGTGGGAGGCGGAGGTTGCAGTGAGCCAAAGTAGCGCCATTGCGCTCCAGCCTCGGCGACGAGCAAAACTCCGTCTCAAAAAAAAAAAAAAAAAAAAAGAAAGAAGTGCCTTTGAAGCATCCAAATTCCAATGTTGTGTAGGTAGTGAGTTATATGGGTCTGGAACTCAAAGGAGGGTTTGGATGGGAAACATGTTTGGAATAGCCAGCCTCCATGATTTGAAGTTGTAGATGTGGGTGAGACTGCTTACAGAGAAGTTTTTCTCAACCTGGACTGCACTTTGGAATCACTGAACTTTGACAAATACCACCCACCCCAGAGATTCTGATTCAATTAACCTAGAGTAAAGCTTGGGCATTGGGCTTCTAGGAACTCCCCAGATGGTACTAATGTGCAGTCACGGTTGAGACCCACTGGCCTAGAGAGAACCTAGGCTGAGACTAGGAGAGGAATCAGGATTGAGCCTTGAACACATATGGCCAATTGGAGAAGGATGAGCCTGCCCAGGAGATTATTAAGATGTGACCAGAGAGGTGGAACAAAGACTAAGTGTGGTGTCATAGAAGTAAGTAAAAGAGTGGTCAGCAGTGTCTGTTGGCTACTGAGAAGCCAGTTACAGTGGAACTTAGATTTGGCAACATGGACATCATTCACTAACCTTAGGGGGAGCTGTCAGTGGGAAGCTTGAAACATGCCAATTAGATGGGGTTGAGAAATGCAAGGAAATGGAGACAGCTAGCGTAGGCAGCTTTTAAAGGTGTTTGGGGAGAGAGACCCAGGGTGAGTCTCTTTAAATGGTAAAGAAAACTTACCTTATTCAAGAGTTCCAGAAGAAGGTGGCACTAGGGTTGTATATTCAGTGGCTCAACAATGTCATCAGAGACTTAGATTTTTCCAGCCTCAGTGTGTGACTTGGTCCTCAGGCTGTCCCCTCAGAATGTAGGATGGCTGCTGTAATTCAGACATCTTTAGCAGAAGAAGGACAACTTTGTCTTATGTCCTTTAAAAAAAATCTTAATACACATGCTGAAAAGTATACAAGTGTTAAGTGCAGCTGGAATTTTCAGAAGTCAAACAACTGTAACCAGCATGCAGATCACAACCCCAGTACCCCAGAAGTTCCTCTTAGTCATGACCCTCCTCCTAGTCATGATCCATCTCCTCCCCCAGGAGAACTACCATCCTGGCTTCCAGTGGTTAATTTTGCCTATTTTAGTACAATGTAATGAAATAATATACTATGTGTTCTTTTATGTTTGGTTTTCAGCATCGTTTTTGAGATCCATATTGTTGCATGTAGTTGTAAAGTGTTCATCTATTGCATGAATATACCACATTTTATCCATTCTATTGTTGATGGGCATTTGGGTAGCTTCTCCTATTTGGCTTTTACAGGTAGTATTGTTGTGAACATATGTATTTATTTCTGTTGAGTGTATAATTAAGGAGTGGAATTGTTGGGACAGAGGGTATGCTTATATGCATTTAGCTTTCCTGTGTGATTGTATCATTTTGTACTCTTACAGCAGCATATGAGAATTTCAGTTCTGTGCCCTCAACACTTACTATTTTTCATCTTTTATTTTAGACATTCTGGTGGGTGTGTAGTGGTATACCGCTGTGATTATAATTTGTATTTTCATAAATTGATTAAGGATGTTTCAGATTTTCATAAGGTTATTGACCATTTGGATATTCTCTTTTGTGAAGTGCCTGTTGAAGTCTTTTGCTATTTTTTTCTCTTGAGTAGAATGCCCTATTCATTTTTAGGAGTTTTTCTTTTGTATTCTGAATATGAGTCATTGGTCAGATATATGTATTGCAAATATCTTCTCACATTCAGTGGCTTGCCTTTTCACTGTTGATGTTTTCACAAACAAGTTACTAATTTTAATGTAGTACAGTTTATCAGTTTTTTCCTCTGTGATAAGCTCTTTTTGTGTTCTGTTTATCATCTTTACCCATTCAAAGGTCACCAGATTTTCTATGTTTCATCTAAAGGTTTAATTGTTCAACTTTGATGTACAGATCTGCAGTCCATCTGGACCTGGTGTTTGTATTTAGTGTGAGGTAGTGTTCAAGATTCATATGGGCCAGGTGCGGTGGCTCATGCCTGTATTCCCAGCACTTTGGGAGGACAAGGCAGGAGAATTGCTTGAGCCCAGGAGTTTGAGACCATCCTGGGCAACATAGTGGGACCGTGTCTCTACAAAAAAATTCAAAAATTAGCCAGAAATTAGCTAGGCATGATGGCATGTGCCTATATTCCCAGCTACTCAGGAGGCTGAGGTGGGAGGAGCGCTTGAGCCTGTGATGTCAAGGCTGTAGTGAGAGGGACTGGCACTGCACTCCAGCCTGGGTGACAGAGTGAGCCCTTGTTTCAAAAAAAAGAAAAAAGATCCATATGGATGTCCAATTGACCCAGCACCATTTATTAAAAGAGTATATTTTCTCCATGTACCGCAGTATCACCTTTGTCACGAATCAGGTCATTATGTGTAAGAATCCATTTCTAGTTTCTCTGTTCTATTTTGTTGGTCAGGTTGTCTATCCTTATCTAGTTGGTTTTTTTTTTTTTTTGTACGTAACCTTTTAGTAGGTATTGATATCTGGTAGTATAAGTTATCTAGTTTTGTTCTTCCTTGTAATCTCTTTAAGAGTGATGAATTAGCATAAATATGAATGTGAAATGATGAACCAGCAAATATTAATCTACGTTGAAAAAAGAAGGTGGATAAGTCAGTGAGTTGGGTACCCTGAGGAGATAGGAACAATTGAACAAGTTAAATGGGATAAGCAAGGTTATAGTGAGAGGTGGATACCTGAATTAGTGATTGAACAGTTTGAAGTTTGAACAGTTTTGAGTTTGAACACCCTAAGTTCCAGGGGTGCAGTGATGGGTGGCTGAGTTGGGCTAGAGGTGGAAGTCATTGAAGATAAGGAAGCCAGGAAACTGATAGACTGTGGTATGGATCTGTTAGTTCTTGATAGGTTATGAAAGTACATTTAATAATGTAGTATCTAATTTAATATCTACCTCAGAACAGGTAGAACAGAATTATTTACATTTTACAGATGAGAAAAATGGGCCCAGAGATGTTAATAACTCCCTAATAGCCCCAAGAAAATTAGTGATTAAATTAGACCTAACCTGGGTCTTATGGTCTAGCTTCCATGCTCTATTCAGTGTAGCTTAACTGATGTTGTGTGAAAGACCTGGTAGTGATACATTTGGAAAGTCTTACTGACATGCAGAAATAGTACAGAAAAACATACAAATAGGAATGTTATTGGCTGGGCATGGTGGCTCACACCTGTAATCCCAGCACTTTGGGAGGCCAAGGCGGGTGGATCACAAGGTCAGGAGATCGAGACCATCGTGGCTAACATGGTGAAACCCTGTGCCTACTAAAAATTCAAAAAATTAGCCGGGTGTACTGGCATGTGCCTGTAATCCTAGCTACTTGGGAGGCTGAGGCAGGAGAATCACTTGAACCCGGGAGGCAAAGGTTGCAGTGAGCCAAGATCACGCCACTGCACTCCAGCCTGGGCGACAGAGCGAGACTCTGTCTCAAAAAAAACAAAAGAATGCTATGCATAGGTACAATGTCGAAATGTGCAAGAAATACTTCAGAAATATTAAAAGTAGTTATTCCTGGGTAGTTGTGATTGTGACTCTGGGTGACTTTTTCCCTTTGTTTTATTTTTCTGTATTTTCCAAATTTCCTATAATGGACATATATTATATGGATTTTTTTTAATTAAAATTATCTTTTGACTAGATAATATACATGGAAAATTCACAAAGTACACATATGCAAGATATAATACTTTTACTATAAAAGAGTGAAAATTTTTAAATACTTGTTTTTCCTTTTAGAAATGCACTCGGTGATGGAAAGAGAGCCACTATTCTGAAGAACACTTGGCCAAAGGTAGGTTTCTTCTGTATTTTATATTGAGCAAATAATGCCATACAACATTGTGAAAAATCTGTTTATAGGGTGTGTTTGTTCATAAAAATGCTATATGAAATTACGTAGAGCTCCAGAATGTGAAAGGGGAGTCATCAGATCCATGATCAGCGTGGGGACCCAGCCACAGCACTGACAGGCTGTGCGTGAGGACAGGTGGCCTGTGGGCATCTTGAGTCTTCAGGGTGCCTTAGTGATTGAGAGGTCATCTCTGCGTATTCTGGGTGGGTGTGCCTGAATGTGAAAAATGACTTAAAACTGGGGAGGAAGTATAGGAGGCTGTCTTTATAGGAGGCAGGAAAAGATTTCTTAACACACAGTGCACAAATCAGCAGTGAAGACAACCATCTTGATATATTTGGCTATATCGAACTTAAAAACTTGTGTATGTCAAAAGGCACCATAGATGAAATAGTAGTTTGAGAGGAGATAATTTGCCACATATATAACTGGTAGGATTTACAGCTGGAATATGCACATAATTCCTAAAGTAAATAAGAAACCCCGTAGAAAATGGGCCAGTAAAACAAGTAAGCATTTCACAGAAGAGTAATCCTGAATGGCCAATAGAAATAAGAAACTATTTCGGTAGGGGTGGAGCCAAGATGGCTGAATAGGAACAGCTCCAGTCTACAGCTCCCAGCGTGAGCGACACAGAAGACAGGTGATTTCTGCATTTCCAACTGAGGTACTGGGTTCATCTCACTGGGGAGTGCTGGACAGTGGGTGCAGGACAGTGAGTGCAGCGCACCATGTGTGAGCTGAAGCAGGGTGAGGCATGGCCTCACCGGGGAAGCGCAAGGGGTCAGGGAATTCCCTTTCCTAGTCAAAGAAAGGGGTGACAGATGGCACCTGGAAAATTGGGTCACTTCCACCCTAATACTGCGCTTTTCCAATGGGCTTATCAAACGGCACACCAGGAGATTATATCCCGCACCTGGCTCGGAGGGTCCTACGCCCATGGAGCCTCGCTCATTGCTAGCACAGCAGTCTGAGATCAAACTGCAAGGTGGCAGCGAGGCTGGAGGAGGGGCGCCTGCCATTGCTCAGGCTTGAGTAGGTAAACAAAGCAGCCCAGAAGCTCGAACTGGGTGGAGCCCACCACAGCTCAAGGAGGCCTGCCTGCCTCTGTAGGCTCCACCTCTGGGGGCAGGGCACAGACAAACAAAAGACAGCAATAACCTCTGCAGACTTAAATGTCCCTGTCTGACAGCTTTGAAGAGAGTAGTGGTTCTCCCAGCACGCAGCTTGAGATCTGAGAACGGGCAGATTGCCTCCTCAAGTGGGTCCCTGACCCCCGAGTAGCCTAACTGGGAGGCACCCCCCAGTAGGGGCGGACTGACACCTCACACGGCCGGGTACTCCTCTGAGACAAAACTTCCAGAGGAACGATCAGGCAGCAGCATTTGCGATTCACCAACATCTGCTGTTCTGCAGCCACTGCTGCTGATACCCAGGCAAACAGGGTCTCGAGTGGACCTCCAGTAAACTCCAACAGACCTGCAGCTGAGGCTCCTGGCTGTTAGAAGGAAAACTAACAGAAAGGACATCCACCACCAAAAACCCATCTGTACGTCACCATCATCAAAGACCAAAGGTAGATAAAACCACAAAGATGGGGAAAAAACAGAGCAGAAAAACCTGAAACTCTAAAAATCAGAGTGCCTCTCCTCCTCCAAAGGAACGCAGCTCCTCACCAGCAATGGAACAAAGCTGGACGGAGAATGACTTTGACGAGTTGAGAGAGGAAGGCTTCAGAAGATCAAACTACTCCGAGCTAAAGGAGGAAGTTCGAACCAATGGCAAAGAAGTTAGAAACTTTGAAAAAAAATTAGATGAATGGATAACTAGAATAACCAATGCAGAGAAGTCCTTAAAGGACCTGATGGAGCTGAAAACCACGGCACGAGAACTATGTGACAAATGCACAAACCTCAGTAACCGATGCGATCAACTGGAAGAAAGGGTATCAGCGATGGAAGATGAAATGAATGAAATGAAGCATGAAGATAAGTTTAGAGAAAAAGAATAAAAAGAAACAAACAAAGCCTCCAAGAAATATGGGACTGTGTGAAAAGACCAAATCTACGTCTAATTGGTGTACCTGAAAGTGACGGGGAGAATGGAACCAAGTTGGAAATATCTGTAGGATATTATCCAGGAGAACTTCCCCAATCTAGCAAGGCAGGCCAACATTCAAATTCAGGAAATACAGAGAACACCACAAAGATACTCCTTGAGAAGAGCAACTCCAAGACACATAATTGTCAGATTCACCAAAGTTGAAATGAAGGAAAAAATGTTAAGGGCAGCCAGAGAGAAAGGTCGGGTTACCCACAAAGGGAAGCCCATCAGACTAACTGCTGATCTCTCGGCAGAAACTCTACAAGCCAGAAGAGAGTGGGGGCGAATATTCAACATTCTTAAAGAAAAGAATTTTCAACCCAGAATTTCATATCCAGCCAAACTAAGCTTCATAAGTGAGGAGAAATAAAATACTTCACAGACAAGCAAATGCTGAGAGATTTTGTCACCACCAGGCCTGCCCTACAAGAGCTCCTGAAGGAAGCACTAAACATGGAAAGGAACAACCGGTACCAGCCACTGCAAAAACATGCCAATTTGTAAAGACCATCAAGGCTAGGAAGAAACTGCATCAACTAACGAGCAAAATAACCAGCTAACATCATAATGACAGGATCAAATTCATGCATAACAATACTAACCTTAAATGTAAACGGGCTAAATGCTCCAATTAAAAGGCACAGACTGGCATATTGGATAAAGAGTCAAGACCGATCAGTGTGCTGTATTCAGGAAACCCATCTCACGTGCAGAGACATATAGGCTCAAAATAAAGGGATGGAGGAAGATCTACCAAGCAAATGGAAAACGAAAAAAGGCAGGGGTTGCAATCCTAGTCTCAGATAAAACAGACTTTAAACCAACAAAGATCAAAAGAGACAAGGCCATTACATAATGGTAAAGGGATCAATTCAACAAGAAGAACTAACTATCCTAAATATATATGCACCCAATACAGGAGCACCCAGATTCATACAGCAAGTCCTTAGTGACCTACAAAGTGACTTAGACTCCCACAGAATAATAATGGGAGACTTTAACACCCCACTGTCAACATTAGACAGATCAACGAGACAGAAAATTAACAAGGATATCCAGGAATTGAACTCAGCTCTGCACCAAGCGGACCTAATAGACATCTGCAGAACTCTCCACCCCAAATCAACAGAATATACATTATTTTCAGCACCACACCACACCTATTCCAAAATTGACCGCATAGTTGGAAGTAAAGCACTCCTCAGCAAATGTAAAAGAACAGAAATTATAACAAACTGTCTCTCAGACCATAGTGCAATCAAACTGGAACTCAGGATTAAGAAACTCACTCAAAACCGCTCAACTACATGGAAACTGAACAACCTGCTCCTGAATGACTACTGGGTACTTACGAAATGAAGGCAGAAATAAAGATGTTCTTTGAAACCAACGAGAACAAAGACACAACATACCAGAATCTCTGGGACACATTCAAAGCAGTGTGTAGAGGGAAATTTATAGCACTAAATGCCCACAAGAGAAAGCAGGAAAGATCTAAAATTGACACCCTAACATCACAAAAGAACTAGAGAAGCAAGAGCAAACACATGCAAAAGCTAGCAGAAGGCAAGAAATATCTAAGATCAGAGCAGAACTGAAGGAAATAGAGACACAAAAAACCCTTCAAAAAATCAGTGAATCCAGGAGCTGGTTTTCTGAAAAGATCAACAAAATTGATAGACCGCTAGCAAGACTAATAAGAAAAGAGAGAAGAATCAAATAGACACAATAAAACATGACAAAGGGGGGATCATCACTGATCCCATGGAAATACAAACTACCATCAGAGAATACTGTAAACACCTCTACGCAAATAAACTAGAAAATCTAGAAGAAATGGATAAATTCCTCGACACATACACTCTCCCAAGACTAAACCAGGAAGAAGTTGAATCTCTGAATAGACCAATAACAGGCTCTGAAGTTGAGCCAATAATTAATAGCTTACCAATCAAAAAAAGTCCGGAACCAGATGGATTCACAGCCGAATTCTACCATAGGTACTAGGAGGAGCTGGTACCATTCCTTCTGAAACTATTCCAATCAATAGAAAAAGAGGGAATCCTCCCTAACTCATTTTATGAAGCCAGCATCATCCTGATACCAAAGCCTGGCAGAGACACAACAAAAAAAGAGAATTTTAGACCAATATCCTTGATGAACATTGATGCAAAAATCCTCAGTAAAATACTGGCAAACCGAATCCAGCAACACATCAAAAAGGTTATCCACCATGATCAAGTGGGCTTCATCCCTGGGATGCAAGGCCGGTTCAACATATGAAAATCAATAAATGTAATCCAGCATATAAACAGAACCAATGACAAAAACCACATGATTATCTCAATAGATGCAGAAAAGTCCTTTGACAAAATTCAACAACGCTTCATGCTAAAAACTCTCAGTAAATTAGGTATTGATGGGATGTATTTCAAAATAATAAGAGCTAGCTATGACAAACCCACAGCCAATATCATACTGAATGGACAAAAACTGGAAGCATTCCCTTTGAAAACTGGCACAAGACAGGGATGCCCTCTCTCACCACTCCTATTCAACATAGTGTTGGAAGTTCTGGCCAGGGCAATCACGCAGAAGGAAATAAAGGGCATTCAATTAGGAAAAGAGGAAGTCAAATTGTCCCTGTTTGCAGATAACATGATTGTATATCTAGAAAACCCCATCGTCTCAGCCCAAAATCTCCTTAAGCTGATAACCAACTTCAGCAAAGTCTCAGAGTACAAAATCAATGTGCAAAAATCACAAGCATTCTTACACACCAATAACAAACAGAGAGCCAAATCATGAGTGAACTCCCATTCGCTATTGCTTCAAAGAGAATAAAATACCTAGGAATCCAACTTACAAGGGATGTGAAGGACCTCTTCAAGGAGAGCTACAAACCACTGCTCAATGAAATAAAAGAGGATACAAACAAATGGAAGAACATTCCATGCTCATGGGTAGGAAGAATCAATATTGTGAAAATGGCCATATTGCCCAAGGTAATTTATAGATTCAGTGCCATCCCCATCAAGCTACCAATGACTTTCTTCACAGAATTGGAAAAAAACTACTTTAAAGTTCATATGGAACCAAAAAAGAGCCCACATTACCAAGTCAATCCTAAGCCAAAAGAACAAAGCTGGAGGCATCATGCTTACCTGACTTCAAACTATACTACAAGGCTACAGTAACTAAAACAGCATGTTACTGGTACCAAAACAAAGATATAGACCAATGGAACAGAACAGAGCCCTCAGAAATAGTGCCACATATCTACAACTATCTGATCTTTGACAAACCTGACAAAAACAAGCAATGGGGAAAGGATTCCCTATTTAATAAATGGTGCTGGGAAAACTGGCCAACCATATGTAGAAAGCTGAAACTGGATCCCTTCCTTGCACCTTATACAAAAATTAATTCAAGATGGATTAAAGACTTCAATGTTTGACTTAAAACCATAAAAACCCTAGAAGAAAACCTAGGCAATACCATTCGGGACATAGGCATGGGCAAGGACTTCATGTCTAAAACACCAAAAGCAATGGCAACAAAAGCCAAAATTGACAAATGGGATCTAATTAAACTAAAGAGCTTCTGCACAGCAAAAGAAACTACCATCAGAGTGAACAGGCAACCTACAAAATGGGAGAAAATTTTTGCAACCTACTCATCTGACAAAGGGCTAATATCCAGAATCTACAATGAACTCAAACAAATTTACAAGAAAAAAACAACCCCATCAAAAAGTGGGCGAAGGATATGAACAGACCCTTCTCAAAAGAAGACATTTATGTAGCCAACAGACACATGAAAAAATGCTCATCACTGGCCATCAGAGAAATGCAAATCAAAACCACAGTGAGATACCATCTCACACCATTTAGAATGGCAATCATTAAAAAGTCAAGAAACAACAGGTGCTGGAGAGGATGTGGAGAAATAGGAACACTTTTACACTGTTGGTGGGACTGTAAACTAGTTCAACCATTGTGGAAGTCAGTGTGGCGATTCCTCAGGGATCTCGAACTAGAAATACCATTTGACCCAGCCATCCCATTACTGGGTATATACCCAAAGGATTATAAATCATGCTGCTATAAAGACACATGCACACATATGTTTATTGTGGCAGTATTCACAATAGCAAAGACTTGGAACCAACCCACATGTCCAACAATGATAGACTGGGTTAAGAAAATATGGCACATATACACCATGGAATACTAAGCAGCCATAAAAAATGATGAGTTCATGTCCTTTGTAGGGACATGGATGAAGCTGGAAACCATCATTCTCAGCAAACTGTTGCAGGGACAAAAAACCAAACACCGCATGTTCTCACTCATAGGTGGGAATTGAACAATGAGAGCACATGGACACAGGAAGGGGAACATCACACACCGGGGCCTGTTGTGAGGTGGGAGGGGAGAGGGATAGCATTAGGAGATATACCTAATGCTAAATGACGAGTTAATGGGTGCAGCACAGCAACATGGCACATGTATACCTATGTAACAAACCTGCACGTTGTGCACATGTACCCTAAAACTTAAAGTATAATAATAATAATAATAATAATAATAAAGAAACTATTTCTATTTCCTAGTAATTAAAATTGTAGGGATTTGGTACACAGATAAAAGAATGAAACCAATAGTGCAGAATAGAGGGCCTCCACACAGAACCCACTATGTGAGTAAATATTACAATGTCATATTGTCTGAGTCCTTCAGATTGGCAGAAATTAAAGAGGCTGATAGTCTGGTGTTGGTGGGTATGTGTAGTAACAGGAAGCCCCAGTAAACTGGTGGGAGTGTGATTGCTTACAACCAAGTCAGGGAGCACTATAATAGACTCCACAGTTACTTGATTCTGAGTGTGTGTGCTCTAGAAAATTTCTTGCAAATGTGCACATGGTTTGATATGCAAGGTTGGTCATTGCAGCATTGTTTTAATGGCACACAACTGCAAATACCTACATGTCTATTGATAAAGCAGCAGATAAATGTGGTATTTTCACTTGATCAAAGTTGTTACTCTGACCTGTGTGATCTGTCCCCGTCTTGAACACTTGTTGTTTCTCCAACCTCACTGCTCCTGCTCTGTCCCTGGTTCACTTTATCTTGGCCTCTTGGCATCCTCACTGTTCCTCAGACATTCCAGGCCCACTTCCACTTTGTACTTGCCCTTCCCTCTGCCTAGAATGCTTTTCCCCAGAGCGTTGGCCAGCCCCCTTATTTCTTTTCAGTCGATATTGAAAGGACTCTTCTCAGTGAAACATTCCTTGGCCTCATTACTAAAATGCCAAACACCTCACTTCCTACGCATTTCTTATCTTCTTTCCTTGCTTTACTTTTTTCTTCTTAGGACTTACCATTATCTAATACATTATATCTACTGTTTGAGTTATAGTGGCTATTGTGTGTCTTCCAGTATAATATGAGCTCCACAAGGAAAGATTTTTTTGGTGTTTGGTTCACTTCACTCTTGAATCCAGACTGTCTGACAAGCTGCCTGACACTTACTTAGCAGGCACTCATTAGTAAATAATTGTTGACTTAGTGATTGAATGAATCAAATAGTAGATTGCAGTTGAATTAGCTGGCTTATCAACATTTATGGATTTTAAAAAGTTAAATGAAAAAGTCAATAAAACATAGGCTGGAAAAATATCTATCGAGTTCATGATAGTGTTTGCTTCTGGGCAGTAAGAGAGGGAAAGGAGATTGGAGAGGGTACAAAGGAGATTTCAGCCATATCTGTATCATCAGAAATAGTTTTATTTATTTCATTTAAAAATCAGAAGCAAATATAACAAAATGTTAACAGTTAATTCTGGGTATCTGTGTATTAGTCTCTGTATTTTCCTAAATTATAAAAATATTTTTTTTTTAAGTGAAGCTTTAGATGCCAGGCATGATGGCTCACACCTGTAATCCTAGCACTTCAGGAGGCTGAGGCGGGCAGATCACTTGAAGTCAGGAGTTCCAAGACCAGCCTGGCCAACATGTGAAACCCCGTCTCTACAAAAAAATTTTAAAAAATTACTGGATGTTGTGGTGCATTCCTGTCTAGCTACTCAGGAGTCTGAGGCAGGAGAATCACTTGAACCCAGGAGATGGAGGTTACAGTGAGCTGAGATCACACCACTGCATTCCAGCCTGGGTGACAGAGTGAAACTCCATCTAAAAAATAAAAAAATAAAAATAAATAAATTTTTTTTTAAGTGGAGCTTTAAATAAGATATAGAAAGGCACATGTATTTCATACTTCATTCCTGGTTTTACGTAATTTAAAAAAAGCTAGTGCAAGTAGAATCAGAATTTGAAGGCCTTAGGGAATTTAGTCTAATTTGATACTTCCATTACTGCTCTGCGGATAGCCTTCATTAGATTAATTGTAGGAGTTTATTTTGTTTAATTTTTTTAAATGAACTTTATATTATAAATATCACATGATTAAAGAGAAAAATAGAATATAGCAAGGTATAAAGTAAAAGGGAAAAGTCAGCCTGGAGACCTTGTTTAAAAGACAGATTTCTTCGCTTTTCCCCCAAATTGTGATTCAGGTGGCCTAGGAATGTATCTAGGAGTGTGGAGATTGTAAAATTCCCCAGGTGGACTTCTGCATCCAGATTTTAGAATCATTTTTTAAATGCCTTATTTTACACATGAAGCAATTGAGTCCCAGAGAGGTAGAGTGATTTTTGCAAGGTGTCATTGCAAATAAAAGACAAAACTGGTGGTTCTGTTTGAGGGTGACCAGTTTGTTGGTATTTTCATTATGAGTCATTCTTTTGCTTGAAACAAAATCTTTGCTGATCCTTGAACCTGGTGTTTGACAGGTGCTATATCAATATTTGTAAAATGAATGAATGAATGATAGAATTCCAAATACTGAAACCCAAACCATGATACTGGTTTTCCAGAAATACTTCCTGCTATTTTAATATATTATCAATTAAGAAAAACAGTTATTAAAACTTTTTGAAGACCTGGCGCTCACTCCTGTAATCCCAGCACTTTGGGAGGGCAGGACGGGCAGATCCCTTGAGTTCAAGACCAGCCTGAGCAACATGGCAAAACCATATCTTTACAAAAAATTAGTTGGGCATGGTGGCATGTGCCTATAATCCCAGCTACTTGGGAGGCTAAGGTGGGATAATCACCTGAGCCCAGGAAGTATGAGGCTGCAGCGAGCTATGATTGCGCCACTTCAAAAAAAAAAAAAAAAAAGAAAAAAGAAAAAAACTTTAACAATTATTTTGAGAACTTTGTGGAGAATACTTGTTCCTGGCTTAGTTTCTTAAACAAAATATTCACTTTTTTTTTTAAATTGGAATGTTTGGTGATGTCCAAACATCCCTTCTCAGGGGATACTCTCTTTTGTTGCCTTGTATTGGTGATGTGTCGTATGATTGCAGAAATATTTGTATAGATAAAAACATATAACCACTAGTAAGTATTTTAAAAATTTGGTAACTACATAACTAGGTTATTTTTCTTTTTTTTTTAAAACCAGAAAAGAATGCTTATTAAAGGATAAACTTCAGGAGCAAAAGTAGATCATACAGGGTATATTTACTTTTATAAGATTGCCTTACTTTAGAATTAATTATGAGCCTGAGTCTATGGAGTCATACCTCTAAGATGTAAGTGTGTTAGTGGAATGTATTCTGTAGATTTCTATGTGAGGGTAGGACATTTTTTTCCTTCTTCTTAATGGGGAAGATTAGTACAGTGCTACCTGTCTCTAGACTCACTTTCAGGATTTAGAAAGAATGAGTCATTTGTCCTGAAGAGTGAGAATTTTTCTTAGCCTCAACAGATATGTTTGTGCAGGTCTGTGAGCATTGTGTTTTGATCTATATCATATAGGATACAAACTAATAACCTCAGAAATGTCCTCAAGAACATTTAAATTTTGAGGGGCGCATTAGGACTTTTGTTGTGAATGACAGAAACTGAACTCAGATTTGATTTAAGTAGAAAAGGGAATTAATTGGCTCATGTAACTGAGAAGTCTAGGGGTTAGCTTCAGGAATGGTTGGATCCAGATTTGTACACATCTTTCTTTCATTTTCTCAACTTTGCCTCCCTGTTTGTCAGCTTCATGTTTAGTCTTTTTTCTAGCTTCCCTCTCTGATTTTTACATGGATTCTCTTGTTATGTCTTCAAGCTCACCCATCTTTTCTTCTGCAGTGTTTTATCTGCCTTTATTTCCATCCAATGTACTTTTCATCTTAAATGCTATAGTTTTCATCTCTAGAGGTTAAATTTGGGTCTTTCTTGCATATTTCATGTCTTTAACATATTCCATCTTTCCTTTCACCTCTTGAACACATAGGGGATAGTTATAATAAGTATTTCAATGTCCTTGTCTACTAATCTGTGTCATTTGTGGGTTGTTTTCAGTTGGTTTATTTTGCTGTTCATTATAGGTCATATTTTCCTGGTAATTGTAGATGGATGCCAGATATTGTGAATTTTACCTTGTTTGGTGCTGGATATTCTTGTTTTTCTTTAAATATGCTTGATCTTTGTTTTGGGATGCAGTAAAGTTACTTAGAAACAATTTTAATTCTTCAAGGTTTTAAGATTTTTTTTAGGCGGGACTATAGTGGCATTTAATCTAGGGCTAATTTTTTCCCCACTACTGAAGCAAAACTTTTCTGAGTACTCTACTTGAAGTAGAGAATTCACCCCATGAATTATGGTGTTTTTCACTCTTGTTGATAGGAACAGGAATTATTCCTGATTTGTTTCCGTTCCGGCTCTTGTTCCCTGTTAACCTTTCAGGTTGTTCTTTCCCTGGCTGTGGACCGTTGTCCCCCAGGGATGTGCTGATCAGTACTTAGCTGAAGACTCAAGGGGTCCCTCTGGAGTTCTCCCTGTGTGCAGCTTTCTCTTCTCTGGTCCTCTGCTCTGTGAACTCAGCTGCCTTGGTCCTCTGTACTCCCGCTTCTGTCTCCTTAACTGAGAGAGGCTGCCAGTCTCTGCCTAGGTTTTCTCTTCCCATGCTCTGGCTTAGAGACATTCTTATCAGTAAGCGGGATCAATCACAGGGCTTACTTTATATGTTTTTCATACTCTCTTTTGTTGCCTTGTTTTCAATGTCTTGCAAGCTGTGGTTTCTTATCTTTTGTCTTTGTTTTAGGTAGGAGGGAAAAATCAAGTCCTTATTACTTCATTTTGGTCAGAAGTGGAGGTTAGAGTGTAGGCGCTCTTGGTTTTATTTTTAAAAAGACTTTTACCATGTAGTGGGATCTGCAAACTGATGTCATGAGTAGCTGTTAATTCTAGGAAAAGGAGACCCTCTCTCAGTGTGTGTACAGTAGACCTTAGGGATGCCTCAGACTGATTCTGATTGAGTCATGTGCCCACCTGTGGATTTATTGCTTTGACCTAGAAAGTAGTGCATTTCAATTGGCCAGTCTCCTGGGTTACAGCCACACTTCCACCGTGCCGTCCATTGTTGGGGTGGAGCACTGGAACTGACAGTCCTGCTGTTACTGTGAGAAGTGGGAACATGGTGGTCTCCTAAGTGAGGGGAGACTAGAGAGATGAGCAAGAGGGAATTTCCACATGTGTGATAGAGAATGAGATAGTGAAAAGACCTTTTTATTGTAATTGGGTTTCAGAAACTCTGAGATACCTTTAATTTAAGCTTCATTGAAATAACTTCAGTAGGGAGGTCTGAATTAAGTCTTTTCTCAACTAACAGGAGTTACATTATGTTTTATAGGGTTCAGGGAAAAGGATCCAATAAAAGGTGAGAAAAGTATGGAGAAAAGAGAAAGAAATAAAGTTCTCTGCAAATTTAGTAGATTTGGTTTATGATCTATCATTATTTCTTATGCTAGCTGTGGGTTTTTTAATGCAGTTATTTAAACTTTGAAGTCCGTAAATGCTTAGGGGATAGGATTTGACCTTGTAGCCTATCTGAGAGATGCCTTTGTCTTCTTATACTTTAGGTGTCAGGAAGCATGGCCTATACCCTTTCAGCAAAACAGAGTTTAATGAAATGCCATATGAATTGGAGTCTGAGCTAAGCCCAAATAGTCTGTCTAAAAAAACTCCAGAACCTTTAGAGCCACACGGTACCCCAGAGCAGGATTACTTATGGTAAACCTGCATAAACACGTACCCACGTAATTGTTTCTGGCTTCTTGTAGTGAAAAGCTGATCCTTCTTAAAAGCGTTGTTTGTTTTTTATAATTTCTCCTAGATTTTCACTGAATCACAGTGTTCTTTGTGAAATGTGTAGTGAAGAGGAAAGAGCTTTGGACCAGGTGTCATAAAAATCAGGGTTCTTTGGTTTGCCTCTTAAGTAAGTGTGATATTAGGCCAGTTTCTAGCCTCTAGCCTCTTTCACTAGTAAATCACCTTGCCAGTAGTACTGTGCCTAAAATGGGAATTTGGTTTGGGAGGAGCTAGAAGCAGGGTTGGTTCAGTTAGCTTCAGGTTTTGGTACTGTTAGCTTTGTAGATTAAAAAGTTTATACTTAATATAGAAGATTTCCAAAATATGTAAATGGACCAGCAAAGATTTTGGTTCTGTAGCAAAAAACCCTTATCATTGGAATTAAATGTAAATCCCTGGTTTTTGGTTTCTTAAAGCCAGGAGCTGCACTTAGAGATAACAATGAAAAGCTGAGTGAAGGGGAGACGGCTGGATGGAAGATCTAGCCTGAGCACATCCCCCATCTGTCTGCACTCTTCGGAGGTATCGGAAAACCATGGCACAGGCCCATGGTTCCATCCAGCTCTAAAAACTTCTCGATTTCCAGGTGTAGGAAAGGCGATGACTTAGAGATTGTTACTGCCTTCAAATATTTTTAAAACATAAAGTTATTTATAATGAATGACATTTTTTACTTTATCTGGCACAAAATTATTATATTCTCTGTTAGCAAAATATAACAAAAGTTGAACTCTGCTGGGGGTACAGAAATTTCTTAAGCAAAAATATTGATCCTTAGTTATTGTGATTATTTGTGTATTTATAACTTTTCACTTAGCTCATTAGGTAATGTTATTTCCTGAGGTATTAACATTTTACATTTATTTTTCATTGGTAGGGACCTAATCTAATATTTTAAGTAATGAATCAGTTTTCAAGCAAAACATTTTTCCTTACCTGTTTTCTTTAACTTAAGCATATTTTTGAGAAAAAATTAAATTTATCTTTTTGGAACAGGGTCATTATCGTTATTGTGATGCTCTTTCTATGCTGGGGGAATATGACTGGGCCCTGCAAGCAAACATAAAAGCTCAAAAACTCTGTAAAAATGACCCTGAGGGAATCAAGGATCTAATTCAGCAGCATGTAAAGTTACAAAAACAAATAGAAGACCTACAAGGTATTTCACCTAAGATTCTTTTGGTTACAGTCTTAATTCCCTTTCAAACTTTGGAGGGTGGGTTTCTTGGATTAACAGAGGACCACAAATCAATCCTCAGATGATTTATCCTTATTTTATCATGTTATCTTGGTCATGGCACTTGAGTTTTTCATTTCTATCTGTGTAGAGTTACATGTTATCCATTAAGTAATTATAAATGATTTGTACTTTTTATTTGAAACAGACAGCAACCAAATTGTTATTTATTCCTCTGTAGAAAAAAAAATCCCTTTCAGAAATTTTGAATAAAATAAAAGCTTTTTTGAAACAAAATTATTTAAAAATATTTCCTTCATTGCTAAAGTTATTTCCTAAAGAAAAGACCCTTCAGTAGAGCTGCTTGATGTTTCCGCACCATTTGTGCTAATTCTGCAGCGTGCTGAATATATATATATATAATATATATATATATATATTATATATATATATATAATGTTTTTTATATATATAGCAGAAATTGGCTGTGCAGGCTAGGAGTTGTAGATTTTCATTCTCTCCTTGTTTTCTCTCCTAAGTCTTTTTGCTTTCTCCAATGCCTGAAAGTCCCTTAGTCTACATTTTTAGTGTATGAGTCTTTCCTGCTTTTTCTTCTTCGGGTTGTACAAAGCTGAGCTGAACAGCTCTGTTTGACCGGCAGATGTTGTTATCCATCATAACATGATTATGTAATAAGATGGTGAGCTCCTTGAAGACAGGTGCCACCTTTGATTCAGATTTACATATTGCTGTCATCTTGTCAATGATCACATGTGATGGAATGTCAGACAAAGTTTGTGTAACATTTTGTTGACACCATCCTAAAACTAAAGACATCTAGAAATGTAAAATTGCTTAGATTTACTTTTCAGTTTTCTAAATTTGAGGTCCTTACTATCAGCTTAAAGTAAATTTGAAATCTTTTAAAGTCTGTGTTGCCAATCCATTGATTACTATGTGTGTGTGTGTGTGATGACTTTTATAGGTCGAACAGCAAATAAGGATCCAATTAAAGCCTTTTATGAAAACAGGTAAGTTAATAGCAGGTCAGTAGCTGCTACTACTAGGAATGGCTTTGCTGCATGAATTTAAGAATCACTTATGTTTGACGCTTTAGGAGCTAATAGCAACCACAGTAAAGTTGGAGATGGAAGGAAGAGAGGTAGTTTTTTAAGTGTCCGTGTTATCAGGTGACCTGTAAGTTGTCAGATTTATTTCGCTGTTTTAGTGAACCATATAGATATAAGCTCAGTAGCCTAATCCTGTGGGAAAAGAGGGGTGAAATGTTAATTGGACATTACTATGCTTGGATGGGACCAGTTTGGCCATGAAACTCCTGGCAGCACAGAGCTAGGACATAGCCTGTGCCCTGTGCCCTTCACCTCTGTCTTGGAAGTATCTATGGCAAAAACCACAATTACTTTTGCACCAACCTAATATTTCCAGCTTCCTGATGTCTTTCAAAGGCTAAGATACTTCCTATTAGAAATAGGCAACAGATAGACTTGAGTATGCTCACAAGAAAGCAATAGCAGCCAGGGTTCTACCTTTACTTATTTGGCAATTAAAACAGATTAAATGTTTTTCTGCATTCTTGTTCAGATGTCTGGGATACCGAAGCTGCTAATTCTGTAGCATGCTGAACATGTAGACATAAAGAAATTGGCTGTGGAGGCTTTAAATTTAATTTTAGTATCCTAATTTAACTTAACTTAGGATATTTAAATTTAGCACAAGGTCATAGGTATTTTTTTTTTTTTAATTTTTTTGAGACGGAGTCTCACTCTGTCACCCAGGCTGGAGTGCGGTGTTATGATGTCGGCTCACTGCAACCTCTGCCTCCCGGGTTCAAGCGATTCTCCTGCCTCAGCCTCTTGAGTAGCTGGGGCCACAGGCGGCTGCCACCACGCCCTGCTAATTTTTGAATTTTTGGTAGAGATGAGGTTTCAACATTTTGGCCAGACTGGTCTCAAACTCCTGACCTCAAGTGATCCGCTCGCCTTGGCCTCCCAAAGTGCTGAGATTACAGGAGTGAGCCACTGTGCCCAGCCTGAGCCACTGTGCCCAGCTGATATTTAAATGTTAGAACGCAGAATACTTCTTTTTGAACTGTTCTTTTTTTTTTTTTTTTTTTTTTTGAGACAGTCTCCCTCTGTCACCTAGGCTGGAGTGCAGTGGCACGATCTTGGGTCACTGAAACCTCCGCCTACTGGGTTCAAGCAGGTCTCCTGCCTCAGCCTCCCCAGTCGCTGGGATTACAGGCACATGCCACCACACCTGGCTAATTTTTGTATTTTTAGTAGAGACGGGGGTCTCACCATGTTGGCCAGGCTGGTCTTGAACTCCTGACCTTAGCTGATCCACCTGCCCTGGGCTCCCAAAGTGCTGGAATTACAGGCGTGAACCACTGCACCCAGCCCTTGACCTGTTCTTTATTATTTTGAGTTTAATGCCAAATATAAAATAATGTTTATGTATAAAGCCCCATCTCACAGGTAGGAAATCTTTTTAAAACAATAATACCTTGCTTTCAAGGAAAAAAGGCTGTGATTGCTGCAACCTGTTCATTCAAAGGATAACTTTCAAAAAATGTATAATAATTCCTTTTTTCCCCCACTTAGGGCCTACACACCTAGGAGTTTATCAGCACCTATATTTACTACTTCACTTAACTTTGTGGAGAAGGAAAGAGATTTCAGAAAAATTAATCACGAAATGGCCAACGGTGGTAATCAGAATCTAAAGGTAAGCTCCATTGAAAACTACAGTTTTTTTCAAGGATAGATAGTCTCATATTTTTACAGTAATATTTTGGTGGTAATAGAAACCAAATTTTTGGCGATTTGAACCCTTTTTGCCTATTGTTACTGAAATAATGATTCTCTTTTAAATAAATAATCTGAGTATCTCATATAACTACGTAAATAATATTTGAAAGTCACAGAATTTCTTTTGAAATCACATTTATGTGTTTCCAACATATTTTTAAAAATAACCATTTTGCCGCTTCTCTTTGTATCTTTTCCCTTCGGTTGTTGGAAAAGTCCTCTTGTTGATAATATTGAAAATTTCTAAGAGACTGTGTTCAGTTAGGGAGAGGAGTTTATACCGAGCATCTCCAGCTGGATCTGGAATTGTATTGAGCATTTCCAGCTGGATCTGAAGCTAAGGGTCTGTAAACACTCACCTCAGCCTGCCTTAGCAGCCCTTTTCCAGCCTTCCACCCTTTTTGAGGTCTTGAAATCACACAGGTTTACTTAGTGCTTCCGAAATGAACTCTACTCTTGGGTTCAGGCCATTCTGTCCAAATCGTACTTCTTTCTCAAAACCAAACACAAATGCTGTATCCTCACTAACATTTTTCTTAACCACTCCAGCTTAAGTGATTTTTCCCTTTTGTGAGTTGTGAGAGATATTACTGACTATGCAATTTATATGTCAATAACAACACAGTATTTTCTTTTCTTCATAAGGATGGTTGTTGTTTAACTACTGAAGTGATGTGTCTTTTCACCCCATCTGATTGTAAACTGAGAACGGGAGTTATCTCCTGTATCTCTCTGTATCTATGGTAGACCTAAATCATAATAATGATCGCTATTATAATTGATCTTTAATAATTGATTATATTTAATAATTTATTATATATAGAAAAATATCATCAGTAGCTTCTTTTTTGGCTTACCCTTTTGTAGTTACACTCACATACCACATTGCTGCTTCTGTTTCTTACTCCAATTTATATTTTAAAAATAGTTTTACTCTCAGGCTTGTAGATTTTTATGTACAGATGTGATAGTGTTAATTCAAACATTATTGAACAATTGTCATGTCAGACATCGTGCTAGGCAATAGAAATAGAATTGTCATTCAAGAATTTGTTCGTTGCCATATCATGATCCTTATCATTAGTTATCATTTTGTTTGCTTGTTTATACATTTAGGCTTAATAACCAGCTGCATATTTTAGCTGCTAGGGTGAATTCTATCCTATTCTATTCTAAATTCTTTTATATAGCTATTGAATTCTTCATGGCTGGGTTGTTTTTTTTTTTTTTAAGTCTCACTAATTTCATTGGCAGGTGGCGGATGAGGCGTTGAAGGTAGATGATTGTGACTGTCATCCTGAATTTTCACCACCATCAAGTGAGTATTGTTTTTATATCAATTGTTGCCAAGTTAATATAATGTCTCCTAAATTTGGATGCCCTACAATGTGCACAAGCCTTGCTTATATCCACTCTTGTTCTCCTTTACTTTATAATGCTTCTATGTTAAGAAAATATTGAATATTTATTTGAAATCAATGCTCAGTCTTTTTGTATTATTTAGTGAATGTAATTTTGGAAATTCAAATAAAAGGAAAGGAAAAGATGAAGTACATAGCTCTTTTTGGTCTGCTTCTTAATTTTTTTTAGGCTGTTGTTTCTCATTATTGAAAGTTTATTATTGCCTCCCTTCCTCCCACCTGCTAGGAGCCTGTTTAGACCTTTTTAAATCTAATTGTTCTCCCTCATAAAATTTTAATAGCTGTTTATGTACCATATGTGCATCTGCGCTTTATGTATAAAAGGAATTGATTTTGTCTCCCAATAACTAATTTTCACCCTATTGGGGGTGATATCACCCATATTGAGAACAGATGCTGCTGTAACAAAAATACCATAAACTAGATAGCTTATAAGCAACAAACATTTATTTCTCACATTTCTAGAAGCTGAGAAATTCATCATCATGATGTCAACAGATTCGATGTCTGCTGAGGGTCTTCTTCCCGGTTCATAGATGGCCATCTTTTTGCCGTGTTCTCATGTAGTAGAAGGAGCAAGACAGCCCTCTGGGGTCTCTTTTCTTTTTCTTTCTTTTTTTTTTTTTGAGACAGATTCTTGCTCTGTTGCCCAGGCTGGAGTGCAGTGGCATGATCTGGGCTCTCTGCAGCCTCTGCCTCCTGGGTTCAAGCAATTCTCCTGCCTCAGCCTCCCGAGTAGCTGGGATTACAGGCATGCACTACCACACCAGGCTAATTTTTGTATTTTTAGCAGAGACAAGGTTTTGCCATGCTGGCCAGGCTGGTCTCGAAATCTTGGCTTCAAGCAATCCTCTCGCCTTGGCCTCCCAAAGTGCTGGGATTGCAGGTGTGTGCCACCACGCCCAGCCTGGGGTCTCTTCTTATAAGGGCACTAATCCCATTCATGAGGGGACAGCCTCATGACCTAATTCCTCCCAAAGGTTCCACTTCCTATTACCATCGCCTTGAGGATTTGGTTTTCAACATGTGAATCTTGTCGGGGACACAGATATCCAGACCATAACAGTGCTGTAGGCTAAGTCTCATTTGTTTTAAGTTGTGTGTGCTCAGTGCATGTATTTATTTACATATCTAGTAAACACAGACACCGCAGAACCTCATTACTTGGCATCATTTGGAGATGAAGGTTCTGGAGAAGTGAATATTTTTGTGCTTCATTTATTTCTGAATCTTAATACCACCAGAGTTTGATGAAAATCCTCTAAAGTATATTACATGCTTCCCTGCCTTTTAACACGGAATTTAGGAAAATACAGGTTTTCTTGATGGCTTAAGGTTGTGGTCACACATAACAGTGACTGACCTCAAGCCTGGTGGTGTTCCTCCCAGGATTCTTCAGGTGAGATTGTTGATTTTTTAGTTAGTGATCCTCTCTTTTCCCTTGTCTTGTTTGTTGGGTGGTTGGTTTTTCTTTCCATAGTTTTGCTTCTAGCAGCCATTTCTATTTTTTGTGACCTGCAGCTCCATGTTCGCTCAGGCTCAGTTAGTTCCATAGATACAGCTACTTAGTATTGAGCATTTCCATTTGGTTAGCACATTAGCGTAATGATAGGGAGGGGAAACTCAGGCAGTTGTCCTACCTGATGCAGTTCCAACAGCATATAAAACATCTTTGAGGATAAAACTTTTTTTTGGAAGATAGCTTTTAATTTCTTCATATTTCTCAGGCCATTACTATCATTTAATTAAATAAATTCTGTCCACCCTTCAGCATTTACATACAGGGGAAGAAATTGAGGTTCCAGGATTAAGGTTAAGTAGTTTTGTCCAAGGTCACAGAATGGAAATCAAACTAGAATTCTTCTACCTTTCCAAAAGCTGCTTTTGTTTTCTGAGGCCACCAAAGCCCAGGCTCTCATTCCCTCCTTATTACATTGGCTCTGACTTGTGTCTGTGCCCTCCCCTTAAACCTTCATCAGATGCACCCTGCTCCTCCTGCCATACCAGTTCTTCTACACAGCTCTGAGCATGGCTCTCCCTGCCCAAAAATATGCAGTGGTTTCCTACTCCTGCCAGCAGAATAAATCTGGGCTCACAGAGCTGGATCTGAAGCTAAGGGTCTGTAAACACTCACCTCAGCCTGCCTTAGCAGCCCTTTTCCAGCCTTCCACCCTTTTTGAGGTCTTGAAATCACACAGGTTTACTTAGTGCTTCTGAAATGAACTCTCTACTCTTGAGTTCAGGCCATTCTATCCAAATCGTACTTCTTCCTCAAAACCGAACACAAATGCCATATCCTCACTAACATTTTTCTCAGCCACTCCAGCTTAGGTGATTTTTCCCTTTTGTGAGTTGTGAGAGATATTACTGACTATGCAATTTATATGTCAATAACAACACAGTATTTTCTTTTCTTCATAAGGATGATTGTTGTTTAACTACTGAAGTGATGTGTCTTTTCACCCCATCTGATTATAAACTGAGAACAGGAGTTATCTCCTGTATCTCTCTGTATCTATGGTAGACCTAAATCATAATGATCACTATTATAATTGATCTTTAATAATTTAATTTATTATATATAGAAAAATATCATCAGTAGCTTCTTTTTTGGCTTACCCTTTTGTAGTTACACCCACGTACCACATTTCTGCTTCTGTTTTCTTACTCCAATTTATATTTTAAAAATAGTTTTACTCTCAGGCTTGTAGATTTTTATGTACAGATTTTAGGAACAAATACTTTTGTGTTCACAGGTCAGCCTCCAAAACATAAAGGAAAACAAAAATCTCGAAACAATGAATCAGAAAAGTTCAGGTATGTTTTTTCTCTAAGGTATGTTTTTTTCCCCTTAATATACTCTTCCCAAGAAAAAGGAAAAAAAATTGTTTTTCGAGTATTAGCTACTTTAATGTATGTATTATGATGACTACCAAAATCCCTTTCAAATATCAAAAGCATATCTTTAGGAAAGGATAATTTTTGGCTAAAGGATTATTAATCCTGGATATTAATATATTGACTTCTGAAAGTCACATAATATGAAATATTTCCATATTAATTTCTTAAATCCCAGAATATGTACTCTAAAAGGAAAAAGCATTAAGAGAGATATAAGGTGCACATGAAGCCTCCTTCCCTGCTCACCTCATTTGACCCTCCTGCAGTCCCTTCTCTAAGGCCTCCTCCAGGAATACACTGTTAACAGTTTCATGACTATTGGGAAACTTACTCTGCATACGCAGACATGGGTATGCATATTTCAGATGCCCTTTTGAGTAATTATTGTTAGAGGAAAATCTTTCCTAATGAATTCTGACTACTTCTAAAATGAATTCTATCAAACATCCCCATGAAAATTAACAGTAATTAATTGCCTCCTATCTTTTTTTTTGTTTTTTTGAGATAGGGTCTTGCTCTATCACTTAGGCTGCGGTGCAGTGGTGTAACCCTAGCTCACTGCAGGCTTGAACTCCTAGACTCTAGTGATTCTTTTTGCCTCAGCTCCCAAGTAGCCAGGACTACTACTGCTACTATGGTGCACGTCACCATGACTGGATAACTAAAACTAAATGTTTTTTAGAGACAGGGTCTTGCTCTGTTGCCCAGGCTGGTCTTGAACTCCTGGCCTCAAGTGATCCTTCTGCCTTGGCCTCCCAGAGTGCTGGGATTGCAGGCGTGTGCCTGGCCTTGCCTCCTGTCTTTATTGTTAACACCCCATTGACAACAAGATATAAATTGATTACAATGTGAAATTGTAAATCTTTTAATACAGAAGTTTATGAAGTGAATTAAAGTGATGTTGGAGAAACAGCAAAGCCATGTCTGCCACAATACACTGGTTTTCAATTTCTTCTCCATTTCTTAATCTGAATCCATGATAGATGCTTCAGGGGGAATGATTTGAATATCAAAACACTAAAAAAAAATCAGTGAAGTCTCATTTCTTTTCAAAAATGACCATTTTTGGATGCTGCTACAAAAATTAAATACAAAGCAAGGATATAGCATATTATTATGTTTTTCTATTATTTGATAGAAAAATCATGAGTCTTCTTCCCTGCCCTCCCCTGTACCCCTAAAGAAACCAGATATTAATATATGATAATTTTTTAAATGCAGAGTTGTAATTTTAACCTGTTTTATTTAAAAAAAATTTATTTTTCTGATATTTTGTTTCACTTTTCCAACTGAACACTCCTTTATTAGGTAATATCTACCATATGGGACTATTTCTTCATTAAATGGGATAACCACGTAAAACACTTAGAGCCCTGGAACATAGTAAATCTTCAGTGTACTTTAGTCGTCATTACTGTTACCACCATCATTTTCATTATTATTAGAATGACTCTGGCCTACAGCTTGCTTTTTGTCTTTTACAAAATATCTTGTGTTTCTTCCCATGTTCAGAACACAGAGCTCTTCCATTCTTCATTTGCTGTACAGTATTTTGTAATATGGCTGTATCCCCCATTTTTGTGCATTTAGGCTCTTCATTCCTCTTTTCCTCCCTCACTTTCTATCCCTCTATCCATCTCTCTCTTTTTCTTCTTCCTTTGAGAGGGATAGATCAGACAGTACTTCAAACATCCTTGCACATACACCTTTGTGCACCTGTTCATGTATATTTACAATAAATACTTTGTAAATAATGTATAGAAGTTGTTTCTGTAGTGGGATTGCTGTATCAAAGGGGATATGTAATTTTATCTTTGACAGATATTGTGAAATGGTTCTCTTAGAAAATAGGCACTGTTCACACTCCGACTAATCTACAGGAGGGTGTGGTATAATAAAAATATATATATATTTGGTATTTGTCCCAGTTCCTGGTACAGAGCTCCCAAAACCCATGGCATTTCCTGAATGATAGGAGTGTATTTTGTTACTCATCATGAGCCCCTTTCCATGTACTTGAGTTTATGCTAATGAGGTGACTCAAGGTAGTGCCTCAGATAGTTCAGGAGGAGGTCTCGTCACTGGAAAGACCAAACACCTGATTAGAGGGTTAAGACTTTCAGCCTCATACCTGACCTCCAAGGAGAGGAGGGGGGCTGGAAATTGAGGTTAGGCACCAATGGCCAGTGGTTGATTTAATTGTACCTACATACCTACATAATGAAACCTTAGTAAAGTCCTTAAAAGAGGGCATGGGGAGCTTCTGGGCTGACGAACACATTGATGTGCTGAGAAAGTGGCATGCCCAAGGGGATCATGAAGCTCCTCGCGCCCCCCAACCTTCCTATGCATCTCTTCCTCTTGGCTGTTTTTGAGTTGTATCCTTTATAATAAATTGGTAATAGTAAGCACTTCCTTGAGTTCCATTGTTTTTCTAGTGAGCCTGAAGAGGGACTCATGGGAACCCTCTTGTAGTCAGCAGGGCAGGAGTGTGGGTGACCTGTGCACCCCACTTGCAGCTGAAGTGAGGGCAGTCTGGTGGGACTGATTCTTTACCCTGTGAGGTCTGCGCTAACTCTGGGAGTTAGTATCAGAACTGAATTGCATTATTGCACACTCATTTTGTGTTGGACAGTTGAATTGATACGGAAAAATGACAATATTTGGTATTGGAGAAAATCTACACATTGGATGTCAGAAGTACTTTCAGAAAACTCCACATCGAGTGCCTCAGATTTTCTTACTCTCACCAACTTAGGGAGTCAGACTTTCTGAAATGCTTGTATCTTATTATTAGATTTTCCCATCACATTGAACATCTTTGCACTGTTTATTGGGCACATTTATTGTTTTAGGCCCATGTTGTTACTAGTGACTACAGATCAAGGCAAATACCCCTTAATTTTTCTCTTTTTTCAAAAGCTGTTTTTCCATATCATCTTTATAATCAATTCATCTGGTTTCCCTCCACCTCTGATTTTATAGGAATGTTTATTGAGATTGCATTGGATTTAGAGATTTCTAATAGAAATATTGCCAAAATGCCAATTCCCCCCAAAGAATGGCCAACTTGTATGGCTCACCATTTACTCACTATTTTACATGGCCTTCAGTAAATATATTTTTTTCTTCTATCTGTCACATTGGAGGGATGAGAGCGAACTAATATTCAGATTCTATTTTTTTTCTTTTTTTTTTTTTTAGATGGAGTCTTGCTCTGTCGCCCAGGCTGGAGTGCAGTGGTAAGATCTCGGTCCTGGGCTCAAGCAATTCTCCTGCCTCAGCCTCCCAGGTAGCTGGGATTACAGGCATGCACCACCACGCCAGGATAATTTTTGTATTTTTAGTAGAGACAGAGTTTCACCATGTTGGTCAGGCTGGTCTCGAACACCTAACCTCAGGTGATCCACCCACCTCGGCCTCCCAAAGTGCTGGGATTACAGGTATGAGCCACTGTGCCTGGCCCTATTTTTTCTTTATATGAGTAGAACTTTTATTTTAAAATGATTTTTAAAAATGCTTTTTTTCTTTTAGTTCTAGTTCACCATTGACTTTACCAGCAGATTTGAAGAACATCTTGGAGAAACAGTTTTCTAAATCTTCCAGAGCTGCACACCAGGTAATGGAGAAGCTTTTCCAATGGAAAAAGCAAAACTCTTTGAACAAAACATTGTTCACATGAATAAGGTTCTAATCATGTACATCTCTAAGTTTTTTTTATATAATTATTGTATTATATTGTAGTTTTGTAGAGATGGGGTCTCACTGTGTTGTCCAGGTTGGTTTCAAACTCCTGGCCTCAAGCAATCCTCTTAAAGTGTTGGGATTACAGGTGTGAGCTATTGCACTCAGCTATTATAGACATATCATTTAATATATATGACTGCTAAGAATCCAATCTATCACTAATTTAAATATTAACTTGATAATTACGTTAGCTAGAGGTTTAACTAATGATTAGCACTGTGGAATTATTTGCTTCTCAAAGAGTTAACAGTAGTATTAACTTTAAATATTTTTAAAAGATTTAAACACAGTTTCATTATACTTATTCTAAAATCATTAGAGGGCAAACTTTTATTCTTTAAATGATTTAACTTAATCAGATAATGTTGTATATAAAATTCTTTTTACGTTACTTCATGATGGAAAATATACATTAACATGGAATAGAATACTCATTTCAAAACATGTGGATCTTTTTTTAGGTATACATAACAGATATTTTACAAAGAACTAAAATAGATTCCTAATCATTTGCTTAAAAACATTTTTGAGAATTTCTTAAAGTTGGAGATTTTAAATTATATCTTTTTACATTGATTTTTACTGACTCTAAACACCATGAAATACTTAAATAGATGACAGCCTGTGAAGATGAAAAGACTATTTAAATAAATATGATCGCTGTTTTTGAGCCTCTGTTTGTTCATTCAACACAGTTTGATTGAGGCTCTCTCCATATGCTGGGGAGTGAGAGAGATTGGGTGCACAGTGATATGATTTCGGCCTGCTCTGCTGGAGCTTTCAGGACAGATCATTTATGTCGTATTGAGGGAAGTGACTTCCAATGAAAGCATGAGGCTGTATGGATCTGATTTCTAGACTGATAAAGAAAGCTGGGCATGGTGGCACGTGTCTGTAGTCCCAGCTCCTCAGGAGGCTGAGGTGAGAGGATTAACCACTGCACTCCAGCCTGGGCAACATAGGAAGGCCCTGTCTTATTTATTTATTATTTTCTTTTGTTTTCTTTTTTAAGCCTCTCACTAGTTTGGGAGCCCTGTCTCTTTTAAAGAAGAAAGAAAAAGAATGAGAACAAGATTAAAATTGAATGAGTTTATGCAAGGCTAATAACTAGTATTTGTAGGGCTAGTATATCATCATTTATAACTTCAAGTTCATATCTTAAAACAAGTATGGCTGTCATCGAGCTTTTAAGTTTTTCTGAAAGCTGCTCTTTTCTATGCATATTCTGGGGAGCGTTCTGCCAAACTTTGATTCATTGGTTCAAAAGCCAGCAGAGGCCGGGTGCAGGGTCTCACACCTGTAATCCCAGCATTTTGGGAGGCCGAGGCAGGCGGATCACAAGGTCAAGAGATTGAAACCATCCTGGCCATCATGGCGAAACCCCATCTCTACTAAAAATACAAAAAATTAGCTGGGTGTGGTGGCGTGCACCTGTAGTCCTAGCTACCCAGGAGGCTGAAGCAGGAGAATCGCTTGAACCCCGAGGTGGAGGTTGCAGTGAGCCGAGATCTGCCACTGCACTCCAGCCTGGACGACAGAGCAAGACTCCATCTCAAAAAAAAAAAGCCAGCAGAAGGCTTTTGTTAATGGGTAACCAAACTGCTTTTTCCTCTGTGATTTGTGCAGTGGGGCCTCCTTTTGGATCTTCATTGTTAGGAATGGTGAGGAATACAACATACATATTTGCATTTGCGGCCCCTTTGAATGGCGCACACGTGTATAGCAAGGAGTGAGGAGATTTTAGGCTTAATGTCTAGCCTTGCCTCTCCAATCTTTGTGGAACTTTGGTGACTTACAGCTATTCCCATGTCACTAAAATATGAATTCAAATTATAATGCGTATTCAAATTACAAAGTTTTTCTCACTTTAAGGGCACATGATAGCAATTTTGTTTTTATTTTTTATTCCTTATGTTATTCCTTTTGCATTTAACCTATTGTTATCTCTCCCAGTAATTTTATCTACTTATATTCAAATATATGTTAGGCAGGAGTACAGTTAACAATTACAGTATTTATTTCTTGCTTAGAATTAAGGTTTGTTTCAGAGCAGGATGGCAGTTGTTAAAATCTGGTAGTGATCAGAATATTGATTGTATGTTCTTAAGTGTCTAATTGTTCTACTCCCAAACAACTTACTTATTTAAATGATGGCTGTTGTTTTTCATATATATTGTTAAAACTTAAAAATACTGTCTGTTTAGTCTGGAGAGCAAGTGAGGCTTAGTACCATGTAGTGTAAAATGAGCCACCTTTGTCACAGGCAACAGAAGAGGTGTTGCAATTAGGATGGTAAAGCAGTACCTTTTCATTTTCACTTTAAAAGTGTGGTGCTGAGAAAGGAATATGATGAATAAGGGTAGTTTGGGTATTGATGTAAACATTTTATCATTAGTTATAAAATATTACTATGAACTTGGCATCTTAGGTTTTAAATTAAAAATGTGTAGATTCAGGTTACTGAAATAGAATTTCTTTTTTCCAGGATTTTGCTAATATAATGAAAATGCTGAGAAGCTTAATTCAAGATGGCTATATGGCCTTATTGGAGCAGCGTTGCCGCAGCGCTGCACAGGCCTTTACAGAGTTGCTGAACGGTTTAGATCCTCAAAAAATAAAGGTAAATTTGCCATATCATAACTTGTTTATCAATGCTAATGCACCTCAGATGAATGCAGAAGAGAACCAAGGGCTTAACTCATTGTAGTAATGTACCTAAGACCTTGCTGAGATTGGCTGAATCTACTTCAGGTTATGGGAAGCAGGTACTGCTCCAATTCAGACTTCATGAGTATGTTCAGTATGTGATCCATGTTTATATTCTCTCCTTGACTATAGTTTAGGGTCATTAGAACTGGCTTTTTCTCTGAATCAAGGTTTTCAACTATCTTTAGTCACACCTTTTCACCCAGGAAGAAAGTACAGGCACACCTCGTTTCATTATGCTTTGCTTTATTGTACTTTGCAGACAATGCATTTGTTACAAATTGAAGATTTGTGGCAACCCTGTGTCAAGCAAGTCTGTTTTCTGAAAGCATGTGCTCACCTCATGTCTCTGTGTCACATTTTGGTAATTCTCACAATATGTCAAACTTTTTCATTATCATTATCACTGTATCTGTGATCAGTGATCTTTGATGTTACTATTGTAATTATTTTGGGGCACTACAATCTGTGCCTATGTAAGAAAGGGAACTTAATAAATTGTGTGTGTGTGTTCTGAGTGCTCTGCCAACCAGCTGTTATCTCCACCCCCTTCCTTAAGTCTCCCTGTTCCCTGAGACACGATATTGAAATTAGGCCAATTAATGACCCTACAATGGCCTCTAAGTATTCAAGTGAAAGGAAGAGTTGCACGTCTCTCACTTTAAATAAAAAACTAGAATGATTAAGCTTCGTGAGGAAGGTATGTTGAAAGCCAAGACAGGCAGAAAGCTAGTCCTCTTGTGCCAAATAGCCAAATTGTGAATGCAAAGAAACAGTTTTTGAAGGAAATTAAAAGTGCTACTTCAGTGAACACATGAATGACAAGAAAGTGAAACAACTTTCTTGCCGATGCAGAGAGTCTTAGTGGTCTGGGTAGAAGATCAAACCAGCCACAACATTCTCTTAAGCCAGAGCCTAATCCAGAGCAAGACTCTAACTCTTCTATTCTGTGAAGGCTGAGAGAGGTGAGGAAGCTGCAGAAGAATAGTTTGAAACTAGCAGAAGTTGGTTCATGAGATTTAAGGAAAGAAGCTATTTCCATAACATAAAAGTGCAAGGTGAAGCAGCAAGTGCTGATGGAGAAGCTGCAGTAAGTTATCGAGATCTAGTGAAGATCATTGATGAAGGTGGCTACGCTAAACAACAGATTGTCAATGGAGACTAAACAACCTTCTGTTGGAAGAAGATGCCATCTAGGACTTTCATAGCTAGAGAGAAGTCAGTGTCTGGTTTCAAAGCTTCAAAAAGGATGGGCTCATTACTCATTAGGGGCTGATGCAGCTGGTGACTTAAGTTGAAGCCAGTGCTCATTTATGTTCCAAAAATCCTCAGGCCCTTAAGAATTATGCTAATTCACTCTGCCTGGAGCCCTAGAAATGGAACAACAAAGCATGAATGGCAGCACATCTGTTTACAGCATGGTTTACTAAGTACTTTAAGCCCACTGTTGAGACCTACTGCTAGAATAAAAGATTCTTTGCAAAATACTATTGCTCATTGACAATGCACCTGATTGCCCAGGAGATGTGGTGTACATGTACAAGGAGATGAATGTTGTTTTCATGCCTGGTAACACAATATCCATTCTGTAGCCTATGGATCAAGGAGTCATTTTGACTTTCAAGTCTTATTATTTAAGAAACATATTTTATAAGGCTATAGCTGCCATAGTGATTCCTCTGTTGGATCTGGACAAAGTAAATTGAAAACCTTCTGGAAAGGATCACCACTCTAGATACCATAAAGAACATTCATGATGCATGTGAGAGATCAAAATATCAACATTTACAGGAGTTTGGAAGAAGTAAATTCCAGCCCTCATGGATGACTTTGAGGGGTTCAGGACATTAGTGGAGGAAGTCACTGCAGATGTGGTGGAACAAGCAAGAGAATTAGAAGTGGAGCCTGAAGATGTGACTGAATTGCTGCAACCTCAGGATAAAACTTGAAGGGATAAGGAGTTGCTTTTTATACATGAACAAAAAAAGTCATTTCTTGAAATGGAATCTACTCCTTGTGAAGATGCTGGAATATTGTTGAAATGAGAAACTTAGTTGATCAAGCAGTGGCAGGATTTGAGAGGATTCACTCCAATTTTGAAAGAAGTTCTAGTGTGGGTAAAATACTGTCAAACAGCATCACACATTACAGAGAAACCTTTTCTGAAAGTAAGAGTCAATCAGTATGACAGACTTCATTGTCTTATTTTAAGAAATTGCCACAGCACCTTAATTTTCAGGAACTACCACCCTGAACAGTTAGCAGTCATCAATATCAAGGCAAGACCATCCACCAACAAAAAGATTATGACTCACTAGAAATACCCAGTGTAGATGACGGTTGATGGGTGCAGCAAACCACTGTGGCACGTGTTATACCTGTGTAACAAACCTGCACGTTCTTCTGCACATGTATCCCAGAACTTAAAGTATAATTTTAAAAAAAGTTTAAAAAAAGATTATGACTCAGTAAACCCTCAGATGATCATTAGCATTTGTAGCAATAAAGTCTTAAATTAAGGTGTGTACATTGTTTAATGGACGTAATGCTACTACACACTTAATAAACTACAGTATCGCTAAAACATAACTTTAATATGCACTGGGAAACCCACAAGTTTGTGAGACTCACTTGATTGTGATATTTGCTTTATTGTGATGCTCCAGAGCCGAGCCCACAGTATCTCTGAGGTATGCCTATAATAGCTAAGTAAATGTCTTAATCTGTCACTAGTACTGCTTATATGCAAAATAATATGACTTTAATTATAAATTAATCTATTATGAATCATGCCTCAAGGAACTCTGAGACAGTGATTCTGTGTTTTAAATAGCAGGATAACTGCTTTATTGGAACAAAAATCTCTTTTCTAATTTGATTTGGCCAATCATATTGATTAGTGAGATTTTATGACAATCATTGATTCGTAAGATTGATTAGTGAGATTCTATTACACTTCTTTTTCTGTTGTGACTGGATGCAAATTGGGCAGAATTATATTCAGATTTTTAACTGAGGCATTTTTATTGACAGCAATTGAACCTGGCCATGATTAACTATGTTTTGGTCGTCTATGGACTTGCCATTTCTCTCCTTGGAATAGGACAGCCTGAGGTAAGATTTGTAACAGTGGTAATAAACAATTAAAATGATATTGACATATCTTATAAAAATTATTTTCTCATTTTTACCCATTTTCTTCTCTGTACCTTCTGATAATTTTGTCTGAAATATCTCAGTTTAATTTAGTTTGTGTTTTTAAAGAATATTTAGTTTCCTATTAGAAAAAGGCTTTGCCAGGCAATCAGTGGGAATCTACTTTTTATTTGTGTAAAAATTAGTATGTAATGTATCATGATTGATAGATTTCAGAAACATAATCTTGAGGGAAAGGCAAGTTGGAGGACATAAACATTGTGATCCCACTTATATACTTTTTGGAAAACATACATAACAGTACTATATACTGTTTATGAATTCTGTGCATCTTGTAAAAAAGTGAAAAAATATGGATTATGTTTATATAAAATTTAAGATAATGGCTGCCTTTAGTGATGGCCAGGAGGGAATGGACCTGGGGAGGTTTCGTGTTATGCTGTTTTCCTAGAAAAACAAAGGTAACAATGATAACGTTAGTATCTCTTATTTGTACGTAGAAAGTACTTGGATATTGTATTATTTCTAGATTGCAGGCTTCCTATAACTGCATGTAGTCAGTGTATAGACATGAGCTCCCAGGATTTCCATTAGTCATGCTCCTGCCTGGCTCTCCTGGAATGTTTACCTACCTATACTGTTTGGCATTATAACTTTGCTTTCTGAGGTTTTGAGTTTGCTATAAATGTTGAAATGCTCTAGAATTACCTCAAGTATAATATATAATTTGGTCTCTATTTTTCCCTGTCTAGATGAAGGTTTAACTCTAACTTGCCACCTAGTGAGGATCTAAGTAGTCTTTTACGTTCTGTTCTCTCCCAGAAGTTGACAGTGCCCAAGATTCATTTTCCTTGATCTCAGTGTCACAGATTAATAATGTCTCCCATGAATGCTCTCTAATTCTATTTTCCAAGAGACAGTTGGAGACAGAACTTCATGATTTTCATTTTATTCCTGACAGAATAATAATAAATACCATATTTTACCTTATTAGAATTGAAGAAATCATTTATTACATTTGTGATTTAATGTAAAATAGCGAGACTGATTTAGAAAAAAAAAATGTGTTATAGTAGAACTTACATGTTTAAAAGAATTTCATCAGAGGACAGCCCTTGCTTCAAACGTTTTTAGAATGCCTCCTTTGGAACTGGCCTCAAAGCTCCATTTTGTAGTGACATTTCTTTTTTTCACTCACAGTAGGGTTACCAGTATTTCTTAGAACTATGTATCTTTTGGATGTTTTCCAAAAACAAAATTCATTCAACTTAGTGGTTTTTCACTGTTGAGAATATTCAAAAAAGAATGTACTCTAAGCTATGTTAAGTGTTTACTAATGGGCTGTTTTTAAGACAGAGCTTTCATCCGTCTTGTGCCACAAAAGACTGTGACAACGTCATTGGAATGGCATTCCTTCCAAGGGATTAGCACTTAATAGGATCTATGTTATGGTGTGTTTACACCATAATTAGCCTTTTTTAAAAAACAAAAACAAAAACACGATTTGACTCTTTTTAGTATTAGCCAGCACACGCCAGGCCCTTAGTGCGTACTAGTAAATGCTTATAGGTTGATTGTCTGATGTGTTCAGCAGGATTGGTTTGGTTGTGTCTCTGACTATCCATATGATCAGAAATTTATATAATTCCTAAGAAAGTGAAACACAGAGGTATAATTTTGCCACAGGAATTTGGGGATATGCAGTTGTTATTTTAATATTATAAAAAAAATCAACCTTTAGATAAAATTTATTTCAGTATTTCTCTTTGTATGTAAGTGATCATTGTTTTCACTGCTATTCAAGGAATTATCTGAAGCCGAAAACCAGTTTAAGAGGATTATTGAACACTACCCCAGTGAGGGCCTTGATTGCTTGGCCTACTGTGGAATTGGAAAAGTATATTTGAAAAAAAACAGGTTAGTAGAAATGACACTACTTTAAGCTCTAGGCTGGTAACTCATTTAAAATCCAATGTGATAATGATCCATTTTCTAGAATTATTTTGATATCTCCTCTGTAGCACACTATCATAATTGTGATTTACTTTGAGGACCTGAAATTTCACTATCAGTATTAATTGTTAAAGCAAGGCCAGTCATTGCAGTTCTTGGTACTTCCTGATTTTAAATCTAATAAGTCAACAATATAGTAATTTGACATTAAAGATTTAATAGTCTAGTGTATAATCATCTATAGATAGTGAGTGAATTGATATAAACTAATGTTTTTAAAATCTGATTGTTTAATTTTTTTGATTTAATTATTTTTTAAAAATCTGTATGAAGATGGTTTTAAATAAGAGGTATATATGTGTTCAAAGACATCATGAGTGAGTTAGGAATATAAAAGTCTGTCCTCTGAACTCTATTGTAGTTGTAATCCTTACCTGCAGTTTAATATTGAAGCTGTTCTCTAAATGCCTCATGTCTCTTAGTCTTGTCTCCCCGAATGTCAGTATGTCCCTGAGGGGACAGGATTATGTCTTGAGCTTTAAAAAAAGAAAATCTGTTTCTGCCACTTGTACCCAATATAGAGGTAGGTATGTTAGATTATAAAGAAATAATTGTTGACTGATTGAATATTATTTATAATTTCTAACTGTCTTTAAATTTTCATGTAACTTGTTAGGGGAAATTTTATGAGATTTTGGGGAATCCCCCCCCCAGCCATCTTAGAATGTGCCTAGAACCTCCTTTATAGTTTTTTTTAAATTAAAGAAAGTTTTTTTTTGGCCAGGCACAGTGGCGCACACCTGGAATCCCAGCACTTTGGGAGGCCAGTGGGTGAATCACTTGAGGTCAGGAGTTTGAGACCAGCCTGACCAATATGTTGAAACCCTGTCTGTACTAAAAATACAAAAATTAGCTGGGTGTGGTGGTGCGTGCCTGTAGTTCCAGCTACTCAGGAGGCTGAGGCAGAAAGAATCACTTGAACCCAGGAGGCGGAGGTTGCAGTGAGCTGAGATTGCACCACTGTACTCCAGCCTGGGCGACAGAGTGAGACTCCATCTCAAAAACAGCAATAACACAGAGACACAACAAAAAAAGAGAATTTTAGACAATATCCCTGATGAACATCCATGCAAAAATCCTTAATAAAATACTGGCAAACCGAATCCAGCAGCACATCAAAAAGCTTATCCACCATGATCAAGTGGGCTTCATCCCTGGGATGCAAGGCTGGTTCAACATACACAAATCAATAAATGTAATCCAGCATATAAACAGAACCAAAGACAAAAACCGCATGATTATCTCAATAGATGCAGAGAAGGCCTTTGACAAAATTCAACAGCCCTTCATGCTAAAACTCTCAATAAATTAGGTATTGATGGGACGTATCTCAAAATAATAAAAGCTATTTATGACAAACCCACAGCCAGTATCATACTGAATGGACGAAAACTGGAAGCATTTCCTTTGAAAACTGGCACAAGATAGGGATGCCCTCTCTCACCACTCCTATTCAACATAGTGTCGGAAGTTCTGGCCAGGGCAATCAGGCAGGGGAAAGAAAGAAAGGGTATTCAATTAGGAAAAGAGGAAGTCAAATTGTCCCTGTTTGCAGATGACATGATTGTATATCTAGAAAACCCCATCGTCTCAGCCCAAAATCTTCTTAAGCTGATAAGCAACTTCAGCAAAGTCCCAGGATACAAAATCAATGTGCAAAAATCACAAGCATTCTTATACACCAGTAACAGACAAACAGAGAGCCAAATCATGAGTGAACTCCCATTCACAGTTGCTTCAAAGAGAATACCTAGGAATCCAACTTACAAGGGATGTGAAGGACCTCTTCAGGGAGAACTACAAACCACTGCTCAATGAAATAAAAGAGGATACAAACAAATGGAAGAACATTCCATGCTCATGGATAGGAAGAATCAATATCGTGAAAATGGCCATATTGCCAAGGTAATTTATAGATTCAATGCCATCCCCATCAAGCTACCAATGACTTTCTTCACAGAATTGGAAAAAACTACTTTAAAGTTCATATGGAACCAAAAAAGAGCCCGCATTGCCAAGTCAATCCTAAGCCAAAAGAATAAAGCTGGAGGCATCACGCTACCTGACTTCAAACTATACTACAAGGCTGCAGTAACCAAAACAGCATGTTACTGGTACCAAAACAGAGATATAGACCAATGGAACAGAACAGAGCCCTCAGAAATAATACCACACATCTACAACTATCTGATCTTTGACAAACCTGACAAAAACAAGAAATAGGCAAAGGATTCACTATTCAACAAATGGTGCTGGGAAAACTGGCTAGCCATATGTAGAAAGCTGAAACTGGATCTCTTCCTTGCACCTTGTACAAAAATTAATTCAAGATGGATTAAAGACTTCAATGTTTGACCTAAAACCATAAAAACCCTAGAAGAAAACCTAGGCATTACCATTCAGGACATAGGCATGGGTAAGGACTTCATGTCTAAAACACCAAAAGCAATGGCAACAAAAGCCAAAATTGACAAATGGGATCTAATTAAACTAAAGAGCTTCTGCACAGCAAAAGAAACTACCATCAGAGTGAACAGGCAACCTACAGAATGGGAGAAAATTTTTGCAATCTACTCATCTGACGAAGGGCTAATATCCAGAATCTACAAAGAACTCAAACAAATTTACAAGAAAAAAACAACCCCATCAAAAAGTGGGCAAAGGATATGAACAGACACTTCTCAAAAGAAGACATTTATGCAGCCAACAGACACATGAAAAAATGCTCATCATCACTGGCCATCAGAGAAATGCAAATCAAAACCACAATGAGATACCGTCTCACACCAGTTAGAATGGCGATCATTAAAAAGTCAAGAAACAACAGGTGCTGGAGAGGATGTGGAGAAATAGGAACACTTTTACACTGTTGGTGGGACTGTAAACTAGTTCAACCATTGTGGAAGTCAGTGTGGCGATTCCTCAGGGATCTCGAACTAGAAATACCATTTGACCCAGCCATCCCATTACTCGGTATATACCCAAAGGATTATAAATCATGCTGCTATAAAGACACATGCACACATATGTTTATTGCGGCACTATTCACAATAGCAAAGACTTGGAACCAACCCAAATGTCCCTCAGTGATAGACTGGATTAAGAAAATGTGGCACATATACACCATGGAATACTAAGCAGCCATAAAAAAGGATGAGTTCATGTCCTTTGTAGGGACATGGATGAAGCTGGAAACCATCATTCTCAGCAAACTGTTGCAGGGACAAAAAACCAAACACCGCATGTTCTCACTCGTAGGTGGGAATTGAACAATGAGAACACATGGACACAGGAAGGGGAACATCACACACTGGGGCCTGTTGTGAGGTGGGGGGAGGGGAGAGGGATAGCATTAGGAGATATACCTAAGGTAAAGGACCAGTTAATGGGTGCAGCACAGCAACATGGCACATGTATACCTATGTAACAAACCTGCACGTTGTGCACATGTACCCTAGAACTTAAAGTATAATAAAAAAAATATATATATATAAACAACAAACAACAAAAAAGTGTACACCTGCCACAATAAAGCCAGTGTCCAAGACGAGTTGTGTTTAATGTATATTACTTTTATAGCAAACAGCAATAGTGACTTTGTTTTTTTAAAGAAAATTTAGGTTACATTGAATATTGCTGTTCAGTGATTCATCAAATGTATTCGTCCCAGTAAGCTTGAGATCTTTGGTGACTTTTGAAGGGAGTGAAAATACCATTTTACATCTTTAATGCCTTTTTCATAATTATGACTTTAGATTTCTAGAAGCTCTCAATCACTTTGAGAAAGCAAGAACCTTGATTTATCGTCTTCCTGGAGTGTTAACTTGGCCCACGAGTAATGTGATTATTGAAGAGTCTCAGCCACAAAAAATAAAGGTAACCATTTATTTTTGCAGAGTGTTTCTTACTGTGAATGCTTATCTGCATTGACTGACTCAGGTATCAGGAGGCGGAGAGGTAGGAGCATTCCATCCCCACCTCCCTTACACGCATTTCCCCTCTACTGTCTAATGAGAATCTCTGACATTTATTGAATGTTTTCTGTGTGCCAGTGTGTACCTTCATTTATCATTATGCTTAATCCTTATAGCAGCCCCGTGCAGGGGGGCACTGTGATCATTCCCATTTTACAGATGAGGAAGGTTAAGTTTAGAGAGGTGAAATGATGCACTCAAGGTGAAACAGCAAGCAAATTGTGGTCCTGGAACTTGAGTCCAGGCATTCTGACTTCTGAGTATGCATGATCATGCACTCTGCTGGACTTGGTTGTACTTAGAGGAAGGTATAGTATTGTTGTTTCATCATAAAGTTACCACAGTTACTGAGATGGTACTTGAAGATTTAGAAAAATATGAATTTAGTCTCATATCCAGAAGCATAAAGATGCTTTGCTTGTTCTAGAAAGACTTACGTGTGAAATGACTGAGATAGGCTTTTACTTGTAGTGAACTCTCACATGTACTCAGAACTTGATTTTGGCTGAAGCTTTTAAAATCACAGAAGTCAACTTTTACAACTCAATAATAAAAAGACAAATAATCTAAGAAGTAGTCAAAGGATCTGAATAGACATTTCTGCAACGAAGATATACAAATGGCCAAAATTAGCACATGAAAAGACATTCAGCATCATTAGCTATCAGAGAAACACAAATCAAAACCACAGTGAGATACCACTTCACACTCATTAGGATGTGGGCAGACAATAAATATTGGCAAGGGTGTAGAAAAATGGGAACATTCAGACACTGCTGGTGGTAATGTATAATGATGCAGCTGCTTTGGAAAATAGTCTGGCAGTTCCTCAAACAGTTAAACATAGAGTTACCATGTCTCAGTCCATTTGTGTTGCTATAAAGAAGTACCTGAGACTGGTGATTTATGAAGAAAAGTTGGCTTATGGTTTTGCAGGCTGTATAAGAAGCATGGTGTCAGCACCTGCTGGTGAAGGCCTTCAATAGCTCCTACTCATGTCAGAAGGCGTAGGAGAGCCTGTCTGTAGAGATCATATAGTGAGAGACAGGGAAGTGCCAGGCTCTTTTTAACAACCAACTCTTTAGGGAACTAATGGAGTGAGAACTCACTCACCCCAGGGAGGGAATTAATCTGTTCATGAGAGATTCGTCGCCATGACTCAAAACACCTCCCACTGTGCCTCACCTCCAACACCGGGGATCAGATTTCAATGTGTGGTTTGGAGGGTCAAACATTCAAACTGTAGCATACCATATGATCCAGCAGTTTCACTCCTAGGTGTGTACAGAGAAAGGAAAACATGTTCTCACAAAAACTTGTACATGAATGTTCATAGCAGCATTAGTCATAATAGCCCAAAATGGGAAATAGCCCAAGTATTCGTGAGCTGATAAATGGGTACGTAAGTATTGGAACCTGGGAGGTTGAGGCTGCAGTGAGCCTTGATTGTGCCACTGCAGTGCAGCCTGGGCAACAGAGTGAGAGTCTGCCTCAAAAACAAATGGCCAGTCTTGGTGGCTTACGCCTGTAATCCTACCACTTTGGGAGGCCAAGGCAGGAGGATTGCTTGAGCTCAGGAGTTCAAGACCAGCCTGGGCAACATGGCGAAACCCATCAATACAAAAATTAGCCAAACATAGTGGCACATGCCTGTAGTCCCAGCTACTCAGGAGGCTGAGGTGGAAGGGTCAGTTGAGCCCAGGAGGCAGAGGTTGCAGTGAGCTGAGATCGTGCCACTGCACTCCAGCCTGAGTGACAGAGTGAGACGCTGTCTCAAAAAAAAAAAAGAGTACTGATAACATGCTGCAGCATGGATGGACCTTGGAAACATTATGCTAAGTAAAAGAAGCCAAACACAAAGGGCTTGTGTGAGTCCATTCCTATGAAATCTCCAGAATAAGCAAGTCTGTATATAGTGACAGAAAGTAGACCAGTGATTGCTGGGCCTGGAAGGTTAGGGGAAAATGAGGAGGGACTGCTAATGCGTATGGAGTTTCTTTTTGAAAATGTTCTAAATTTAGACCGTGGTGATGTCAGCACATCCTGTGAATATGCTAAGAACACCGAACCGTACACTTCATTTGAGTTGTATAGTGTGTAAATTATGTCTCAACAAAGCTATTATAAAAAATACAACACAGGGATTCTTGGATTTACCTCTCTTCATACAAGATTGGGATAGAGGCATAGGAGCTATTGATAACAAAAAGCCAGCACTGGAAGCATGGCATGAGTCTCTTGGGGGCTTCATTAGCAGTGGAATAATTCTCCAGGGAGTCCACAAACAACAGTGGCAGAGCTGCAAGGAGGAAGATAATGGGAGTGTTAGGATTCTGGATGAGGTGATGTTGGGCAAGAGGAGCCTGGTAAAGTCCTCAGGATTACCCTAAGGGTTATTCTGCCTTACTTGACTTCCTCTTAATGCTTATGGAAGATTTCTGAGAGCTGTAAATTATAAAATGCGATTTGATGATTGTAACAGGACAAAATTTTGATTCTTTCGAAATTCTGAAAAAAAATTTTGTCCAGTCCTCTTTTTAAATCTCTCTTATGTCTCTTATCAGCCTTCCTTTTAAAAGGAAAAACTTTAAAAGTTGTATGTAGTTTGTTGTTGGTGAAAAAATTTAGTCATTCTTATGCTGAAAATATTTTGATGGCAAGAGGTTATTGAAATCACAAGCATTTTTATTGACAGATTAGTATTGTAATGGTATCATTTTTGTTTATTTTGTTTTAGATGCTGTTAGAGAAATTTGTTGAAGAATGCAAGTTCCCTCCAGTGCCAGATGCCATTTGTTGCTATCAGAAGTGCCATGGATATTCTAAGATCCAGATATACATAACTGATCCAGACTTTAAGGTAAATAATGAGTGTACAGTGGGACATTAACTTGCAAAATCATTTCTTAAAATGGGCTCAAAACAATCTGTAATTGGAGGCACCCAAGTTCTCTGGCTAGTTAGCAGTCGTCCACCCCTTTCCCAGGATTTTTTTTTTTTTTTTGAGATAAGTCTCACTCTGTCACCCAGGCTGGAGTGCAGTGGCACGATCTTGGCTCACTGCAACCTCCGCCTCCTGGGTTCAAGCAATTCTCCTGCCTCAGCCTCCCAAGTAGCTGGGATTACAGGCGTGTCCCAGCACGCCCAGCTAATTTTTGCATTTTTAGTAGAGACAGGGTTTCACCATATTGGCCAGGATGGTCTCGATCTCTTGACTTCGTGATCCACCCCCTCAGCCTCCCAAAGTGTGGGATTACAGGTATGAACCACCACGCCCAGCCTTCCTGGACTTTTTTAGGTCTACATCGTCTCACATGGGAACCAGAGCCACTGATGTATAAACGCTCTGGGCTGGGGTAGTGACCTGAGAAGGCAGGCTGGCTCATTCTTTTTCCTCTTCAAGCTACCTTAGGAGGATAGGAAACAAAGTGAGATTGTTACCTCTGATTTGTTGCAATTCTGATCTCTCATAAAATTTGAGTCCCAAATCTAAAGGTCATTGTGATCATTGAATTAGCTGTTAGAGACCTAAATTTGAGATAAGTCTGGCACTTAATTGAGTTATACTGGTTTATTCAAGAAGCTAGTAGCTGCCCTTGTCCTGCTGTTCCAATGTCCCTGGTTAGTAAATCAGATGAAATAATGTTTATAAAATATTTGATATATTTTGAAGAATGATGCAACTTTATGCTGTGGAAATAAATATGTTAGTCAAGCTCTCTCTGTCTTTATGTATGTTGTAGTGAGTGAGTGTGCAGAGACATCTTTAAAACGTTAATTAAAAAATTTTTTGTAACCCTAGGGTTTTATACGCATCAGCTGTTGCCAGTACTGTAAAATAGAATTTCACATGAATTGCTGGAAGAAGTTAAAAACTACAACCTTTAATGATAAAATTGACAAGGTAAAGCATAACAGGATTGTCTGAATTTTTCAGTATACTTATTGTATGTCAATTTTTCCCCCAAGAATTCCTTCCTGAACATTCTGCACATAATTAGAAAATTTTAAATTATAACTTTAATAATAAAGTGGAAAATCAAATTTGTTTTTATTTGGACAATCATAAAGGCATTAACCATAGAGGCTTTGTTTTTTTAAAGAGACGGATCTCACTGTGTTGCCCAGGCTAGAGTGCAGTGGTGCAGTCGTAGCTCACTGCAGCCTCAGACTCCTTGACCCAAGTGATCCTACTTCAGCCTCCCAAAGTGCTGGGATTATAGGCATGAGCCACTGCACCAGGCCCCACTTGAAAGTTTTGATGTGGAATTAGGGATTTCAAAACCAAAATTTGATGAGGTAATTTGTACTAAGAAGTCAACTCAAAACAATTTTTTTAATGTTGGGAAGAAAGATCAACTTCAATTTTAAACTGCCATTTCTCTCCAGGGATTTTCTTATTACCAAGATAATGATGTTAATTACCATTAAGTAGACATACTTTGAGGGAAGTCATAGTATTACAATCTTATTTGTATTCATAGAATTTGTTTCTGATCTATAGAAACTATGGACCTTTTCCTACACTTCTTAGGCTTATGCAGACCACTGTTCTTATTGGGGAAAGAATGAGGCAGTTGTACTAGGCATCTGTTAACAATAGCAATTATTAAAGTATGGTAGAAATAAATTCTCACATTTTGTACATTTTCACATAATTAATTAACAATATAATGATATGAGTAAATAACTGTCACCTTTGAGTCACTTCTGCTATGTCTTTGTCTTACCTAAATTGAGTTTCTCTAGTGATATACCCTCTTTTAGTGGTCTTAACTATTCCCATCATTTTAAATACACTCTGTAAATTAGTCAGCTTTCCCTAGGATATGCTGAAGTGATGCAACCCAAATATCTTGTGGCATACATCAGAGAAGTTTGTTTTTTGCTTACATGACTTGTCCTGCAGTTCTGCAGTTGTTGGCTGGGACTGGGCTGTAGCAGCTTTATTTTGTGTGGCTCTATTCCTTGTTTCTCAATCTAAGTTGAAGAATGACCCTTTTCTGGAACATCTTCCTGTGTCAGAGGAAAAAGAACAATGTCCAGTCTATGAAGTGTTTGTTAAACCTTTTGTCTAGACATGTGTATGTCATGTCTGGTCACTTTGCATTGATGAAAACAAGTCACATGGTCAGACCCACACCTGAAAGTATATTTTTCCTACACGGAAGCCTTAAAATTCGCATGGCAGTGAGTAAGGATTTTCACCACTTGCCTGAAGATGGTTTTAGTCCGTATTTTGACTGTTCCTAGTGGTAAAAATAGTATACGTGTATAGATTTATCCCCCCTAGACATAACATTTTTCTTGTTTTTTTTTTTTTTAATCAAATAGGATTTTCTACAAGGAATATGTCTTACCCCTGACTGTGAAGGTGTCATTTCTAAGATTATCATCTTCAGCAGTGGTGGTGAAGTTAAATGTGAAGTAAGTAATAAAGGGGAAACCTTGTTAGATAGATAACCAAAATGTTTACACCTTTTGAAACATGATTTGAATTTGTAGATATCATGTAATTTGGATCTTTTCCAGGAAAGAAACAATTACTTCATTTAAGAAAATATAGGAAATACTGGGATGTGAGAATGCTTCATTGTAATGAAAGCATTCTTATATTCTTTTATTTCTTAATAGGAAAAGGAGGCTTTTTATATCTTAGTTTTACTATTTTTACTGTTTTTGATAACTTCATTTTCTTAATCCCGGTAAACTTTTGGGCAGTAGTGGGTGTGCAGGTTTTTAGGGAGGGGGAAGAGCGTCTTGAGGGATTACCTTTAACTTCATGACATGGGAATGGCAAGAGTGGGTAGTTGTAATAATATTTACACTTTATTAGATCGTCTGCTTACTCTTAATTTTTTAAAAACTTTTTCCTCAAGTGTGTCTACCCTCTTGTTCCTCTTCAGTAAATTATTTTGCTAAAGCTTTCTGGGCTTTTGTCTGGGTCAGAACATCATCACTGTTCTCTATCAAACTGAACATTATGTGTGCTTCTGAAATACTTGTTACTTGTGGTTTTGTGTTTTATGTCATGGGAGTATGAGACAAATTTTGGATGTCTTTGTTTTATTTAAAGTTTGAACACAAGGTCATAAAAGAAAAGGTTCCTCCAAGACCTATTCTGAAACAGAAATGTTCTAGGTAAGATTTTTAACAATCAATCAGTGGTTTGATGATGTCTCTTAGAATATAATTCTATTAAATGCAGATTTCTAAATTATGCCTTTTTAAAAATTGGCTGTGTATACATATATTCAAATAAGTGTTTTTTAAAATGATTTTTATGGAAAATTAAAACTTAAAGAGAACTAGCCTAGAATGATTAAATACTAAAAACTTGATTCAGAATTATTTATCTAGTGGTTGAATTTACAATTAAAATTATAACATTTGATGCTGTGAAATTACATGTTTGATTAATAGATTTGGCATTTATATAAAAACTATACAGTTTGCTCTCAGTTGTTGAAACTTTAATTCCAAAAGCATATTTTTCTTTTTATCTCTCTTCAGTAAACATTTTGAACCTATGACTATTTTTTACCCTGAAATACTCAATGTACTGTCTAAATTATTACTTCTCTATAGCTTTTTGTTTAGATCAAATAATTCAGATTCTTTTTTCTTTTCTTTTTGGTCCTGCTTCTTGTTTTTCTTTCTAAGAAGTGATTTTTTTTTATCATTTGTGACCAAGAAAAAGCAAAAGAAAAGATGAACAGAATTATTTGTTGGAGAGAATTCATTGTAACCAGATCAACCAAATTATAGTGTTGTGGGTTATTATTGAGATGTGAAAATTATATTTTACTATGGGACCTTTCTTAGAAATGAGAGTTTACATGAATTATTTTGCAGAGTAATTTGTACTATTTCTGTTTACCCTATGAAGTAACTTAGATACATGAAAGTGACATCTATACAATCTGTAGACTGCATCCTTAGACATCACCTAATCATTGAGGTTTTTGTTTTCATGAAACAAGTACCCTTATTTTGACAATACTGACAGTTTCTTACATTGAATGGAAGATGTAGGCCGGGCTCTGATTAAAAAAGGAAAACTTCTAATATATTGCTTGGAAGATGGTTTCTACGATAGTCAAAGGAAAACAGTTCATTGAGTTGTCACTAATTGTAAATGTTTATCAGCCTAGAGAAACTAAGACTGAAAGAAGACAAAAAATTGAAGAGAAAGATCCAAAAAAAAGAAGCAAAAAAGTTAGCACAAGAAAGAATGGAGGAGGACTTAAGAGAAAGTAATCCACCCAAAAATGAAGAGCAGAAAGGTATGCAGAAGCCAAAGGCATGATAAGAATAATATACTCTCATTTAAATGTATAAATGTAAGCATCTTTTGGGCCTTATATTCATCATTATTGAATTGAAATAAAGATTTCACTTAGTAATTTAATACTATCACTGTCTTCTGTTACTCGAAGACAGAATTGGGTTGGTGTAAAGAACACTGAAAAACCTTTCAGAGATTGTATTCCCACTGAAAAACCTTTCAGAGATTGTATTTTAACTTTCTGTGCTTAATGACTAAACATATTTATTGTATATAAAGTTAAGGTAGTTGATGAGGCTGGGTTAGGATTGTTGAAGGAAGTGGCCGTATTTTAGGGGAACTAAGTTGTTTTTTTTTTTTGTTTTTTTTTTTTGAGACGGAGTCTCACTCTGTTGCCCAGGCTGGAGTGCAGTGGCGCGATCTCGGCTCACTGCAAGCTCCGCCTCCCGGGTTCACGCCATTCTCCTGCCTCAGCCTCCCCAGTAGCTGGAACTACAGGTGCCCGCCACCATGCCCAGCTAATTTTTTGTATTTTTAGTAGAGATGGGGTTTCACCGTGTTAGCCAGGATGGTCTCGATCTCCTGATCCACCCTCCTCGGCCTCCCAAAGTGCTGGGATTACAGGCATGAGCCACCACGCCTGGCCTAGAGGAACTAAGTTTCAAATGCTACTACATGAATGGTTCAGAATGAAGGGTGTAAAATGCTTACTTTTGGTATGTTTATTTTAGCGTACACTTTCATGTCTTTTCAAAAGTATTGTTAAGTGTTTATATTTCTAATTAAAGTTTCTTGAGTTTAGTAAAACAGTATAATCAATCTGAATCATATTTTATATTATGTAATTTTGTTATTTCTAAGTTTATGTAATTGTGAATTAGTCCTATTTATCACTTTAACCATTGTTATTTATCCTTAGAAACTGTAGACAATGTTCAGCGTTGTCAGTTCCTTGATGACAGAATTCTACAGTGTATAAAGCAGTATGCTGACAAGATTAAATCCGGCATACAGAATACAGCCATGCTTCTCAAAGAATTGCTTTCTTGGAAAGTTTTGAGCACAGAAGACTATACAACCTGTTTTTCTAGCAGAAATTTTCTAAATGAAGCAGTGGACTATGTTATTCGCCACTTGATTCAAGAAAATAACAGAGTAAAGACAAGAATATTTCTGCATGTTTTGAGTGAGCTTAAAGAAGTGGAGCCCAAATTAGCCGCCTGGATCCAAAAACTTAATAGCTTTGGTATGTCCCTTTATATTCCAGAGCAATAAACTTTAATACGAAGGGGAAGTGTAGGTCTCTGAGTCATTTTCATTTTCCTGCCATATAATTTATAACTTTAAATGCAGGACTATAAATTTGTATGGTTAAGAATACTTTTCCAGTCCCAGCTACTTGGGAGGCGGAGGCAGGATGATTGCTTAATCTCAGGAATTTGAGACCAACCTGGCAATGTTGCAAGACCTGTCTCTAAAAGAATTTTTTAAAAAAAGAACTAAATATATGAAGGCCTTTAAAAAACAGAAAAACTATTACACACACACGCACACCACAATTTTTAGGTTATTTTATAGATAGGTTACAGTATACTTCTTCAAAAGGTGCAATCTAAGGAAAGACCAGTCAGTAAAGAAATCCAGACCTATATTAGACTAAACTATTTGTAAATGTGTAGATGTGTGAATACTAGGCACAACCATGGTAAATAACACATCCTGGAGTCTGCCCCCTGCTCAGGAGCTGTGTTGAGAAGACAAATCTATAATTCAGATTCTTTGAAGAAAAATTTAGAGGCAAGAGTGGATGAGACTAATTGCTCAGGGTCACCTAAGGCAAATCTGTATCTAGAGATTAAGAGGAACATATCCTAGGGTTGGACTGAGCTGTGGTAAATCACAGGATTATATAACTCTGTACTGTGTTCTGACTTTCGTAACTTGGCTGGGAGAAGGGAAGAGTGAGCAAGCCCCCTGCCCTCCCCTAAAGCAGGCGCTTTGCCTAAAGCCATGCAGGACTGCAGAAGGCAGCTGCAGATACAGTTGTTGTGTAACACGAGGTAGGGATGCTTTGGGCACCTACCAGGGCACTATTTATCTTGCTGACTGGATAGCAACTGGCCTAGCACAATAGTTCATTCAGTCGGCAGCTATTAGATAAGAGGCTAAAGTACGCCACGGGAAAAAGGCAGGGCCTTTAGCCGCAGACCACAGAGTGAGGCCTGCTAAGCCTCTGCCAGCCGTCCCCACCTGTCTGAATGTTTAGAAACGTGGGGCTATTAGAATTCTAGGGTTTCAGAGAAGATACTGGTCAGCTTCTGCCAGAAGAGACGATGTAAGATGGCAGCAAGCCTGGCATAGTTAGACAGCTGAACATGCCTGCTTTGAACATAGATCCTCATGGATTTGTGATCCCGGAAAGTTATTTTTAAGTGACAAGATTGTCACTAGTGAGTATCAAGTAAGCAAATTATAAAGTTAATGCTTGCTTTAACATGCTTTAGGAGATACTCAGGACTGGAGAAATAGGTTTGCCTGGGTTATGCTACACGGTCAAGACTGCCAGCCACTGTTCATTCAGGTAAATGCAGCACTTGAGCCCTCCAGCTCACTGGCAGGAAAGGGTGAACATGTCTTTTGATATAAACCATGTGTTTTTTTTGTTTGTTTGTTTGTTTTTTTGAGACAGAGTGTCGCTCTGTTGCCCAGGCTGGAGTGCAGCGGCGCGATCTCGGCTCACTGCAAGCTCCGCCTCCCGGGTTCACGCCATTCTCCTGCCTCAGCCTCCCGAGCAGCTGGTACTACAGGTGCCTGCCACCACGCCTGGCTAATGTTTTGTATTTTTAGTAGAGACGGGGTTTCACCGTGTTAGCCAGGATGGTCTTGATCTCCTGACCTCGTGATCTGCCCACCTCGGCCTCCTAAAGTGCTGGGATTACAGGCGTCAGCCACCGCGCCCGGTCGATATAATCCATGTTTATTCTGTAGATTAAAGGTATCATTTTAATAAGGATATATGTATACTATTTAAAGTAGCAATTTTTATTTAAAGTTGTGAAATGAGTTCAAGCATGTTAATTAGTAAGGCTGTTACTACAGTCCTGAAGTAAAATGCACACTTACTTAAATAGTAAGTAAAGCAGTTTTCATTTCCTGGAATTTTCTTCAATAAAACGACTATTGGGTGGACTTACATCATGCACATATTTACCATAAGAGAGGTCCAGTTTTTATGTTCAGCAAAAGATGAAGGGAGGAAAGGAGGAAAGGAGGGAGGGAGAGAGAGAAATAATAGAGCACTAGTGAGATAAATTTAACATCCCAATAGTGAACACTGCCTGCCTGCATTCCCCTCACTGACCACAAGCTCTGACGTGGATAGGGAACGGGAATGTGCTATTTTTTCATTGGGCTCTCATAAATCTTTTATTGTGTGAGTATTCTACATGGTCCCTTATTCTGGTGTTTAAAGATCCTAATTTTCCTGCAACATGATCTCTGCAAGCTAACTCTTTAATCCAGAAGCAAGCAGTCTAGGATAATTTTGACTCTGAGCAATCTCTGCTTCATTTGTTGACTTCATTTGTTGACTAAGGCCCTCGGAAGAAGTGACCGTTTTATATTAGAGGCATGATGGAGAAACTGGACAGAGCTCCTTTTTGCTGGCTGTTCATCAGGAGTGGGGCTTCACCGTCATTTCAGTAGGAGTCTGTATGAGATTGTAGTCACCTGTTTTCTAATTTGGAGAGTGGAGAATAAAAGTAGGCATACTGACCACCTTGATTTTTGTAGAGAGGGGTGAGGACCCACATTTTGGGGAATAAGGAATGTTATTTTAGGTGTTGGGGAATGGGTTTACCCATTTCCTCTTTTAGACACATTTGGGAAGATTCTGCATATTGTTGATGTTTTATTACTATGGAATCCATATAAAGAATCATAAAATCTTGCTAGTTTATACTAATTGGAATGAAAGTCTTTATGAATTAGTGAAAACATTGTTTGGGTTTGTTTTTTTTTTTAGAGATAGGGTCTTGCCCCATCACCCAGGCTGGAGTGCAGTGGCGCCGTCATAGCTCACTGTAGCTTTGAAGTCCTGGGCTCAAGCAGTACCCCCACCTCAGCCTCCCAAGTAGCTGGGACTACAGGCATTTACCACCATGCCTGGCTAACTCTTTTTTTTTTTGTAAAGATAGGGGTCTTGCTATGTTGCCAGGGCTGGTATTGAACTCCTGGCTCAAGTGATCTTCCAGCCTTGTCCTCCCAAAGTGCTGGGGTTACGGGCCTAAGCCACCATACCTGGCCTCATTGTTATATTTTTAAAGGAATTTAATGCTATACTTTCATCTCCTAGGTCTAATAAAGGTAACTATGATAGTAGAAGGCTTTGGCCCACATTATTCAAATCTAATAGACAAGAATTATTATAATTAGCCTAACAATGTTAAATGGTGTTTCTAAAATGCCCAATAGCTTGAACGAATCTGTTCTCAACTATTTAAATGTTTTTGCTGAGAATATAAGCAAACTATAATCAGCTGCTTTCAGAGATGTGAAACTAAATGTGATTTTACAGTAAATAATTTCCCTCCTCTTCTGATTTGGGTTTTGTTTTTATTACAGGCTTAGATGCCACAGGAACTTTCTTTTCTCGTTATGGAGCATCTCTTAAACTGCTTGATTTTAGTATCATGACTTTCCTCTGGAATGAGAAATATGGTCACAAACTAGACTCTATAGAAGGAAAGCAACTTGATTATTTCTCTGAGCCAGCATCATTGAAGGAAGCCCGTTGTTTAATATGGCTGCTAGAAGAACACAGAGACAAGTTCCCAGCATTGCATAGTGCTTTAGATGAATTCTTTGATATAATGGGTATGTGGACTGAGTTTAGACTTATATTACATTTAATCTTAAGGGGGAAAAAATCTGTGAAGGACCTAGCTTGTTTAAATATATAACAAAGAAAATAGTGAAAATTATTATGGTACAATCAGTTTATGTGGGGAAGTTAGTGATTAACAGTAGCAATTTTTTTATATCATGAAGCTTTTTTACTTTATCAGTTAAAGAGATACTCAAATGTAGGTATGTTATGCTAACAATACACAATGTTCTTCCCGTCTTAGATATTTTCACAGCATCATGGGAAAGATTGCATGTTACACTGACAGAATCTATTAGTAAGTGGTTTGATTTATAGCATTTTAGAAAACATTGGTCTGCAGAAGTAGGTGATGTTTGCAGAATCTAGAATGGATAGCATTCTAGGATGTTTTAATGGGAAGAGCCTAGAACTGGGGGTCAGGAAAAGTAGGTTGTGGCACAGCTTCTTCCTTAGTTTGGTTCATTAAAAACCCTGTGGGCCCAGTGATGGGTGTTGAGAAGGAATTCAGAAATGCTTACACTTGTCTCTGCCCTTGAGGACCTTGTGTTCTAGAAAAGAGAATAAGAAGCATGCACTAATAACAGTAACATGGTAGTAAACTCAATACGGGAGGGCCAGAGAAGGTGCCAAGGGCATCAAAGGAAGGACCCAACACTTTCTTTCTCCCTGGGAGAGAGGAAAGCTGTGGTGCAGGGGTAGAGTCTCAGATGGGCTGTGAACGTGAAAGTGGAATTAGAAAGCTGGGTGTCAGGGCTTATTTGGAATTGGGGACCCTATTTGGGTAATGGCATGGAGTCCAGCTTGAACTAACTAGCTAGCTAGCAGCTAATTCCTTCTTTTCTCTTAGATCTTAATTTCCTCACATTAAAATGAGATGATTTGGAGGCAGTGACATGTGTGGTCCTGTTTTACTTAAAAATTATAATATTCCTAGATTCTAAATGATAATTTCTTACCTTTCATACTATATGAACATATTATGATAATCCCCAAGTCCCTCAGAATCAGAAGTCTCCTTTATGTGTTGTTAGGAGTTAGACTTTTAAATGTCATGCTGTTTGTTTTAAAGGGTACATTAAAAGGTCTGGCCTTGTACGATGGTGTCACAGATGATAAAGTTCCAATGCATATAAGGAGTGGAAAGCTTACTTTTGACAACAAAAGTTCTTAGAAAAGAGCACACTCAAATACAGATGGCTTTATCTTTTCAGGATACTGCTTCATGACTGAAGGTGACATGCTACTTGATAGCCTGAATTTATTGCCATCAGTTTGCTGCTGCTGGTAATAAAATGCTGTCCCGGGACTGAGCTTACAAAACCTGATGCATGTTTGGATCACAAAACAAGACAACTAAAAAGGACACAATTCCCTCTCAGCATACACTCGTCCTTTAACTTGTGTTCTCTACATATAATACACAGCACTTCCAGCTGCCACTGTTTCTCTGTTTCTAGTCATGAGGTCAGAAGCCACTAACCAAATTATTGGCAATCCCAATGGATTCTCAAGTGCAGTAGCTCTGCCTTCCACCTTCACCCCAAACATTTTCAGTTTTATCTCTTCATTTAAAAGAATAGTTATATTTCTTAAAACTTTTCAAAATCTACTGATCTTGTAGATCAGAGTGTTTGACAATGTCATGAGTGCTTTGATAATTGAGAGCCCCGACTTTTTCCCTGACCTCTTCATGCATGATCCCCTAGGGTATTTCTGTGAGACAGCCAAATAGCCCCTTAAAGCAGTATGACTGAACCCACCTATCACATCTTCAGAGATCTGTTTTTCCTCAATTTATCTCAGTCAATAATATTGTATATCTAGTATTTAAACAGGAAACTCTGTAATTAGTCTCAATTCTTTCTTTTCAGTATTAAGAGTATAACTTGTTTGTCATCAATCCAAATGAGCTTTGTCCTTGATCTGTCCTTTGCTGTCCACCCCACTTCCCGAGGCCAAGACCTTAGTTGTCTTTCCACAGTTAGACCACTATAGTAGCCTCCAAACTGGACTCCATGCCTCTAGAATCTCCCATTTTCCGTCTTCCTCTTATATTGCAGCTAGTGACTCTTCTAGAACATCTGTCTAACATTCTGTTAACTATTCAATTTGGGAAACATTTGTTTAGTTTTAATTGCAGATTAAGTTCACATCATCTGGGGTCTGGGTTCATCATCATCCTCTATCTCTGAGCACACACCCCACTACTGACTGTGCCCAAACCTGCCTTGTGCTTTCCTGCCTCCTGTCTTCACTCACGTAGTTCCCCCAGCCATGCCCCACCCCTTTGCTTGTTCATTTCAAGAGTAACTTAAATGTCCCCTCTACCTCAGAGCTTCTTTGCCCCTCCTGTGGGCCTCTCCCTTGCAGACTTCAGACTTGAGTCCTTCGTGAGCCTTTGTTGCCTTGTGTTTCACGTGGTCCTTAGCACGCTGGGTTACAGGAGTTTGTCTGTTTGTCTTTCTGGCAGTAGAACAGGAGTTCATCAATGGTAGGGACTGTCTTGTGCATCTCTATTCCCAGGACTAGCATAGATGGTACCTAGAAGGCACTCAACATTATGCTGAATCAGATTGAAGTTTTATGGTTCTTTGTAGTTGGTTTCCCGTTTAGTCAGCCATTTTGCCCTTGGTTTCTAAACTACACTTGTGTCAAAGCCAAATAAGGAATAGAACATGGCCTATGCCAGTAGTATGAGGAGTTATTTTAAGGCTTTAGTGTACTATATGGAAATGTAAATATTTAGTTTTCTCACAAAACCATCTGTATATTCCTACAGACAGCCGCTGTACTGTGTTAAGGAAACAAGATAGTGGTGAAGCACCGGTAAGTTACTTGGATCACTTGAATCTTACGTTCTAATCTGATGTTAAACCAAGGATGAGAAGGGGACCCAGGCCAGTGTTTATTGACATCACAGCCAGCATTCAAGAACCACATTAAAAGGACGTCTGGGTAGTACGTACTATTATTCATTAGAAAGTCACTGCCAGTTTTCCTCTCGGAATTGGAGCAATAATCAGCAAACTATGAGGCTTAAATTAGACAATTTCTATAAAGTTTCAGAGCTGATAAACATTAATATTCTAATTAAGAAAGGAAGAGTTCTTCATCTCCTGGCATAAAAATGAAAAGTTGTCTTTAATAACTAAACTTCTAATGTTCTGCTCTAGAAGGAAAACAAAGGGACTTTGTTTTGAGTGGCTCTAAATTACGTTTAAGTTAAAACAGTTCCAGAGTTGTCTTCCTTAGTAGTTTGCAGTTGCCTTTTATTCATTCTTCAGAAATTCTTCAGTTTAGGAAAGTGAGTAAATAGAGAAAAGCACAACATTGTGGCAGTTTTCAAAGAGAAAAATGCCTGTTTACTGATTTTCAGGAGCAAATCATCTATCTATATGAAATTTTGTCTTAATCTGCTCCATCAAATATTGCCCAGCTAAGCAGGGAAACACAGCTGAAATACTCCATAAGGAGCTGAAGGCTTCTTTATTCACTGTTTGTGCCCCAGTGTCTGGTCAGGTGCAGAATGTCTAGTTTGGCTTAGTAAAAGAAATATATTAATAATAAATTTACTATTATGGCATCTAACTGGAATTACTTAAAAGTCTGATTAATTACTTGAAATAACAGTCCAACCCTGTGGAAAATAAGATAAAAATGTTGGAACAACTTAATTTTAGTATACATTAGTATTATTAAATTTTGTTTGTTTTCTATTATAAATCGTAGCACTTGGGCTGATACACTGTAGTGTTATTTTTGTTAAACATTTTATGTACATTTAACTTATGGCTAGTCTGTAAAAACTCATATGGTTTCTTTATGTTGAGCTTCATAATGCTGTTATTTGAGTGTTCACTGATTTTTCCCCCCATTTTTTAGTTTAGTTCAACCAAGGTGAAAAACAAAAGCAAGAAAAAGAAGCCAAAGGATTCAAAGGTATGGAGTATTTTCTGTATTAATTCTTGTCTAAACTCTCCAAAATAGTTAGTTGGACATATACATTAGAATTGAGCAATTCTTGGGATATTTTGAAACATTTGTAGAGAAAGACTTTCTAGGACTTAAAGATGTTTTGGCAGTCTTCTACATTTTGAAGAAATTCCAGGTTCATATTATATAATAGCAAGTCTTGACACTCGTATTCTTTATTGTCTTTTTTATTTTTCTAGGTATTTCTGAGTAAAAAAAAAAAATTGTCATAATGTCCCAAAAAATAAATAAGTCTCAAAAAATAGATAACATATTTAAACTAAAAATGATGAATACTAATCATTATGACAGTCCCAGGATTGATAGAATCCCTTCCTTCCTCTCACCAAAGGCTCTCCTCCAAGCCCATTAGATAAGTAGGGCATTTTTATTTTTATTTTTGAGACAGGGTCTCCTTCTCTCACCCAGGCTGGAGAGCAGTGGTACAGTGACGGCTCACTGCAGCCTCAAACTCCCAGGCTCAAGTGATCTTCCCACCTCAGCCTCCCGAGTAGCCGGAATGACAGGCGCATGCCACCATGCCCAGCTAATTTTTTGTATTTTTTGGAGAGATGGGGTTTTGCTATATTGCCCAGGCTGTTCTAGAACTCCTGCGTTCAAGCGATCTGCCTACTTTGGCCTTACAGGCGTGAGCCACTGTGCCAGAAGTAGGGCACAATTTTTAAGTCTTTGGTGGGTTCTTCATGGCTCTTGTGTGTATGTGGGGAGCAGAAAGGGGGATGGAGTGAGAGAGAGTAGCAAATCTTCAAAGGATGAGAACAGTTAAGGAGTTCCAATACAACTTTTATTTTTATCTTTGACTATGTATTTAGTTTAGATAAAATGGGAGTTTAAACTGAGTAACATTTAAATTTTTTTGGAGCATTGGAAACTATCCTAAATGTTAATTTGAGCTTATTTTTGGCTGTTGAAACTTTTATTACTATGTGTTCCTGTTTATAAGAAAATTTGGATAGATCTTATATATCAGCAATTTGTATGTGTGTTTATATAAGTATTCATCAATTTTAATGATTTTTCTCTTTAATGGAATTTTAAGGTAGAAAATCATTGTCATTTTTCTGTCTTTTAAACCAGCCTATGTTAGTTGGGTCTGGAACAACTTCAGTAACTTCAAATAATGAGATCATCACTTCAAGTGAAGACCATAGGTAAGTATAATTTTTAAATTTTTGCTTCATTTTAACTCAAATGTCTTTACTTAATAAGTTGTGTTAATTTAATATATATAAACTTGTGTTTTATTTCCCTAACTTTCCTTTCTAAAGCTGTGCATCTGACAACCTGATGTAATTCCATCTTGATTACATTTATATAGTGTGGCTAGAAGGCATTAAGAATTCATTCAAACTGTGTTAAAGTCACGACACTGGTGACATTCATTCACTAAGTACATATTGAGAACCTACCATGTGCAAGGCTCTGTGGGAAAATCATAGAAAAATGTCTAGAAATTATTCTTTAAAATAGTCAATAAAGAGAATGTCCTGTTAATACTTACTAGGCATTTTTGCCTGTAAGAGAGGAAGCTGTTTTGGGAGCTGTATATGATGTTATGTTTTCACCTTATATATTAGTGATTTTCAATGCCATCTGGTTGTCAAAACTGAGTTTTCAATAAACAAATATTTAAGAAATAAAACTAGTGAGTAGCAGTAACCTTTTTATATCATACTCCTTTATGAACCAAAAATGTACAACATGGTTTTTTTTTTCTCATTTCTTAAAGGAGCTATCAGAGCAGTTAAAAATTACGTGGTCATTTCATGGATTCTTTAAGTAGGGTAATTGTTTTAAGTTAAAATAATAGCCTGTCTTAGTCAGTTTGGGCTGCTATAACAATATACCATAAACTGGGAGGCTTACACACAGAAATTTATTTCTCACAGTTCTGGAGGCTGGGAAGTCCCAAGATCAAGGTACTGGCAGATTCAGTGTTTGGTGAGGGCCTGCTTTCTGGTTCATAGATGGTGCCTTTTTGCTGTGTTTTCTCATGGTGGAAGGGACAAGGCAACTCTCTGGGGCCTCTTTTATAAGGGCAATAAGTCCATTCATGGGGGTAGAGCCTAATTACCTCCCAAAGAATCCACATCCTAACACCATCACATTGGTGATTAGGTTTCAACATATGAGTTTTGCAGAAACACAAACATTCAGACCATAGCATAGCCTTTACTGAGATTAATTCTTATGTATCAGACATTGTTTTGGGGGTTTACATACATAAACTCTTTCAATCCACTTATCCTGCCTAGGAGGTAAGTGCTATTATATTCTGTCCAATGTACAGATAAGGAAACTCTGAGGCACAGTGCAGAGCGACTTGCCCAAGAACACAAAGCTTATAAATAGCAGAGCTGGGATTTAAGTCATGCAGCCTGGTTTTAGAGTCCACACTCAAACTACTACATCTTTTTAGAGTGCTAACATCTTACATTTAAAAAAAACTTTTGTTTAGATGGAGTTTCGCTCTTGTTGCCCAGGCTGGAGCGCAATGGCGTGATCTCAGCTCACTGCAACCTCCACTTCTTGGGTTCAAGCAATTCTCCTGCCTCAGCCTCCTGAGTAGCTGGGATTACAGCCATGCGCCATGACGCCTGGCTAATTTTGTATTTTTATTAGGGACGGGGTTTTTCCATGTTGATCAGGCTGATCTCGAACTCCTGACCTCAAGTGATCTGCCTGCCTTGGCCTCCCAAAGTGCTGGGATTACAGGCGTGAGCCACCACACCTGGCTTAAAAAAAACCTTTTATTAATACCATTTACCAGTCTCAGTCTCACTTTAAGTTAATTTATAGCAGTTATAATACAATCTTCATTTGTCTTTCAGTCATTTAACAAGTTATAATTAATGCAACTTTTTTTAAAAATATGGAGTTTTAAGAATTTTGCTCTTTGGAGCAAGACTAAATAATTGAAAGTGCTTACTTAGATTGTCAGATATGATATTTCTCGCCTATAACTGTGGAAGGGTAACTTTTCTACACTAAGTTCCCTGGTGCTATTTTTTTGCAACATAGAGCTGAGTAATATATTGCCATTATTGTGTTTATTTCAATTAGACATTCTTCTGGTTAAATAATAAACCAAAGGTCTATCATCCACAAAATTGGGTGTTTTTTGTTGTTATTTACCAGCAATCGAAATTCAGATTCTGCAGGCCCATTTGCAGTGCCTGACCATCTTCGGCAAGATGTAGAAGAATTCGAAGCTCTCTATGACCAACACAGTAACGAATATGTTGTCCGCAATAAGAAGCTATGGGACATGAACCCAAAACAAAAATGTTCAACTCTATATGAGTAAGTGGGTTGAAATTTTTACAACCATTATTTTATACTAAGGCTGCCAATTAAAGATCAGAAGTTGTTTAATTTGTGCCTGTTTTTAGAGATTTTGCCACATTTTACACAAAGTTAATTTAGGATTTTTTTTTTTTTTTTGAGACAGAGTCTTGCTGTGTCACACAGGCTGGAGTGCAGTGGTGCAATCTCTGCTCACTACAACCTCTGCCTCCCAGGTTCAGGTGATTGTCATGCGTCAGCCTCCCGAGTAGCTGGGATTACAGGCTTGCACCACCATGCCTGGCTAATTTTTGTATTTTTAGTAGAGAAGGGTTTCACCATGTTGGCCAGGCAGGTCTCCAACTCCTGGCCTCAAGTGATCTGCCTGCCTCAGCCTTCCAAAATGGTGAGATTACAGGCATGAGCCACCTCGCCCCGCCCTGAGGATTTTTAATTATTAAATTTAGAGTCCTAATGATTATTGATTTTGTCAGTTTGAGCTACTAAGTCGATACTGAGTGGGGTGGATAAAACAAGTAAAAAATTCAGGAAAATCTCAGATAGCTTACCATTTTGAGCTTTGTGTTATTAGATAGTGCATGAGGCCTTCCTTTTAAGAAAATAAATCAAGGGCTGAGGTCTGTAATAGAGTATTAATTTAAAAGCCAACTCTTCTCCTGGAAGTCCTGTCAGTAGCATATCCACCATATGGCCCTTTCTTCTGTTTTCCTGTATTGCATCATTCCTATTTAGTTCTGTGCTCTTAGATCCTTCTTCATGGTTTTTCTTTAGAGTTGAAATGCTGAGCAAATCATATTTCCAGAGAACTCTTGGGTGACAGTGTGGAAACAACTGTAAAATTATACTATTATTTCTTAAAGTATGCTAGAATTTGCTTCAGGCATCCAAAAGTAAAGCTAAAGTATGTAGTTTTCAGTATTTACTGTACGCAAATTCAAATAGGATTTGTTTTTGAGATTTGATTTTCTCTTTTTATTTAAAATTCTTATTGGCATTATTATCTTTCCTGAATAAATTTTTTGTTGTTGTTTTTAGAATAAATTATGTAATTACATAGTTGAAAGTTATGAAATAACTTTTTGATTTCCTTTTGCTTTCCCCTGCTCCCAGAAAAGTTTTAAATGATCATTTTCTAGGAGGTAGACAAAATTTTCTTTATAGTATCATTGATTGCAGTTAACCTTATGTTTGTTATATTTGTTGTTGAGGAAAGGTTGAGATCAGTGAAAAGTGAAACAGTGTTTTCCTTTGGGAGAATAAAAGTTTTTTTCAAATAGACATATTCAAGTACTTCCTTATAGTAACTCATGTAAATGTAAATTTTTTCCAAGTTACTTCTCTCAGTTTTTGGAGGAACATGGTCCCTTGGACATGAGTAACAAGATGTTCTCTGCAGAATATGAGTTTTTCCCAGAAGAAACTCGACAGATACTAGAAAAAGCAGGAGGTTTAAAACCTTTTCTCTTGGGATGCCCTCGTTTTGTTGTGATTGACAACTGTATTGCACTGAAGAAGGTTGCATCACGGCTCAAGAAAAAAAGGAAGAAGAAAAACATTAAAACAAAAGTAGAAGAAATTTCAAAAGCAGGGGAGTATGTACGAGTTAAACTACAACTGAATCCAGCTGCTAGGGAATTTAAACCAGATGTAAAGTCTAAACCAGTGTCAGATTCATCTTCAGCACCAGCTTTTGAAAATGTGAAACCCAAACCTGTGTCTGCAAATTCTCCCAAGCCAGCTTGTGAAGATGTGAAGGCCAAACCAGTATCCGACAATTCTTCTAGACAAGTTTCTGAGGATGGGCAACCCAAAGGGGTCTCTTCTAATTCTCCTAAACCAGGCTCTGAGGATGCAAATTACAAGCGAGTCTCCTGTAATTCCCCCAAACCGGTTCTTGAGGATGTGAAACCAACTTATTGGGCTCAATCCCATTTGGTCACAGGATACTGTACGTATCTTCCTTTCCAGAGATTTGATATCACCCAGACACCGCCAGCATACATAAACGTGTTACCAGGTTTGCCCCAGTACACCAGCATATATACACCCTTGGCCAGCCTTTCTCCTGAATATCAGCTACCAAGATCAGTACCAGTGGTGCCGTCTTTTGTAGCCAATGACAGAGCAGATAAAAATGCTGCTGCCTATTTTGAGGGTCATCATTTGAATGCTGAGAATGTTGCTGGTCACCAGATTGCCTCTGAAACACAGATCCTTGAGGGCTCTTTGGGAATATCTGTAAAGTCACACTGCAGCACAGGTGATGCTCATACAGTCCTGAGTGAGTCTAACAGAAATGATGAGCACTGTGGAAATTCTAACAACAAATGTGAAGTAATTCCAGAAAGCACCAGTGCAGTAACAAACATTCCACACGTGCAGATGGTTGCCATACAGGTAAGAGTTAAATAGAAAAGTCTTCTTAATACTGAAGTTAAATTTTCCTTTTCATTTTTCATTGCCGTTATATTTGCAAGAATCCTTAAAGTTGATTGACTTTATAATGATTACTGAAGCTTTTGCCTGAAAATACTTTTAAAATATGAACTCTTTTGTGAGGCATGACAGGTAATCTTCTCAGAAAGAAGCTTGGGTCCAATAAACAATACCCATCTTTGCTACTGAAATTCTACACAGATTGAGAAATAAGACAGCAGGTGGAGCCAAAACGTCATCCTAAGAATTAATAAAGGTGCTGGAGGAGAAGGTGGCTGTTTGTAGGAAAGTTCAAGTGCTAGCTGGAAGTGTAGCCTGCATCACAGTGCCTTACCTGCCAGTTACAGGAGGGCCCACCTGGAGGCCTTCCAGCGTGGGGTGCCTGCCCCATAGGACTTAGCGCATGAAGGAGGAAGGGAAAATGTGCTGGCAGCTCCTCAGAAAGAGAAGGAAAAAGGAAGACTCTGACCTACACAGGCCCAGCTTCTCCTGTCAAACCAGGGGAGGAATGAGAATGTTAAAAAGAGACAGCCAGGTAGAAACAAGAGGGATGTGTATGAGTTCTTTCCTAACAAGGAAGAGATGAAATCAAGATTCTCCTATGGTTGCCTTTATAGGGTATGAATTCATTAAATCCTTATTGAATTGCCCCACTCATTATGTTTTCTAGGAAGCTTTGAAAAAAATAGGTTAAGAGCAATGGATCATAATCATTTCCAGATATGCTAATTCTAAATAACTTTCCTAATATACATGTTTACGGAAAGCATGGAACATGATCTAAATGGGAAAAAAAACTTGAAAAAATTGTGGGTGTGTTTTAAAGTGTTACTACTTGATGGGCTTATTTTACTAGAGCGATTGAGATAAAGTGAATTTTATTTTTTGTTTTGCCCACAGGTATCTTGGAACATAATACACCAAGAAGTCAATACTGAGCCATATAATCCTTTTGAGGAACGACAAGTGAGTCAAAATTACATTAAACTGTTTAAAGGTTTAGTTTTCATTAATTTATCTAGATGGAATGATGAACTAGAACTATTTTGGAGTCAGCTTATTCCACACAAAGTTATCATGGAATAAGCTTGAGAACATAACAAAAAAATGATTTTGTTTTTATTGTTGAAATTTGAGAAGGGAAGGAAAAGGTAATTTTTTTCCAGCATACTTATTTCAAATTATAACAGCGTTATTGTTTTATTTTATTATTTTTAAAATTTTATTTATTTTTATTTTAATTATTTTTGAGACACGGTCTCACTGTCATCCAGGCTGGCCAGCTTTATTGTTTTAACTGGTATAATGAGCATATAATAATTTATAAGTAAGCTTATTCATGCGAATAATACAGAAAGATAAAGACCTTCTCTACTATAATAATGATTCAATTAGAAAACCTACTAATATAATTTAGTTCGTTAATATGCATCATAAGAGAAAAGTTGTCTTATCAACTCAAAGTTGCTGTAAAGGTATTGGATAAAATTCAGGTCACTGTCTTGACCAAAACTAGTAAGAAAATGGGAATTGATGAATATTTCTCAACATGCTAATATTTTAAGCCAAAAGCCATCATCTTGCTTAATGGTAAAACATCACCATTAATATTTATTGTTATCCTGGGTATATTAACTGAGAAAGCAGATATGAGAAAGAAAGAAGATAGAAAAGAGGAGATGTGAGTATCATTATTTACAGAGGCTAGGGCTGTGTACCAGGAAAATCCAAAATGATCAACTGAAAACCTACACTAACCTATATAAACCTATACTTGTATATAAAAATATATATAAACAATTACCTGTTAGAAAGTATGTTGAAAGAAAATATTTTCAATACCAAAAAAGAGATAAAATACTTAAATGTATATAAAGAAAAATTTTTAAATGCTATGGAGAGACACATAGAAGCCTTAAATGAAAAGATATTTCATGTACTTGGATAAGAACACATATTATGATAATGAGATTGGTTCTCCCTAAAGCTTTTTAAAATTTAACACAATCCCAGTATATACATGAACAGGGCAAATTAGTTATGTATATTGCTGTATATATAACAAACAACCTCAAAAGCTAGTGGCTTAAAACAGTAAAATATTTCACAATTGTGAAATCTCACAATTTCGCTAAGTCAGGCATTCAGGAGCAGTTTAGTTGGATGCTTCTGGAGATTCTCATGTAGCTAGCCAAGATGTTGACCAGGGCTTGGTCATCTGCGGGAGTAACTGGGCCCAGAGGTTCTACTTCCAAGATAGCTCACTCACATGGCTGGCAAGCGGATGTTGGCAGTTGTCAGGAAGCTTCAGTTCCTTGCCTTGTGGACCTCCACCTAGCCCTGCTTGACCTCATGGGGCTGGCTTTTCCCAGAGTGTGTGATACCAGGCAGAAGCGGCAGTGCTTTAGGAAGTCACAAATTATCACTTCTGCGCATTCTCTTGGTCACATAGATCAATCCACCAACCCTGATACATGGTAGGAGAGGTCTATACAAGGCTGTGACTAACAAGAGGCCTGGTTACTGCACAGGATTAATTTGAAACTAGACAAATTGATTTTAAACTTCATATGTAAAAATGAACATCAAGAATGGGTATGGAAGAGAAACTAAGAAAAGGAGTTGTGCAACTAAATATCAAAACACAATATAAATCTATCTATATTACCACATACATAGACCATTAATATGAGAGTGCCTGGCCAACATGTTGAAACCCCGTCTCTACTAAAAATACAAAAATTAGCCAGGTGTGGTAGCTTACCTGTAATCCCAGCTACTTGGGAGGCTGAGGTAGGAGAATTGCTTGAACCTGGGAGGCGGAGGTTGCAGTGAGCCAAGATCACGCCAGTGTACTCCAGCCTGGGCGACAGAGTGAGACTCCATCTCAGTCAGTCAATCAAGATGGTAGATTGGCTGGGTGTGGTGGCTCATGCCTGTAATCCCAGCACTTTGGGAGGCTGAGGTGGGTGGATCACGAGGTTAGGAGTTTGAGACCAGCTGGCCAACATAGTAAACCCCATCTCTACTAAAATTAAAAAAAATTAGCTGGCCGTGGTGGTGGACACCTGTAACCCCAGCTACTTGGGAGGCTGAGGCAGGAGAATCGCTTGAACCCAGGAGGCACAGGTTGCAGTGAGCCAAGATTGCGCCACTGCACTCTAGCCCGGGCGACAGTGCGAGACTCTGTCTCAAAAAAAAAAAAACAAAAAACAAAACCGAAGATGGCAAATTATCAGTGAGCAAAAACTGGATTATTAAATACATAGGAGAAATGGATTGCCATCTAGAAAAAATCAATCTTGGTCCCTACCTCATTCCTTATACCAAAATAAGTTCCAGGCAGATTAAAGATTTTAGCATAAAAAATGGACCTATAAAAGTATCCAGGAAAAAAACGGGAAAAATTTTTTGTAAGATCAGTAAACAGCATGGGAAAAAAGAATGTTTATATTCATATACACATGCATGTAATGTGTATATCCTATATGCATAGCATATGTATGACAACAAATACATACACATACACATATCAAAACACAGGAGAGAAACAAGGAAAATTATGTGCAGTGTGAAACAGATAGAGAACTAATTTCCTTAACAACAAAGTTTCTATAAATCAGTAAGGAAAAGATCAACAATCTGTCACAAAGATGAGAATGGATGTGAATAGACAATTCACAATGAAAGAAATACAGATGATTTTTAAACATATAAACAGATGCCCACCCCACTTGAAATAGGAAAAGCAATCATTCACATTTTGAAAGATAGTGAAACTGAAATTTCTGGGAAGGCAGTTAGGAATCGATCTGCACTCATATATGTATAGAGAGACCAGTGAGCCAAGGGGATTTGTATGTTTGTTTTGTCTGTATTTGAATCAGCAGAAAATTGAATACAATCTAAACCTCCATCAATAGCGGACTAGTTAAATTATGATATACCTATAAAATGAAATATCATGCTGTCATTTAAAAAGCAGTTCTATAGTTAGATATGGAATGTTTGACAAGATCAATGTCTAGTTAAGTAGGAAGAAGGTCAGAGCTTGTGTTTCCTGCTGCTATTTGTACAAATAGTGTTTAGTTTTTGCTAATGATAAAATAATATATAGAGTTCTTAAATTTTTTAAATGAATAATACCAAAAATTATGAAAGAGAAATTGAAAATCATCTACCTTCCCATCACTCATGTTAATATTTTGATGTGTAGCCTTCCAGGATGTTTGAACATTTACATATAATTAAACAATAGTTTTTAAAAGATGGGATCACAGCATATATATTTTATTTGAAATTTGCAGGCTTCAATTAATATATTGTAGACTTGTTTCCATATCAGTAAATACGATTTATAGCATCATTTTAAATGGATACTTGGTTTTCCATTTTATTAATGTGTGATCATTTATTTGACCAATTTCTTGTTGTTGAACATTTAGATTGTATCAGCTTTTTATGCTTACAGGCAGTCTTATAGTGAACATTTTGGCCTGTTTACTGTTGTTGAAGTCTTATGCTGTGCTTAGCTTTAAACCAGGTAGGCTCTGTTGTTTAATGAGTCAGTGCTTTTGACCATCAAATGAATGTTTTTATCAGTGATGGGAATGTTCACAAATGCTTTCTTAAATTAGCTGTTAGTTTTAGGACCTTGATGCTAGTATAGGTGATTGCTGGCTTCTCAACCAGTGAGAATTGCATTTGAATCCCAGCATTGCTACTTTCTCCTGGGACTTTGAGAAGTTGCATCACTTGGTTCTCTGATCTATTAAAGGCAAACATAATGTATTTCTCACAGAAGTATCGTGAAGTTTAAATGTAATAACATAGAGGTGGCATTTAGCTTCCTGCCTGTCTCTGTTGGTAATTTGGGGCATGTAAATTCATTCACGACAGCAAGTTACTATTCACTGTGATCCTTTTGCTGAATTAAGAATTAAAATGGAGGTAACTAAAGTCTTAAACCATAAAGTTTTGCTCCTGGTTGATAGTAAGGTTGACTGTTTAATTAATTTAGTTAAGCATGGACTCTATTTATAGTACTAAACTTTCGGTCTGAGCAGACAAAGTGGCATGCTCCAAGGCAAAAGGGCATGTATGGTCAATCTGACCATAATTCACAGTTCTCCAACTGATCATTCACAGAGTTTCAAATACTTGATTCCCTGCTTTTTTACACTTGAAAGATACTAAGGTATTGGGGGAAGGTACAGGAAATGTCAGAGCTGGACCAGGTTTGTGCCTGGGATAGATTTCTAAAGCCTGGCTGCCACAGGGAGGACAGTTACCTGCAGCTGGAGAAGCTGCCAGCATCAAACAGATGCTCTTTCAGAGTTATATGCAGTTTGAAAGGTTTTAAAAAATAATTACATAAATGACATTTATTGTTTGCCAACAGAATGGTTTCTGGGTTTGGGGTTTTTTTTGTTGTTGTTAAGCTGGTGCAAGAAATATAACTGACAATAATTCATAGATAATATTTTAATTTGTCATTTTGAAATAACCAGCAACTATTTATTTGAAACACCTAAAAGTAAAGCCAAAGTTAAAATGTTCTGTTTATATCTAAAATATGTATAATATGTGCAGCTTTTTAAACCTAATAAATAATCGTTGGTGTTAATTGTGGAGAGTGACATTTAAATCAAACTGTTGATCTGGTATTGAACCCTTCTAAAGCAAATATTCAGAACTAATTATAGTATAGATTGGAGAATTTATGAATTTCAATAATATGAATGATTATATTTATAAAAGTGCTGGTTTTGCTAAGCAGTGTTTAGGGGTTTTTAATTCCTGAATGATTGTGACATTTCCCTTGTAAATTTTCATCTGCTTTTTACTCTCCTTTGTTTATTTTAAGAAACAGTAAAGAACAAGATCATAAGTAGGCATTTTAAATGATTTTTAATAGATTGTTTTGTAATTCACTTTTAGGGGGAAATTTCACGGATTGAAAAGGAGCACCAAGTATTACAAGACCAACTTCAAGAAGTGTATGAAAATTATGAGCAGATAAAACTTAAGGGCTTAGAAGAGACCAGGGACCTGGAAGAGAAGTTGAAAAGGCACTTAGAAGAAAACAAGGTAATCCTGTCTGAAACCTGTCTTTAATTGCATGTAGCATAGTTAGGAGAATGTGAGTGTAGCTGTGCTTGTGCGGCCTCAGCTGAACTTCTGCATTGGTGGCTAAACAAAAGATTCTTTCTCAGAATCGCCTGCTTCAGATTTCTTCATGACATATTAAAGTGGCTGTTGCCATGCTTTAGAACTTCTGCAAACTGCCTTATGAGAAAGGGGCTGTAAGTCTGGGTTTTCGTTTAGCTATAGTTCAGTTTCCCTGGTTAACTAAAACTCTATTTTATGGTGACTGAGCTCTGAGGTAAATTCTTGTTTATATTGAGAGGCAGCATAGGAATAGAGGTTCAGAATGAGAGCCCTGGAGACAGACTGGCTGGGTTCAGATCTAGGCATGGTTCTATACTAGTTCTAATCTTGGGCAATTTACTTAACTTCTCTGTGCTTTAGTTCCTTACCTGGAAAATGTGAGTAATAATAACTCACATTTTGTATGGTTAGATTAATACTTATAAAGTACTTAAAACTGCCTCGTTAGTAAGGACTCAGTAAGTATTGTCTGCTACTGTTATGATCATCATCTTCATCTTACTCCTAAGGAAGTATAAGAATAACACATGGAGCCTTAGACATACTAGAACTGTAAAGTCACCCAGAGTATTTTGTTGAGATCTGCTGACCTTGAATTCTGTTAGTCAAGACTGATCATCAGATACATGGCTAGTGGAGGGATAGCAATTAGTGGCAAAGCCAGATTGAATTAGTGAGAAAATGGAATCACAGATGTGAGGAAATCATGGTGCATTTGTTTTTAAAAGCTACCATCATCTGTTTAGAAAGGTAACAAAAGAATAGTAATTCATTTAAGAAAGGAGGAATTTGTTCCAGAAGTCTGGATCAATAGCTGGGATAACATATTAAATAGAAGAAAACTAGCTTAGTGGGACCTTAATCAGGAAACCTATTTACTAAGATTTTAGTAGAAATCTTAGGGTCAGTTTGTAAAGGTAACTGTCATAACATTCCCCAGGACCTGTTTATACTCAAGATGAGGCTGGGGAGAGTCTAAGGACAAGAAGAATTAGATAGATCCTGAGACTTTACTCAGTTTCCTGGCTGGGAGAAGTAAAGAAGAACAAAATCCTACACAGCATAGTGACACATGGAACACAAGTTTCTATAAGCTACTTGTGGGTTTAACAAAACAAAATAGTTTTATAAACTTTATATTGCCTCAGGAAACTTCAGTTTTAATTCCCATGTGGGAATTCCTGTAGCTGCCTGTTTGAGTGATGAGGCAGATTGGAGACATAGTCTTAAAGGTAGCATTCAGCCGGTGAGATATCTTTCTTTCTGGCCGAGGCTTTCCTGGCTTTATAAATTGCTGGTCTGACTGTGTGTTCTGTGTGCACAGTTCATCAAGGCTCTTTCTTTGTACAGTCAGTCCAGAAGAGTCTCGGAAATAAAGCACCCAGTGGGAGGGCCCCAGCTCTCAGGCTTTTTTTTAACTTGTTAAGGCTTTGAGTCTGCTGTTGCGTGGCCCTACTCAAGAGTGCCTTAAAAGGGCAATTACTAAGCCCCCCAGATCACAGGCCTGATAAGTTATTAGACTTGCCACGTAAAATGTATACCTATTCCCTACCAGGATAAGTCGCTAATCTGAGTTCCTTGGGTTGGTGTCCACATAAGAGTAGATGAGATTTAGCCACAGTCATTTCTTTATTAATGGTGGTTACGCTCATAGCTCATGGAGAAATTTCTTAAAACATAGAAAGAAATGAGTGGCTTTTCCTGATATGTCCCTTTGGCCTTTGACTGCAGATTGCTGAGGTTATGAGCTAACCAACTTTTCCTTTATACTCCAGTTACTTGATGCCATGTTTGGATGTAGCAAATGCATACCCAGCCCCTTATAGAGAACAGAAAAACAGGGAAGCTATAGAAATCTGAGTGCATTAGAGTCCCACTGCCCATACCACACCCTAGCACCTCCATGTAGTAGCTTTGTGATGTTAGACAATTTCTTCAGCCTCTTTGACCCTCGGTCTTCTCATTAATAATGTATTGTCTACTTCACAGCTTTGTGAGGCCTCACCTGGGGTGGTTGAAAAAGGACAGGGGCTAGCCAGAGATAGTAAGTACAGTACTCAAGGAGGAACTGTCCCACCCAAAATTCTGCTTGTGCCTCTGCTAAGCAAATTGTTTTTTTACAAACCACTTTAAGAATACTTAGCATATGGCCAGGCGCGGTGGCTCACACCTGTAATCCCAGCACTTTGGGAGGCCAAGGTGGGTGGATCACGAGGTCAGGAGGTTGAGACCATCCTGGCTAACACGGTGAAACCCCGTCTCTACTAAAAATACAAAAAAAAAAAAAAATTAGCCAGGTATGGTGGTGGGTGTCTGTAGTCCCAGCTACTCAGGAGGCTGAGGCAGGAGAATGGCATGAACCCGGGAGGCGGAGCTTGCACCGAGCCGAGATCACGCCACTGCACTCCCGCCTGGACAACAGAGCGAGACTGTGTCTCAAAAAAAAAAAAAAAAAAAAAAAGGAATGCTTAGCATATACAGGCCGGGCACGGTGGCTTACACCTGTAATCCTTGTAATCCCAGCACTTTGGGAGGCCAAGGTGGGTATATCACCTGAGGTCAGGAGTTGGAGACCAGCCTGGTCAACATGGTGAAACCCCATCTCTACCAAAATTACAAAAATTAGCCTGATGTGGTGGTGGGCGCCTGTAATCCCAGCTACTCGGGAGGCTGAGGTGGGAGAATCAGTTGAACCCAGGAGGCAGAGGTTGCAGTGAGCCAAGATCGCACCATTGCACTCCAGTCTGGGCGACAAGAGCTAGACTCCATCTCAAAAAAAAAAAAAAAAAAAAGAATGCTTAGCATATACTAAGCATCAGTAAAAATCTGAGCGAGGTATTATATATAGCTGATGGGGTTCTATTATTATTCATGAGCTAAGAATGGCCTCTTTAGGCAATTAGGCCAGTTATCTATTCTCTGCCGGCGGAAAAGTGGCTTTTTAAATTTTTTTTTTTATTTTTTAGATGGAGTCTTGCTCTGTCGCCCAGGCTGGAGTGCAGTGGCATGATCTTGGCTCACTGCAGCCTCTGCCTCCCGGGTTCCAGCATTCTCCTGCCTCAGCCTCCTGGGTAGCTGGGATTACAGGCTGCACGCCACCAAGCCTGGCTAATTTTTGTATTTTTAGTAGAGATGGGGTGTCGCCATGTTGGCCAGGCTAGTCTTGAACTTCTGACCTCCTGTGATCCTCCCACCTCGGCTTCCCAAAGTGCTGGGAAGGCACCGTGCCTGGCCAAAAGGCACGTGAGGCACCGTGCCTGGCCAAAAGTAGCTTTTTTAAAGCCAGAATCTCTTGTTGTTTTTATTGTACCCTAACCTATGACTGGCAGGTTATAACTGGTTGCAATATTGCTGAAGGACATAGGTTCATTTTTGTTTGAGAATAAAATTCTCATAACATAAAATTTGCTGTTTTAACCATTACAAAGTATACAATTTAGTGGTTTTTTGAATATTCACATTATTGTGTAACCATTACCACTGTCTAATTCCAGAAAACTTTTATCACCCCAAAAAAGAAACCCCATATTTATTAATCAGTCACTCCCTATCTGCCCAGGACATATGGTCTTAAGGTGCTTTAATGAGATGCTAAAATGGGCATTGAGTCAACATTAGGTCTTAAAACACTGTCAAATTATTTGGCCCAGAATAATTTACAGGGTAGAATTTTGGACCTTTGTCTGTATTAGAACAGAATCTTGGCCCTGCCTGCCAAAACTTCCTCAGCCCACACTGGTGCAGAGGTGGGATTCTCCTCTTCAGTCATGGGTCCTTGTCAAGTTCAGCCTTTTTTAAATCTATCATTTATGAAGCTCCTACTATGTGCCACACTCAATTGTTTTTACATGTATTTAATCTCAAAACAGTCCTTATACAATAGTGTTATACTGTAGTACATAAATAAATCTCCATGTTACTGGTGAGGAAATGGAGGTGGGAGCAGCTGATGCAGCTTTCCCCAAGCCACACCAGTACGAAGTGGCAGAACAGGTTGTGTCAGGCTTCAGAGCCCATGCATTTGTTCTCCCTTAAGAGAAGGTCAGCTCCACGGCCTAGTTCAACTAACTGTTAGGAATGTTTCTCACCACTTTACAGCAGTGTAGGCATATCAGTTAATCACTGTCATAATAATGCTGAGTGACTCCCAGCCACAAAACCCCAGTGACACATGACTGTAATCGCTAAGCGTAGAAGTCTGGATCAGCTGGTCCTGCTTGGGCTCGGCTGGGTCAGTTCACCTTAGGGCTAGCAAGAGCTCTGCAGCATCTTTGCTGTTCTTGCCTACATATCTGGGTTCAGCTGGCTGTAGATTGATCTAGAATGGCCTCAGCTGGGATGACTGGGACAACTAGCTCTGCTCCACATGTCTTGCATCTTCCACCCTGAAAATCCTATTCTGAAGGCAGTAGGAAGGTGCAAAGGCAAGCAAAGATGGCCACACGGCACCTTTCAAGCTTCTACTGACTTCAGGTCTGCTCAGACCCCACCGGCAAAAGCAGTCACATAGCCAGCCAGAGCCCGGGCTGGGGAAGATAGACTTTGCCTCCTTAGCGAAGGGAACTGCAAGGTCACATGATAAATGGAATGGCTAGAGTGTGAAGGATGGAGCTATGAATGCCATCCCTCCACTACAGTAGGTCAGCGCCAGTAATTTACTAACACTCAGTAATTACCAAGAGCCTTCTGTGATTGGTGCCTGCTTCATCTTCCGCCTTCTCCCTTGCCAGTTCTCTACATTGTTCTCTAATTTAATGGATAATGTTTGTCATTCGATTTCTCACTTCCAAACCTTTTCCCAGTACCATCCCTTCTGCCTGGAGTGGTTTTCCTTCTCCCTGAGCCTGACTCCCTCCTGCTTCTCCTTTGGGCATCACTTTCTTGAGGAAACAGTTGTTGATGGCAACCTCAGGCTTGCTTACAGGCCTTTGTTAATGCAGTGGTGGTAATAATGACTATGTGAGATGGTAATTATCATTTTATAACATCTTTATTGAGATATAATTAACCATAGCATAACATTTACCTATTAAAAATAGACAACTTAATGGTTTTGATATATGCCCAGGTCTGTGTGTAGCACAATCTAAGTTTCAACCATTTTCATCAACCTAAAAAGAAATCTTATACTCACTAGCTGTCACTCCCCATTCTCTCCTGTATCCCAGCCCTTGGCAACCACTGATTTACTCTCTAGATTTATCTATTCTGGGCATTTTGTATAAATGGATCATGTTACATGTAGTCTTTTATAAGTGTCTTCTTTCACCTATAGTGTTTTCAAGGTTCATCCATGTACATCCATCTATGTTAATATGTATCAGTGTGTCATTCCTTTTTACTGTGGAATAATATTCTATTGTATGACTATATCACATTTTATTCATTCACTAGTTGATTGACATTTGCGTTCTTTCCACTTTTTCACTATTCTGAATAATGCTGCTGTGAACATTCATGGACAGGTTTTTCTTTGGACATATGTTTTCATTTCTTTTGGATATATATGTAGGAGTGAAATTGCTGATCATATGGCAATTCCACATTTAAGCGTATGAGGAACTGCGAGCCTGTTCCAAAACCATCCTACCAGCAGTATATAAGGATTCCAGTTTCTCCATTCTCACTTACACTTATCATCGTTTGTCTTTTTATTTAGGCCTCCTAATGGGTATGGAGTGGTATCTCATTGTGGTTTTGATTTTTATTTCCCTAAAGGCTAATGATGTTGAGCATCTTTTCATATGCTTATTAGCCATTTGTATATCTTCTTTGGAGGAATGTCTACTCAGATCCTTTATTCATTTTTGAATTGAGTTTGTCTTTCTATTATTGACTTATAAGAGTTTTTGGGCCAGGTGCGGTGGCTTACACCTATAAAACCAGCACTTTGAGAGACCAAGGCAGAAAGATCGCTTGAGCCCAGGAGTTTGAAACCAGCCTGGGCAACATGGCAAAATCCCATCTCTACAAAAAGTTAAAAAATTAACCAGGCATGATAGTACGCACCTGTGGTCCCAGCTACTTGGGAGGCTGAGCTGAGAGGGTCACTTGAGCCCAGGGGTTTTGAGGCTACAGTGAGCCAGGATCATGCCATTGCACCCCAGCCTGGGCAACAACAGAGTGAGACCCTGTCTCAAAAGGAAAAAAAAGAAACAAAACAGGGCTGGGCATGATGGCTCACACCTATAATCCCAGCACTTTGGGAGGCTAAGGCAGGAGGATTGCTTGAGCCCAGTAGTTCAAGACCAGCCAGGGCGATGTGATGAGACCCTCACTCGCTACAAAAAAATTAAAAAATTAAATAAATAATTAGGTAGGTATGGGGATACATGCCTGTAGTTCCAGCTACTCAGGAGGCTGAGGTGGGAGGATCACTTGAGACCAGGAAGTTGAGGCTGCAATGAGCCATGATCTTGCCACTGCACTACAGTTTGGGCAACAGAGCAAGACCCTGTCTCAAAAAAACAAAAACAGAGAGTTTTTCTATATTCTGGATACAAGTTGCTTATCAAATATTTGATTTGCACATATTTACTTCCATCTTCCATATTTGTAAATGTATCTCCTGTCTCCATTTTGTGGGTTGCCTTTTCACTTTCCTAATGGTATCATTTGCAGCACAAAAGTTTTTACTTTGAGTACACTAAGTCCAATTTCTCTTATTCTTTTGTTACTTGTGCCTTTGGTGTCATAGCTAAGAAACCCGTCTACTTCAAGCGCACTGCTTACCCATTTAGGTCTGTGATCCATTTCACATTAATTTTTCAAATAGTATGGTATAGTAATTATCTTTTATGCATATTTTCTCTACCAAACTGTGATCTTGAAAGTAAGGACTGTTTTTCATTTTGTTTGTTTTTTGAATGGGGGTCTCATTGTATTGCCAAGGTAGAACTCCTGGGCTCAAGGGATCCTCCTGCCTCAGACTCCTGAGTAGACAAGACTACAAACACATGCCACCAGCCCCAGAAGGGTGGTTTTTAAAATTATCTTTGGTTGACAGCACCTAGCTTAGTATACAAACTAGGAGCTTTGCAAATGTTTATCAAACAGTGTGTGCTTGGCCCCTGAAAAGCTGCATTTAATGAATTGTGTTTTCATGTTCTCTATCAGCCTACATCAGAGGACATCAGGCTCACATTCTGTGAAGTTTGCTGCTTTGTTTACTGCTAGTATGGAGTTGGGGATATTATCCATTCTTTCATGTGACAGATATTTCTTGAATGTTCTCTTAAGTGTCAGGCTCTGTGCTGGTCTTGTGGGGCGTTTCTGCAGCATCCTCTTCTTGAGGCCCTTCTGTCTGCCATCACTTCCAGGGCCTCTCTTGTGCAACTGGTTTGTTTTTATGTTTTATATTGAATTGTACAGTTCATTATATTTTCTCTTTGACCTTGTCTGCCAGAAAGTTTTCATGTTATTTCTAAAGAATGGTTAGGACTGCATGCCATTCATTTTTATATTACTCTCACTCATGGTTTTGTATTGTCATTCCTCTCTCTCTATTCTGTTTTCTTTATCTGCTTAGCATTCTTTTTATTTTGTCTTTTAAATATTTATGTATATATTATCTTTTTTTTTACACCATGGAATACTATGCAGCCATAAAAAATGATGAGTTCATGTCCTTTGTAGGGACATGGATGAAACTGGAAATCATCATTCTCAGTAAACTATCGCAAGAACAAAAAACCAAACACTGCATATTCTCACTCATAGGTGGGAATTGAACAATGAGATCACATGGACACAGGAAGGGGAATATCACACTCTGGGGACTGTTGTGGGGTGGGGGGAGGGGGGAGGGATAGCATTGGGAGATATACCTAATGCTAGATGACGAGTTAGTGGGTGCAGTGCACCAGCATGGCACATGTATACATATGTAACTAACCTGCACAATGTGCACATGTACCCTAAAACTTAAAGTATAATAAAAAAAAATGGCTTTATAAGGAGAAAAAAAAAAGAATGTTTTAATTTCAGTAAGAATGAAACAATAAAACTTTAGAAAATGTAAAAAAAAAAAAATTAAATATTTATGTATATATTATCAAAGGTACCTCAAATATTTATTTTAGAACAACACTGAGGTTTAATAAAAAAGATAAGTTTTTTCCTAATTGAGAAAAAGAAATTGTTTATAGTTATGTCAATAAACTGTAATATAGCAGATACAGTTGTGTATAGCCTATTTGTTTTATGCTAAGTTTGAAAGAAAAACGTTCAGGAGATCATTCTGTCTTCCATGCAGTCAGAAACAAGCTCGTGATAGCTGACCTGTTTAGCATTGTGAGGCAGCTATGGCATTCAGCAGTGGTTAGTACAAACAGAAGATGAACTCATGTGGTATTTTCGTTGCCTGAGCTATATGTGTATGTATGTGCACATATGTTTATAATACTTTGTGCTTCTTGATACTTGAACTCCCTTAGGTACTTGTTGCCAACTAGGTTCTTATGCCTCAGCATAACCTTGTGGTTGCACATAATCTCCCAGCCAAAGGGATGGATCCCAGGTGAGATCATTGGCTCAGAATAGGAGCACAGGATAGGTGAGAAACAAGATTGGCTTGGCTGCCAGCAGCAAGGCATACAAATTCACATTGGTCCTGGTAGAACCGAACCAGGTGGAACACAGGATTCTTAAGTAGAGTAGGCATGGTGGTCACCTCAGTCACAGTAATGACTCAAGAAATTCAGGATCAACAAGGTTGCAGCTAAGAAGATGTGGGAAGAACTGGTTCCTATGTTAAAGGGAACATTACTGAGCTGTTGTTCAATTTTTGCCACCTAAGAACAGTTGTCCTGTGCCAAAATCAACCTTATCCCTGCTGTAGGATTCAGAAATCTTAAAGGACCTTGACTGGTTAGCAAATCTGCCTTTAAAAAACATGAAAACCTTGGTGTCTAAGGCTGAAGAGGGAGTAGTGGTCTCTTAAGTTGATAGAGCTTTTGACCTGAGGGCCATGATTTCCTATGGAATCCATGTAGGTTGACTTTAGTGTCCTTTCTTACAGAGAAGACCTCGAGTTTCTATAGCTGAAATGACCTACGTGTGCTCTAAGCCTAAGCAGGAAGTTCAGGCTGTAGGGAACCTGATAGGAAGTAAAAAATTAAAAGTTTCCCTAAAGCAAATGTGAAGTTAGGATTTCATTAAGCCGTCATTGATAATAGTGAGATTTTAAACTAGAAAATATTTGTTTCCTTTAAATATTGCTTTGATTCACGTTTAAATTAATTATTAGAAATATTAACATAGGGAATGTTTTACTTATAAGTGACTGGTATTTATAAGCATGTGCCCCACCCAAACCCCTTGCTACAATTAAATAGATGATACTTCAAAAAAGACATCAAACCTTTAGAGAATGTGTAGATTCAGAAGTTTCAAACCAGCAACTACATAGGAAGTTGACAAAGAGGGTTAGGTGTCAAGTGGTGCTGTACCAAACCCTCCAGGGGAACGGTAACTAGCATTGTCTCCAAAGAGGTTTTCATTTCTCTTTGTCACACTGCCTGAAATTCTGGCAGGTATCTCAACCCAAATGCCTTTAATGACCAGCAAGAGGATTACATTTATATTTATAAAAGCAAACAAAAACTATTGGCCTTGCCAACTAAAACATGCATACACTCCCTGTAGATTAGAGAATCATTTAGGCTGGAGAGTAAGTGTGAACACTTCTGGGCACGTCGGAGTGGTTCTTCGGGGTGTCTTACTGTAATCAGGTACACGTAGCGGGTAGGATGTGGCTGTCTGGTGTGACTTGGTGTCCCAGGCTTGGCTGGGGGGCATAGTCTGCCACAGGGCGCCAGCTTGGGAGTGTGTTCCACTGAACTTAGGTCATTGTTTAAGCTATGGCACCGTCACAATTCTAGCCTTTCAGTCTCTTTTGTTAAAAAGTATATTTTGCCATTTATTTAAGTACTTTCTAAATGTTTTTAGATCTCAAAGACGGAATTAGATTGGTTCCTTCAAGATTTGGAAAGAGAAATTAAAAAATGGCAACAGGAAAAAAAAGAAATCCAAGAAAGACTAAAATCACTGAAGAAGAAAATTAAAAAGGTTTCAAATGCCAGTGAAATGTAAGTAATGATTGAAAGGCAGTAATTTTTATTTAAAAAAAAATATTGTGGCTTTTGGTTATTTTCACATTTTTGATATTTAATATTAAACTACATCAAGTAAAGTAAAAATGAATACTGTTTTCATTGTTTTGTCTCATTTAAAAAAGTATTCATTGAGTAATTATCTCACCTGAATTTTTTTCTAAACTTAACATTTTTTCAGATAAATTATATAAAAGTGAGAGTAGCATGGAACTGAGAATCCCCAAGGAACTGACTTCCTTCCAGTTTGAACACCATCCCTTTCTCTGGCCCTCTTTTTTCTTATCAGCAAAACATGGGGGCTGGTCTAAAATCTAAGGTTCTTTTCAAAAGTAAGATTCTGTGATGATTATTTATAATTACTTTTATCCTGAATCTATAAATTATTAAAATTTGTCTTGTAGTGTGAACGATTTGATAACATATACAGATCCTAGGAATGATTGTCAGGTGGGCCAAGAGTGTGTTTTAAGATTCTCTGTGATCCATCCCTAACCTCCCTCTGCTCTTAACAGTGATAGGTCAAATTCTTCAGCTTGTTTTCTACCACTGTGTAAGAAAACACCCAAAAGTCAGTTTCTTTATTAGCAGCCATTGTATTTGCTCATGGTCCTGCAATCTGGGCTGAGTTCAGCTGGGCCATTCTTCTGCTGGTCTTGCCAGGAGTCCTCATGTGGCTGAATTTAGCTGGGTGATGACTGGGGGTGGCCTCAGCTGGGATGCTGGGGTGGCTTGGCCTCACTTTCTCTCTGTGTAGCCTCTCTGTGATTTTTATTTATGTGGTCCTTCCATATGATCTCTATTATGATAGCCAGACTTCTTACATGGTAGCTAAGGACTTCAAATGGTGCAGAAGTGGAAGCCACTAGGCCTCCTGAAGGTTCAGGCCCAGAACTGTCACAGCATCATCTCTGCTACCTTTTATTCCTTAAAACAAGTCATAGGCTTGGTCCAGATTCAAGGGCATGAATAATGGGAGGCTGGGTTCACTGGGGGGCCACGCTACACACTCACCTTTCAAGGGCTTTTGTGTTTTTCCATGCCGCATGCCATATGATCAGATGACTTTCATTATGAGTCTTGCTAGCATTACATTTAGGCAGTCCTCAAACAATGAGGAAAAGTAAAACACTGCCTCAGAATTTTCACTCCCTGTGTCATGTCATTTTGATGATCAAAGTAGCTTCACTAGTAGAACACACTTACGGAAACAATAATGTCTGTAAAGCTTTTTACCTCTAATATTTGAGCATGACCAGTCTTGGTCATTTTGTTACTAAAAAGTGTGGAAATATTTATATTTAACATACTTTTTTTGTTCAATTCAGACATACTGTCAAACTAGACAAGGTAACTAGAGGCTGTTAATGATAAGAAATTTTTTTTCTGTACTAGCATAAAAGTTAATTTCTGCTGGAGAATAAACTTTTTATTGTTGACTTTTTTCCATTTTATTATTAGATTTCTTTACCTTTCCTGTCACAATTTAAAGATAAGCCACACGCTTCTCTCTAAGTTTTTTGCTTTTTTTTTTGAGACAGAGTTTTGCTTTTGTCACCCAGCCTGGAGTGCAATGGTGCAATCTCAGCTCACTGCAACCTCTGCCTCCCATGTTCAAGCAATTCTCCTGTCTCAGCCTCCCGAGTAACTGGGATTACAGGTGCCCACCACCACGCCTGACTAATTTTTCTATTTTTTTTTTTTTTTTTTTAGTAGAGATGGGGTTTCACCATGTTGGCCAGGCTGGTCTCGAACTCCTGACCTCAGATGATCCACCCATCTCGGCCTCCCAAAGTGCTGGGATTACAGGCATGAGCCATTGCACCTGGCCTGCTTTTTACATTTTCCAAATAAATGCTTTAAAGCTCAATTTTTCTATTTAGATTTTTAAGTAAAATCTTTAAACTTTTTGGATCTCTTTCTCAGAGATGCACAAGGGACATGAAAAATGATTTCTTGGATGTTTCTGTGCTCTTGATCACACTTAGTATTCGTTAAGAAATGACTAGAACATAGAGCTCATGATTGGTACAGTGACACAAACCACAGATGGCTATGAAAGAAGGCAGGGCTTCCATGAGAGTGTCAGAGTGTCACCCAGTATTTGTCTATTTAGAGGAGGGAGGAAGTGTTTTACAAAAGAAGTAAAATAATAGTTAAACTGGCTTGTATTAGAAACAAGCGGCTTTAGTAAACAGAGATGACTGCAAAGGTATCTCAGGGTAGCATGAAAGAAGAGGCAGAACCCGCCTTGTGCAGGGCATGGCTCAAGAATCGGAGATTCACACACTTGTTTTGAAGGATTATCAGAGAATGTGAGTGTGTGTGTGCGTGCGCACCCGCGTGTGTGCATGAATGCTTGTTTTGACTTTAAGTTCTGTTTTAAAGAGTAGAAGGCTGTTTTCATTTTGAATGAGAATCCACATCTTCTCATTTTGAATAAGAATCTCTGGTTACACTGATGATGATGCCGCAGTACCTGTGTTCTCTGCTTGAGCTGCACATCTTAGACTGAGATAGGGTGATTTACCTGTAAGCATATGACTTAGAGTGAAGAAAAAGGTGATCTGGAAGGAAAATTTCCCAAAAGGGAAATGACCTCAAATTATTTTCCTATTTAGAAGATACTAAAAATGAAACAAAATGTAAAAATATATATATTAAAAAATCAAGAAATGTTTTTAAGGATATGGGTGCAATTTACTGTGTGGGGGTCCTGTTAAAAATTTTTCAAAATTAATTAATATTTGGTGATTATGCTTTTATAGGTATACCCAGAAAAATGATGGAAAGGAAAAGGAACATGAATTACATCTGGATCAGTCCCTTGAAATCAGGCAAATTAAGCTTAAATTTATTTTTAATATATTTTAATACTTTTAATGCCAGGAGTACAAGCACAGTAGACTTTGAAATATATTGTTGCTTGTCTATTTCTTTTAAATAATTATGTTTCTGTTTTCTTTATTTCTATTTCTGTTGCATTTTAAAAATTAATTTATAAATATATTCTTTGAATATTTAAATATTTTTATTTTACAAGATTTCTGCATTTATTTCCCATTGTCAATATAAAAATACTGAATTTATTGTTGTCAACTTTTTTTGGATTAACTTGAAACTATAAACATGTTGTAAAAACTTTTCTTTTGTGTTACTTGGAATATTCGTCTCCACTGTAGGCTGGTAGTTTGTTGCTGTTATTGCTTTATAATTATAGGTTCATTAAATTTTTACTATGAATCTATGCAAAGTTTCCTTTTAACCCTTGCTTGCTAATGGAAATAATATGTTTTCACATACTGCTAACCAGTACATTCAGTGATAAGCAGTTGCATTCTGCTTTTCTCACTATTGTTTCTTACGCACATTCCCATCCCGGTTTTTGAATAATTTTGTACAGATTTCTTTTTCCCTTTGGGTTCTGTCCTTGTAATATGCGTCAAAACAGAGTTTCTGGCTCAAAGGATAGGGAATGTTTTATAAAGCTTACTTTTTAAAATTTTTATTTATTTATTTTTTGAGATAGGGTCTTGCTCTGTCACCCAGGCTGGAATGCAGTAGTGCAGTCATTGCTCACTGCAGACACCATCTCCCAGCTCAAGCAATTCTCTCGCCTCAGCCTCTCGAGTAGCTGGGACTACAGGCACGCACCACCATTGTATTTTTTGTAGATATAGGGTTTTGCCATGCTGTCTAGGCTGGTCTTGAACTTCTGGGCCCAAGCGATCCGCCTGCCTTGGCCTCCCAAAGTACTGGGATTACAGGCCTAAGCCACTGTGCCCGGCCTATACAGTTTATTAATGTCACCAGATTGTACTCCACCTGCCCTCATAAAAATGGTGAACTGGAACAGTACCCTCACCTTGATTCTCAGCATGCCCACCTAATGTGCACTTCCATTTCATATCTGCCTTTGATCACTTATAAAGCACAAAGAGCACACTTGAGCCTGTGTATTGTGTAGTAAAATATGAGATGAGAAACTGCTCTGGAAGATGTAGCTGAGGCTATCGTGGTGTGGTTTCAAAGCTCATCCAGCCTGAAACCTTTGTCATCTCACTGTGAAATTTTGTTCAAGAAAGTTTTTTTTTTCCTTCAATATTTGTAGCAACACACTTACAAATGAGAAAATGAAAATAGAAGAGTATATAAAGAAAGGGAAAGAGGATTATGAAGAGAGTCATCAGAGAGCTGTGGCTGCAGAGGTGAGTCCATGACACTTAGTGACCACTATGGCATTTGTCATTTGTTTTTGTGTTTCTTTAATGACATATGAGGCATAACAGACATTACTGAAAAGTGTGGTGCATAAAGGATATCCTGTAACCCATAATATATCCTCCCTAAAACGACCACTCTTTTTCCTTGCCTATAGCCTTGTAATGTTTTACCGGTATTATGTTGTTACTTAAATGCACTCATAGTGTACACCAAATTTTGTAACCTGCCTTCCTTATTTACCATTATAATTCAGCCATTTCCTATATTATACACTTTGAATACTTTCATCATATTTAATCAAGTGATGTACCATGAAGTAGCCAACCATATTTGCCAATACTTGGAAAGGAACTTGAAAATAATCCACATATTAAGAATACGCTCCTTCTGCCCCTAGAAGAATATATAGCAATGTCAGTACACTGTTTCAGAAACTACTGAGACAAAAATCAAAATTATGACATCTGGCTGTATTTTATTTAGTTCCAGAAACATGATTCTCTATGTTTCTGTAGCTGAGAAACAAATGATATTTATTGGCATATGTGTCTGTGATTATTCTGGTAAAGTAAGAAAAGACTTAGTTTATACAGTCTGCAAACATTAGGCTTTTCAATTAAGAATTGACTATGCACCTGCTTCTAAGGACAGGAAAGGAAAAAGAGCCAAAGTATGAATACTTTTTGGGTCCTACACCAGCATCCGTATTCCTGAGCTTGTTTAATTCACACCACCGTTTGGTAAGCAGGTTTGCCTGGTGGGCCCTGTCAAGTTTACTGACACCTGGATTAAAAGGCTATTTAATGGATCATTTGGACCATGAGGCCATTTTACATTTCCTGCAGTGATTCTCACAAAAATGGCCAGTTGGTTTGTGGGGAAGCCACAGAGAGTCTAAAATCTTAAAAGCATACCCCGAAGCTTTTGATGCCCTTGCCGAGAACAGCTTCTCTGAGGCTTTTCTAAACTTGCAGAGGATGCAGCCTTTATTAAGGGTTATTCTGCTGCAGGACCATAGGTAATGCACACTCGTGTACACATGCAGTTAACCTGGCTCTGTGCTTATATATAGCTTAAGCAGAAAGCCATGTACAGTTATTCATATCTGCAAAAAGGATCATGGAAGGTATGCATTTGTGATGTCATTTTGTTCTGTTTTCAAATCTCAAAGTCTAATTCATGTTCACCTATGATACAATCAAGTTCTGATGATTCTGTCATGCTTCATTTAAGGAGAAATGGGAAAGTGGTTTGAATGTTTAAGTTTTAACCTTTAAAATAGTTTCAGGCTGTCATTTGTAAAATACTCATATGTCTTCTGATCTACTGGCAGGTATCCGTACTTGAAAACTGGAAGGAGAGTGAAGTGTATAAGCTACAGATCATGGAGTCACAAGCAGAAGCCTTTCTGAAGAAGCTGGGGCTGATTAGCCGGTATTGCAGTTTCGTGGGTGTTCTCAGCACGTCATTTAGAAGATAAAGCTAGGACCATTTGAGAAAAACATTATTTTGTATTAGGACCATTTTATTTTTAATAGTTATATAATTGATACATGTTCAATTGTAGAAAAGTTAAGACATACAAACAAAAATGATAAAAATCATTCCTAATTCTAAATGGATAGATAACATTTGTATTTTGGAATAAATTCATGAAGTGTTTGAAAAAATGAAAATTTATGAATTATTTTTACTAAATAGTATATAGGAAATTTATTTTCATATTGGTAATTACATATCTCCAACCTAATTTTGAAAAGTTGGATAGTAATTGAGCATAGAAACATGTCATGATTTACCAAACACTGCTGTGCTGGAACAGTGGAGTTGTTTGTGAATTTGTGTTAATATAAGCCACCCTGCAGTGAGCATCCTTATAGTTAACTTTTTATGCACATTATTAGTCATTTCCATGCAGTAAAATTTGGAATGAAGATCACATTTTCAAGGCTTTTAAAATTTTTTGCCAAGTTGCTTTCCATAGTAGCTATTATTTAACAGTCTGCATGACAGCATGCGAGAATGTTTACAAAGTATATTCACACATGTTAATTTTTTTTCAACTCTCCACATAATCTCTACCTGTTTTTGTTTGTTTTTTTGCGACAGAGTCTCGCTCTGCCACCCAGGCTGGAGTGCAGTGGCCTGATCTTGGCTCACTGCAACCTCTGCCTCCTGGGTTCAAGCGATTCTCTTGCCTCAGCCTCCCGAGTAGCTGGGATTACAGGCGCGTGCCACATGCCCAGCTAATTTTTTGTATTTGTAGTAGATATGGGGTTTCACCATGTTAGCCAGGATGGTCTCTATCTCCTGACCTCGTGATCCACCCACCTCAGCCTCCCAAAGTGCTGGGATTACAGGCATGAGCCACCGTACCTGGCCTTGTTCTTGTTTGTTTGTTTTTGAGATGGAGTCTCGCTCTGTCGCCCATGCTGGAGTGTAGTGGCGTGATCTCGGCTCACTGCAAGCTCTGCCTCCCGAGTTCACGCCATTCTCCTGCCTTAGCCTCCTGAGTAGCTGAGACTACAGGTGCCCGCCACCACTCCCAGCTAACTTTTTGTATTTTTAGTAGAGATGAATTTCACCATATTAGCCAGGGTGGTCTCAATCTCCTCATCTTGTGATCCACCCACCTTGGCCTCCCAAAGTGCTAGGATTACAGGAGTGCCTCCCAAAGTGCTGGGATTACAGGAGTGAGCCACCACGCCGGCCGGCCTTGTTTGTTTTTAAGATAAGGCTTGCTGGGATTCCTAGAGGATCTTCTTCACCCTAGTACTTAGCACTTCTCTATGTGGGATTACTTTTCATTGAGTCCTTTTACCATGTTCTATACACAGATTTTGTGTTTTTAATCCCAGGGTTTTGATCCTTCCTGGTGCTTGCCTTTTGATTCAAATTTCAAACCCTCAGCATTGAACCAGAGATTGTGTGAATCACGGACAGTTTTAGTGTATAGTTCTTTTTCTTTCTTTTTTTTTTTTTTTTTTTTTTTTTTTTTGAGATGGTGTCTTGCTCTGTCGCACAGGCTGGAGTGCAGTGGCGTGATCTCGGCTCACTGCAACCTCCGCCTCCTGGGTTCAAGTGATTCTCCTGCTTCCCGAGTAGCTGGGATTATAGGCTCCCACCACCACGCCAGGCTGATTTTTGTATTTTTAGTAGAGATAGCATTTCACCATGTTGGCCATGCTGGTCTCTAACTCCTGACCTGGTGATCCGCCTGCCTAGGCCTCCCAAAGTGCTGGGATTACAGGTGTGAGCCACCATGCCCGGCCCCTTCTTCATTTTCAAGATTTAATTTTTTTTCATGAGAAAACTTTTCTGATTAAAAGTAAAATGCTGATTTAGAATATAGGACTAGTACAGCTGAGGTTGAGACCAAGTGGTAGTCAACCGCCTGTACTAAGCACCCACCATAGGCTGCATTGTGGCTCATCTGGGAAACAAAGATAATCTCAGACTCATTTCATCTAATAGTATCAACTCTTCCAATAAACGGTAGAGTATACAAAGATTCTTTCTTCAGGATGCCATGCTAACTCTGCCTTCTCCACCAAAGTATAGAAACATAGAAAAGGGGTAAAAAGAATGCTCTGTTTTTTCTTCAATATGTATAATGAGGTCTTACTATACCCACAGATTGGTAGTGTTTTTGATCTTCTCAATTAGGAGTAGTCAATTTATCTGTCACTTTCAATAGACCAGATTCATGAGGTGCTGAGATTCATGAGGTGCTGAGATTATAAATTTATCTTAGGCTCATCCTTTATTTTTATATTAAGGTAATGATTAGGGTTTGATTGGAATCTTTTGAATGTTTCAGACTACCTTTTTAAAAAATCTTTAAATGCAGACGCTGTCTTTAATATTAAACATAAAGATGTCAGATGAAGAACGGTCAAACTTTCAAATTTGGGAAAAGAACTTAAAATTCAGGAGACTTATTTTCTCTCTGCCCTTCGGTTTTAGAGTTTTTGTTATATTAATAATTAAAATTTTCTAAAGTGTCTCTAGTGGCAAGTTTACAAGATAAGCAATTCCTTAAAAATAGTTGGATTTTTGTGTGTATGTGATTATGTTAAATGTCTCTTTTGCTCATGTTTAGATGTTTATTTGACCGTAAGTGCTTTTAATTTTTAAAATTTCTAAAGCAGTTTTATATTATACTTTTTCAGTGATCCTGCAGCATATCCTGACATGGAGTCTGATATACGTTCATGGGAATTGTTTCTTTCTAATGTTACAAAAGAAATTGAGAAAGCAAAGGTAAGTTGTAAACATCTTTTAATCCCATCAAAATCTTTATGATAGTTATAATTCTCGGGAGGCTGGTGTCATATTGAATCTATTTCTTTTTTATCTATTATTATCAATAATTTTTTTTGTTGAAAGTATTATGAGCTTTTCATGGAACTAATGGTTTTGTTTTGTTTTTTTGAGTTGGAGTTTCGCTCTTGTTGCCCAGGCTGGAGTGCAGTGGTGCGATCTTGGCTCACTGCAACCTCCGCCTCCCAGGTTCAAGTGATTCTCCTGCCTCAGCCCCCCAAGTAGCTGGGATCACAGGCATGTGCCACCATGCTCGGCTAATTTTGTTTTTGGTTTTGGTTTTTAGTAGAGATGGGGTCTCTCCATGTTGGTCAGGCTGGTGTCGATCTCCTGACCTCAGGTGATCTGCCCGCTTCGGCCTCCCAAAGTGCTGGGATTGCAGGTGTGAGCCACCGCGCCCAGCCGGAAGTAGTGATATTTTCTTAATTAAATTAACCATCTTGACCTCTGCCTTGATTGGTAAGATTAGAGGAGTTATGTTTGAAAAGGCTTTGGAGCATTCGGTTTAATGAGGTCTTATTTTGAATTTCCTTACCAAGACAGTTATGTTTCATTTATAATGTGTAGGAAGAAACAAAGTATTAATTGACAATTGTGGTTTTCCCACACTTTACTTTCTACTCACAGTCTCAGTTTGAAGAACAAATTAAGGCAATTAAAAATGGTTCTCGGCTCAGTGAACTTTCTAAAGTGCAGATTTCTGAGCTTTCATTTCCTGCCTGTAACACGGTAAGTCTAGCACATCTTTTTTTTTTTTTTAAACCATAATTCATTTGTTAACTGGCCAAAGTAGTTATTTGTTGTTGTTTCCTGGGAGTGAGGATGAGATTGGTTAATAATTGCCTTAATGTTTCATTATTGGTGCTACTGATTAACCTTTTAAGCTTTATAACATTCTTATATAAAATAGATCAGTCTTTCTACATCTGTATGAGGGATGGACTGAGATGAATACACCATTGCTACATTTCTATCACTCTCATGTTCCTTGGCCTGTCTTCTATCTTTGTGTGTGTGTGTGTGTGTGTGTGTGTGTGTGTTGTATATGTATTCCTGACTTTGAACAAATAATCCAGGAGTAGCAGTTGCCTGTTGCGCACTGCTTTTGTGATTCAAGCAGGCCGCTATCACCACCTCAGATTATACTCTTATTCCTAGATATTTGGGACATAAGACCAAAATCTAAAAATTAAGAGGTTTCCTCCTCAAATACAGAATAAAAGCTGCTATGCCTGAGGCATACAGGGCTTTGTTGGTCCGGCACATCATATTTTACTATTTGTTTGAGGTATTTGCCGAATCTTGTTAATAACAGTGAATAATCTTGTCTTTTTATTTTAATATACACAGCACAGTAAAGAAAAGCATTAATTGCATTTTGTGGACTTTACAACATGGCTAAACCCATATTTCTTAGATTTGGACATAGATAGATGCTTAGTAAATACTAAATTGAAATGAATTAGGCCCAGAGGAGATCAGACCATAGGAATTTAAAGTTAGATCTTGAGAGAAAACTTAGGTAAAAAAGAAAAACAAAATTAAAGGAGGACTGTGTGTGAGAGTTGAAAGATATAAGTTCCAGAATGTTGTGGCAGGACAGTGAAATCTTCTGGTTCCTAAAGACGGAGGAGACTCTCTCCCAGCACCTGACTTCCACCCTCCCACTACTGCCAGACCTTTGCCTGGGCTGTTCCTAGCCTGGAGCACTGTCCCCGCTCTGCATCCTGCCTTCCCCTGAAACCCCGTCAGGCGTGCCCTCTTTTGGCCTCCCACTGTGTCCCTTCTCTCATGTGCATTAGATCTCAGCCTGGCCTTGAATGTCTCTTTCTCACCAGTACCTTGCACAGTAAACATTCAAACTTACTGTGAATTCATCTGAAAAAAAAAAAATTAAGTGTGGAAAAAGTGTGACCACCCTGAACTGAGTAAAATATTCTGTTGAGATCCAGTTTTTTCTCTCCATTGAATGTGCAGTTTTAGTTAGAATTACACTAAAGGGCACTTATCATTTATCGTTTTTCCAAGTTCTTGTAACAGATATGTATAGAGAAAACGTTGGCTCTCAATAGGATATTTTACTGTTAGTTTGTAATCCTAGCTTATGTTATTTTATCAATACTCAAAAGGATTTTCATATCCTAAATTCTGGGAACTCTTAGTGTGCCAGGAGCTTGAGTAATAAGTGTGCCTAAAAATTATTTGTATCTCATTTCTCCCTCATTCATTCATTCGGTAATTAGTGGTGATAAAGACTGATGTGGGCTGTGCCCTCAAAGTGCACATGGACTTGGGGAAAGGCAGACTTTAAACCCATTGTTACCTGCAGCAGAGTGAGGTTTCTCATGGCAGAATGCTGGAGCGGCGTGGATCAGGGGCCACTAACCTAATCTAGAGGTGTGGCCTCAGCGGGAGATTCCCAGTTGGAAGTCTCCCAGAGACAGAGATCTGCAATAGGAACTTACCAGACAAAGGAGTGAGAGGGGTGTGTTTGGACGGTTAGAGTTCCAGATGGAACACACAGTGCTCCTGGAGCCTAGAGAGACAGAGAACACACTCCTTTCATACTGTAATAGAAGCCCAGTATGACGCAGGGGCAAAGCCAATGGAGCCTTCTTCTCTAAGCTGTGTTACAGCAGCTTAGACACTTCTAGCTTCATTAGACCAGACAGGATAGGTCTCAAATAAGGGAACAGCAGCAGAACAGGAGTCCCTCCTTCTTCATGGCTTCGCTTTCCGTGGTTTCGGTTATCCGCAGTCAACCGCAGTTAGAAAATACTCAATGGAAAATTCCAGAAATACATAATTCCTAAGTTTTAAATTGCACACTGTTTTGAGTAGCGTGATGAAATCTGTATTCTCACATGGTCACATTGTGACCTCCTCCCTTTGTCCAGTGTTTTCATGCTGTTGCTGCTCCCTGCCCGCGAGCCACTTAGAAGCTGATTTGGTGACCAGATGAACTTCTCGCGTTACCCCAGTGCCTGTGTTCAAGTCACCCCTATTTTACTCCATAATGGCCCCAAAGCATGGGAGTAATGATGCTGGTCAATCAGATATGCCATAGAGAAGCAATATATTGCTTCCTTTAAGTGAAAAGCTGAAAGTTCTCAACCCAATAAGGAAAGAGAAAAGATCGTATCCTGAGGTTGCTAAGATCTATGGTCAGAACAAATCTACCCATGATATTGTGAAGAAGGAAAAAGAAATTCATGTACAGTATATGTAGGGTTCGGTACTCTTTGCGACCTCAGGCATTCACTGGGGGGTCTCAGAATGTATCCCTGAGGATTACGGGAAGCTACTATGCTTTTTGAAGATGAGCTTGCCACTAATGTGGGGGAATGTTGGGGAGGGGCTTGAGTGATTTCCATTTGTTCGATTATCAGTTTATTGCCATCAGCCTGTCCTGGATGGGGCATGGCAGTGGGGGTGGAGGGAAGAGAACAGATGTGAGAGGTGATTGGGGGTACATTTACAGGTGCCATGCTGCTCAGGAGACCAGGCCCCATGTGTCCACGTGGGAGTTGAGGGTGAGTCTTGGGCTTCCGTCCAGGAGTACTAGGGGAAGAGCAGGACTGGGGAGGCTGCCTGAGGCTGGTTTCCAAAACACTGACTTTGAGTTGCCTTGGAATCACCCAAGTGGATTTGCAGATTTGGATCTCAGGAAAATATTCTAGACTGCAAACTTTTAAAAAGATTTGGCCTCAGGCAGCTGCATGGGGAGGAGTGTCAGCACTGCAGGCGTGGACGGAGGCCTGAGAGCTGCCAGGAGAGCTGGCAGGGAAGAGGAGGCGGCCCCCTGGGATGGAGACAGCTCTGGGGAGTGTGGTGGCCATGATGTTCCATCTGTCAGCTACATGGTTTAGCTCAGAAGGGGAAAAGTGTAACCAGGTAGAGGCTGAAGGAGGGCCAGTAGGCAGGCAAAATGGTCTCATCTTACAGAGAAAATAGTGACTTATAGAGATAATTATTTAGAAGTCTGAGCCCTCCTACTCTTGTTCTAATAACTAACAAGTTATTGTCAAGAATTCTTTTAAAACGAAAATATTTAATTCATGGTATTCAGGTTTCCTGTGCACGGAGCCTCTGCGCTGCGTTACTGTATTTATTCATCGGCCTTTGTCCTTGGGCGTTTCATCCTTCAAGGGAAGCCCTAAGTGATCCATGGTGTGGTGTGTTCCTCACAGGTTCATCCCGAGTTACTCCCTGAGTCTTCAGGCGACGATGGCCAAGGGCTTGTGACTTCTGCAAGCGACGTGACTGGAAACCACGCAGCACTTCACAGGGATCCTAGTGTGTTCTCTGCTGGTGATTCCCCAGGGGAGGCTCCTTCTGCGCTGTTGCCAGGGCCACCCCCTGGTCAGCCTGAAGCCACTCAGCTGACAGGGCCAAAACGGGCTGGCCAGGCAGCTCTGTCAGAACGAAGCCCTGTGGCTGATCGGAAGCAGCCTGTTCCTCCAGGACGTGCTGCGCGTTCAAGCCAGTCTCCAAAAAAGCCGTTCAATAGTATTATTGAGCACCTGTCAGTGGTATTCCCATGTTACAACAGGTATGAACAGAAAATGTCTGTGACTGTGTTTAATACTTTATCGAACTGAGGTTTCCTGATTAGATAAAATCATGGCTAGTTAGGTGTTAACATGAAAAGGGTTGCATAATTGTTTTGCTCAGAAAGACAGTTGCTACATTTCTTTCTTTTTGTAAATATAGAGATAAGTATTTTCAAATAAATTGGTGGGTTTTTTCTTTCTTTTTTTTTTTTTTTTTGAGACAGAGTCTCACTCTGTTGCCTAGGCTGGAGTGCTGTGGCACAGTCTCGGCTCCCTGCAACCTCTCCCTCCCGAGTTCAAGCGATTCTCCTGCCTCAGCCTCCTGAGAAGCTGGGATTATAGGCATGCATGACTAAGCCTGGCTAATTTTTGTATTTTTAGTACAGGTGGGGTTTCACCATGTTGGCCAGGCTGGTCTCGAACTTCTGACCTCAAGTGATTCACCCGCCTTGGCCTCCCAAAGTGCTGGGGTTACAGGCATGAGACGCCACACCCAGCCTCAAATAAATTTTTTAATGTGCATATGTAAATTGAAAACATTGAGCACTGGGTAATATTCATCAGAACCCATGACAATTTGCTAAGATTTTGATGAGACCAATAGCACTGTCTAAAACTAGTGTTATAGTATCAATAAATGAACGCAAAACAATAATTTTGCATCATTTGGGGGGACAAAATTATATATAGCAAAGAAGGCAGCAGCAACTTAAACCTTGTTATATAAGACCTCTGATTTGTTAGAGTGTGAGGTTGAAGACTGGATGGAATTCCATAGTGAATGGGGCATGTGGACATGTTAACAAGGGGTCCTTGTGAATGTGGGAAAAAGCTGCCCTTACCTGAGTGAGCAAGAGCTGTAAATAGAGTTGGGATGATGGCAGGCTCTTCAGTAGCGTTTCTGCCTCCACCTCTGGTTTCCGCTGTTCAGGTTGTTACGAGGGGGACAGAGTTGCCTCTTGTCTCAGCTGTGAAAGATGATGAGGTAGAGGCGGTGTCTCTGAAGTGCAGCTCGGATCAAAGGACTCTATGCTCAGGAATGACCTTTGGCATGTGCCCTATTATTTCAGTTTCTGAGACAGTGTTAATTACAGGCTTCAAAATTGAAATTTGTAAACAATGGGGCAGTTAAAATATGATTAGCCAGCAGGCATGGTGGCTCACGCCAGGCCGAGGCAGGTGGATCACCTGAGGTCAGGAGTTCGGGACCAGCCTGACCAACATGGTGAAACCCCATCTCTTCTTAAAAAAAAATGGCAAAACTCGCTTGAACCTGAGAGGCAGAGGTTGCAGTGAGCAGGGATCGCGCCACTGCCCTCCAGCCTGGGCAACAGAGTGAGACACTGTCTCAAAAAAAAAAAAAAAGTTATGCTTTTTAGATAGTTATTGTTGTTATCAGTGGTCTTCAGATTAATTTTATGTGCATTTGTCTTTGTTTCTTTGGGTTGGGCTGTTGGATTAATATTGGCATGTAATATTTCTTAGCAGTAGAGAACTTTCTGTTGTCATTCATCACTCACTCTCCCTTTCAGCACTGAGCTTGCTGGTTTTATTAAAAAAGTGCGAAGCAAAAACAAGAACTCACTCTCAGGATTGAGTATTGATGAAATTGTCCAAAGAGTGACAGAACACATTCTAGATGAACAGAAAAAGAAAAAGGTATTTTATCTAGATGTTCCAGTTTATCCTTATTTATTTATAAAATATGAGAATTGTTAAAAAAAAAAAAAAGCTTCAAACCAAAACCTAGAGAGCAATGTACTAAAGACAGAAGATGGTCAAGTTGTTGGATAACTGGTTGCTTCCCTCTTGTCCCCTCCCCGCCACCCCTGTTATTTTCGCAGCCAAACCCAGGAAAGGACAAGAGGACTTATGAGCCCAGCTCTGCCACCCCCGTGACCAGGTCCTCCCAGGGCTCACCCTCGGTGGTTGTTGCACCATCACCCAAAACCAAGGGGCAGAAAGCAGAAGATGTCCCTGTGAGGATTGTATGTATAACTGTATAGTTTTGTTTTTTAATGAAAAACAAGAAGCAAACAAAATTTTTAATCCATGATTTAGCCCCATTCATTTCTAGACCTAATTTATTTGATCCCAACATTAGAAACTGAATTTCAATGTACTTGAATGTGTCCAGTTAGAGCAATCAGTGAATGGCCGAGGTCATGGTGTCTGCTGTGATACGTTTGGGCCCAGCATGGAGAGAAGCCCCTGCACATGAGTGACAAGGGCTCTGACCATCGTGGGGGATCTGAGCCTTCTCTCTCTTGCCCTTGTTTTGCTGCAGATGGTCAAGTACATGAACTTTGTACATCCAGTGTGGTATTTTGAACAGTTGGGGAAATCATTTTTGAATAATTTTCTTCTGTGTAACCATGGCTTTGGAATTACACAGATGTGTCAATGTGTCGTGTGGCCACACCCACCCCAAGATAGACCGTGATTGCCTGGAGAAGAGGGTTCTGTTTTTGCTTCATGATGGATGTTTGTAGTAACGAAGATATAAAAGCTGACTTACTGAAACTTCACCAGATTGTATGAGAAAGAAAAATATGTGTTCAAACTGGGACCTAATTTGATAACCATAGTTTGTTAAAATTAAAAGTATTAATTTTCAAATTACAAAGTATTACATACAATAGAAAATACAAATAAAAAGGGCATTTAAAAACCCGCCCTGTAATCAGTATTACCACTTTGGTATATATTTTTCTAAACTCTTGAATGCATGGATATGTGAATTAGTCAAAACTGAATACGCTAGTCACACTTTGTATGTTCTCTGAGGGGCTGAATGTTTTGGTTGTTTTCCATTTTTTTTTTTATTGTGGTTGTCCTTTTTTTCTTTTAGTTAGAAATATACTGTGCCCATCTTTTCTAGGAAATAGAAAACGGTCAAGTTAAGTGTATATTTTTTTCAAACTAAACCTGGCTCCGAGCTTTGCACTGGGCATTGGAGAGGCCTTCAATGGCTCTTCCCCGGTCTGGCACTTCCTCTTCTTCCCTGACCCTCGAGTCATGGGCAGCAGTGGAGGGGCATGAACCCTCCTTCTGCAGCATCTGCCCCATCTCCTCCTGGGCCGAGTCATGCCTTGGGAGAGACAGCAAAACCCTGAACAGCAGTTCAAGGTCTTCTCAGCCTTGGGGTGATGCCTCCAGTGCCACTCCCTGAACTTGATCCCACTGCCAGGGCTGCCTGCATTCGCCCACTCCCTCAGCAGGGGTTTTTAGAGCATGAGTTTGAGCTAGGTTTTCTGCCAGCTGCTAAAGACCCAGATGGGACTCATTTTGTGCCTTCAAGGCGCTCAGAGTTAAGAGGCAGTGAGCTAGAGTAGAAGTTAATGGTGCAGTAAGGGTAAGTGCTGTGAGCTGCAGGGAGAACTGTGCCTGGAGTCCCAGGCGACACTCAGGTCTGCTCTCACATCGAAAGCACTGTCTATGCTCACCAGACTGTGAGCCGCTGAGGCCAGAGCCCTCCATTCATCTCTGCGTCCAGCACCCGACACCAACCCTGCCCATGGATGTTTGCCGGATGAGCCATCCGTTTGTTTTGTTTTGATTTGCACAAGTAATCCATGCTCATAGAAACTAGAAAATAGTAAAGAAAAAGATTAAATCTCCCTTACCCTGAGGCAACCACTGTTAACTGTTTTTCTAGGCATGTATGTATACATGCAGCCCCTTTATTAAAAAGTGAGTTATATATGATACATGTTGTCTTGTTAGCTGCTTTCATTCAGCAGGCTGTTGGGGCCAGCTTTCTATGTCAGGGATTATGGGCTTCCGTCATGATTTTCCTTTTGGCTACACAATAGCCCATTGTGTGGATGTGTTGGAATTTACTACCCTCAACTGTTAGATGATTAAATGTATGATTAATTCACACCATGCCATGTGATTATCCCATACTGTACTTTAGGTATGGTAATCTTCACCTGGGGATCTTCTGGTCACATAAAACAGTTTTTTCTCTGAGGAAATTAGAACTTTATACTTTTCTTTTTGTATTTTTATATTTTTTCTTAAGAAATGCTATTAAAAAATAAGTTGTTTCCTCAGACTGTTTAGCTGTAATTGTGAATAATTTGCCACCCTTTGTGGCAGAAGATGTTTGAAGGCCACTTGAAGGAAGAACTCGTGTCATAAAAACAACTGTAGTTATTCTTTACTATTCAGGTGTGTTTGTTTCCACAGGCACTGGGTGCAAGTTCCTGTGAAATATGCCACGAGGTGTTCAAATCAAAAAACGTGCGTGTGCTCAAATGTGGGCACAAGTATCACAAAGGGGTAAGAGCTCTTTTTGGCCATCCTTACAGCATGCATTGGGACCTTCAAATATTTTCAAAATAAGAAAGGAATTGTTTTCTAGTCATCAGTATTTATTGTGCTTTCAAACTATTTTCTTTGCAAACCTCCCGTGTCAGTGTTCAGTGCCTCCCTGTCCTCACACCAGCTCTGCAGGAAGGGCAGCTCTGGAGACCGTCCTTTCCATCCCTTGTGGGGAGAGGGGAACAGCAGCTCCAGCCACTCGTTAGTGCTGAGATTCAAAGCAGTATTAGTTCCTTGAAAGGTGATTTCTTACACACTTGACTAAATGGAGAAACAGTGAAACCATTTTTTTGACTTAGTGTAGTATATGAAGTCAGTTTAACATTTTAGAGGAGAAAAACTAAACCTAGCTGAGTCCCTTCTGCCTGACCCAGGGACAGTCCTGCTCGTACCGTTCTGGGATCTGTGTGTGAACTATCATGGTGTTCTAGGTACCGTGAGCATTTGTGTGCACCCCTGCTGCTGGGTTAGAACAGATCAGGTCTCTGCCATGGGGATTTGCTAATCCCTTGGAACGGGATAAATACAGCATGCTCACTGAAAGGAATTGAGACCACTTGCCAAGTCTCTGGTGTGGTGTGCCTCCTTGGGTACAGGGTCTTATATTTGGGCTAGCTGACTGTCCACAGCCTCTGCAGTGTGGGCAGCAGCAGCAGGAGTGTGGCGTGCAGGCTGGAGGGCTGTTCCAGAGCCAAGGGCCAAGGCCAGGCCAAGGGATGGGCTAAGAATGAGTGATTGGGTCATAGGGCCGAGAATGCCAGGCTCTGGAATTTGGCGCAGCTGAAGTGGAAGAGCCGAGCCTGGAACCGGGGATCAGGGCAAGACCACCCCCTGAGGCCAGGTTGGAGGCCCAGAGCGCTCAGGATCTGACCCTGAGGTGGGATCGTTTGCGGCTGGGGCTTTGTCCACACTCTGGCCTGAGCGGGTGTTGGTGTCCCTGAGTATTGGGCAGCTCCAGGCCCAAGAGACCAAGGGCAAGTGAGCCACGCCTGCCAAGGAGCCCAGCAGCACAGGGGAGCTAAGCTTCCTCATGGTCCTGAAGGCATCTTCTGATTTTGTTTTCTCCTTTTCAGTGCTTTAAGCAGTGGCTTAAAGGGCAGAGCGCTTGCCCGGCCTGCCAGGGTCGTGATCTCCTGACAGAAGAGTCACCTTCTGGAAGAGGCTGGCCCAGTCAGAATCAGGAGCTGCCTTCCTGCTCTTCTAGGTAGTCACACTTCACTAAAGTGTCATCCACCAGTGTGTTGAATCCGAAGAATGACAATTTTCTACCACTGGTGTAAAAAACAAACATTTGAAGACCCTTGTGCATTGTGTGTCACAAAGCTAAATACATGGAAATCGTTAATATCGCTGATATTAAGTAATTTCCCCACTCTGAGTGAATACTTTGATGATTGCCAACAGTGGCTAATAAAATGACGGCTACCACACTCATGGGTCACTGGGGCTGCGCAGGGCTCTTTGAGGTGGGTGGCTTCTTTTGGAAAGTACTATGAACGTCTCGAAGCAGTATTCTAGTGATAAGAATTCTTAACATAGCCAAGCGCCCCACGTTTGTTCCCCACGTTTGTTCCCCTTTTCTGTTTGAAAAACCTGTTCTGGTAGCTCCACAAGAGAGATGATACTGACTTTTTAAATTTTTTACAAGAGTCTGTATTCCTGATATGCCTATATTTTTCCTCAAAGATTCTGCATTTTAAGGATGGGCATAAGCAAACTATATTTTAATAATTTATAGTTAATGTTAAAATATTGGCTGATTTAGACCAAAAGATTCAAATCTCCTCTTTGTGAAATCCCATCTGCATTTGATTTTTTATTATTTTATGTTCCCCCGTTAGATTGTTTTAAGTGTTTGCTTTTCATCTTTTATAGATGTAATCTGATTTTCAAAAATCATTAACACTTTTTAATTAGTATCGACTAAGACTTTTTCCCCCTGGAATCGAGGCTGTGTGTCCGTCATCCCAGCCCCCGGTTGGAGCCTGCTCTTTGAACTCCGCTGCCTTCCTTAGCAGCTTCTGTCCTCTTCTGTGAGTCAGTCAGCGAGTGCTTGGGATCCGCATCCAGCCGTGCTGAGCACACAACAGGCTGTGTGTGGAAATGGCCACCACCATTCTCCTTCCCCACCCCACCACAAAAAGAGAAGCTGTGTCTTTAGACAACCCTGAGGTATCTGTGTTACAATCGTTCTGTGTTTGATATTTGTGTAAAGTATGCATGCAGTCTTGTACTGTGACCTAAGAACAAAACTGTAACTGCATTAGAAACCATGAAAAAATTAGATATTGTTTTGTGACTTTTAGACAGTGGTAAATATAGAACCATGAATTCTGGTCACATTCCATTTCTCTCCAACATGAAGGATCAAAAAATGTTTTTCAATGTGTTCTTTGTTCCACTGGAAACTTAGAGTCATGAGTTTATGAGCTGATTTGGTCACCTTCCTCTGCCTTTGTTCACTGTGAGTTCTGATGTCTTAGTGACTTAGTTCTTAGAAGCTCACGCCTTAGTTTGAAACAGATTCTCCACGGTGGTCCCCAAAACACTGTCTGCATATCCATAAGAATTGAGCGCTATGGGTGTTAACGTGCATGAGGATCAGTTTGCAGCAGCAAGTACAAAAGGAGAAGAGGAACATCCGTTGAATGAGTGTGTTTTGTACATAACTTCAGATACTTGTGAACATGCCTTATATTTGTCCAACAACTGTCAGAATAAAGAACATTCTAAAATGAGAAGTTCACTGTCACTCTTGTCCATTCTTTCTTAGAGAAGTTTAAAAATGCATTCTTCTGGAAAACTTAGGACATGTATGTCATGCTAACATTTTAAGAGTGCTTTCGTCAGGAAAGAACAGCCACGCCATGCTGTGTCTGAGGAGTCTGACCAGGGATCTCAGGGCGTTTTAGGGCCTGGGTCAGAATTTTCCTTTGTGCCTGCGTAAGATCGACTATAGGAGTTCACACAGAGATGATAGAGTTTACTTCTTAAGGCTAAATTAAGAGATTTTTCATGTGAATACATATAAGGATGTTGAAGATAAATTGCATTCCTTGGTATATTTTTTGAGGCATTTGTGGATTTATGGGCCACTGAGGCTGTCGATGGGGTTTCCTCTATAGAGGGGCTTCTGGGTATGCTGAGCACTCACAGAGTGAAAGCTCATTTGAAGAAAGCTCATTTTCAAAATCTGTCTTCTGTTTTTTCAAGTGTATTCAAAGTATTATCAGTACGTATTTTTAGTCTGATGGCATTTAATTTAATTTAAAGCAATGACTATTCCTTAAGAATTTAGGCCGGCCGCGGTGGCTAACGCCTGTAATCCCAGCACTTTGGGAGGCCGAGGTGGGCGGATCACGAGGTCAGGAGATTGAGATCATCCTGGCTAACACAGTGAAACCCCGTCTCTACTAAATACAAAAAACTAGCCGGGCATCGTGGTGTGTGCCTGTAGTCCCAGCTACTTGGGAAGCTGAGGCAGGAGAATGGCGTGAATCCGGGAGGCGGAGCTTGCAGTGAGCCGAGATCGCACCACTGCACTCCAGCCTGGGTGACAGAGCGAGACTCCGTCTCAAAAAAAAAAAAAAAAAAAAAAGATTTTAGATTAGTTTTCCCTGCTGAACTGCTTAATCTATGTTATGAATAATGGATAGCCTGGTATAAAATTGAAGTGGTGCCCCAGCAATGCAAAATGTTACTACGGTTTTAAGGTAATCTCAAAGACTACAGAAGTGCCCCCACTTATTCGTGATTTTGATTTCCACAGTTTGTTACCCACGGTCAGCCGTGGTCTGAAAATAGGCAAGTACAGTGCAGTACAATAAGATATTTTAAGGGGGAGAGACCACACTCACATAATCTTTACTACAGTGTAATTGTTCTATTTTATTACTAGTTCTAGTTGTTCATTTCTTACTGTGCCTAATTTATAAATTAAACTTCATCATAGATACATATGTATAGGAGAAAACATTGCATATGTGGGGATTGGAATTTTCTGTGGTTTCAGGCATCCACTGGAGGTCTTGGAACATATCTCCCACGGATAAAGGATGTGTGTGTGTGTGTGTGTGTGCAGTCGCAGCAGGTGGTCAAAGTGCTCAACACACCACAAACTGAAGCAGTAAAACTATTTTAGAGTAGTTTTTTAGTCAGATGACTGGAGAAGGGAATTAAAGGAAACAGTAGAAGACACAATAGCAAAGATGGAAGTTCCTTCTGTCAGCCTGAGGTACTTACTCAGGAGGCTGAAAAAGCAGAGGCCGTAAAGTGATAGGATGGTTGGTCAGAATGAGGACCAAAAAGCATCTGCAGTATGACCTCAGAAAGAAAGAAGGTATCAGAAGGAGAAGCTGGGAGGGTATACAGATGAGTAAATTCCTGGTGAAGTGCTCAGCACAGTGCCTGCACACAAACTCGTGATAACCGGAGCTAACAACTAACTGTCACTAAGATTAAGGGCCTGGAAATTGCACAAGAAAGAGTAGGATAGTACAGTAGGAAAGCCGCCGTTAGTTAGGAAGTCCACTTCCTCAGTGTGGCCTGGATTGGAACACGATCCAGTGGTGAAAAGAGCAAGAAGAAATCAGATCACCTCAAAGTCGTTTTGGAAAATAACAGCTTTGTTCCTGAGATCTCCCTGAATTGACTTCAGGAATATTGTGATTCTATAGCAATGGATCATTTCACCTTTTGGCTTTCCCAAATTATCGGACTGAGCAGCTTTGAGTCAACCTTTCCTATCCAGTTTGGGTTGAGGATCAGGGCCCTGTGGTGGGCTCACTAGGGATATGCCCTGGAGCATCGGTGTGGCCAGGCAAGGCTCATTGTAGTGGAGGTGTGTAGTCCAGACTCCCTGGCTTAGGGTGAGAACTGTTACCATTTGTTCCATCATCGCCTCTACTTTTTTTTTTTTTTTGAGACGGAGTCTAGCTCTGTCGCCCAGGCTGGAGTGCAGTGGCATGATCTCCACTCACTGAAACCTCCACCTCCTAGGTTCAAGCGATTCTTCTGCCTCAGCCTCCTGAGTAGCTGGGATTACAAATGCACACCAGTACACCTGGCTAATTTTTATATTTTTAGTAGAGACACGGTTTTATCACGTTGACCAGGCTGGTCTGGAACTCCTGACCTCAGGTGATCCACCTGCCTTGGCCTCCCAAAGTGCAGGGATTTATAGGCATGAGGCACTGTGCCCAGCCCATTGCCTCCACTTTATACTGTCTCTTCCTATTCTCCCTTTAAAGGTGAAAAAAGATAAATATTAGCAAGAATGCAGAAACTAAACAATAGTAAACTAGAAAATCCTAATGAGTCATCCATTAATCAAGTCGGATTGATAAACCATCATGGCAAAAAGAGACTTTTAACTATGTTAAGAAGAATAATTTGGGGGCCAGGGCCTGGTGGCTCACATCTGAAATCCCAGCACTTTGGGATGCTGAGGTGGGCAGATTGTTTGAGCTCAGGAGTTTGAGACAAGCCTGGACAACATAGTGAAACCCCATCTGCAAAAAATGCAAAAATTAGCTAGGCACGGTGGCACATGCCTGTGGTCCCAGCTACTTGGGAGGCTGAAGTGGGAGGATCACTTGAGCCTGAGAGGCAGAAGTTGCAGTGAGCCGAGACTGCACCACTGCACTCCAGCCTGGGTGACAGAGTTACCCTGTCTCAAAACAAAAACAAAAACAAGATCTCCATATGAAAATAAATGAAGCTTGACCTCTCACAGCATATACAAATGTCAATTCCCAATGGATCACAGTCCTCAATATGGAAAGCAAAATAATGCAGCTTCTACAAGAAAACAGACAATCTTCCTGCCCCTGGAATAGGCAAAGATTTTAAGGAATCACTAGCTCCAAGAATAAAATGTTGATAAACTGGATTTTGGTCTGCACTAAGAACTCTTAAGTTGCTGTTGAGAGAGTGAAAAGGCAAACCATGAAGTGGAAGACGCTGGTAATCCACACTTCCAACAAGACTCCTCCAGAATGTACAAATAACTACAAATCAGTAAGAAAAAGATAACAATATATTAGAAATAGGCAAGAGATTTGAATAGGCACTTCGCAAGTATCCAGATGGTTTGTAGGCATTTTGATAGCCACATTTGTTCAAAATCAATCACCAAGGAAATATAAATTAGAACATTGCTGGCAGGGTGATAGGGTTTGGATTCGTGTCCCTGCCCAAATCTCACGTCGAATAGGAGGAAGGGCCTGGTGGGAGGTGATTGGATCATGGGGGCGGATTTCCCCCTTGCTGATCTCATGATAGTGAGTCCTCATGAGATCTGATAGTTTAGAAGTGTGTGGCATTCCCCTTTGGCTCTCTCTCTCCTGCCCCCATGTAAGTCATGCTTGCTTCCCCTTCACCTTCCTCCATGATTGTACATTTTCCTGAGTCTCCCAGCCATGCTTCCTGTTAAGCCTGTGGATCTGTGAGTCAATTAAACCTCTTTTCTTCATAAATTAGCCGGTCTCAGGTAGTTCTTTATAGCAGCGTGAGAACGGACCAATACACAGGGTATTTTAAGTTGTCTTGAAGTTTCCTGGTTCTAGCAGGTAGGACCATGTACTTAGCAAGGACCTGTTTTGCTGTTCTCTGGGGCATGGGTGAAGGTCTGGGGTGTGAGAGGCTACAGTGAGCTGTAATCACACCACTGCACTCCAGCCTGGGGGACAGAGTGAGACCCTGTCTCAAAAAACAAAAAAAAAAATTGAATCATGTATACACTTATATCAAAAACCAATGTACTCCTGATTACCTCAACTTATTATGTTGGGATTATTGAGGTCTATAGTATCTGTATGGTGGAAATACCGTATAATGCAACTCTTCCCAACTCTGTGTTTAGTGGGGTGACACTGGTAGCTTGAAATCAACCATCGTTGGAGTACTAACACCACAGTCATTGGCAAATGCTGTTTTGCTTCCCTGGAAAAGCTGGTAAAGCCTGGAGTTCTGCTGGTCTGGTGGTGCTGGTCTGGTGGTGCTTGATACCTTTCTCATTTCACATTTGAAATGGTGATTCAGGCACTCAGCAAACCCTGCTGGGATGATTTCTGCTGAGAGAGCTCCTTCCCATTGCTCTTTGGCTAGGGTCCTCACTTCCCTTGCCACCGCCTGGCCTTGCCTGGTTCTCTGCCATCCTGGAAAGGAGACACTGCTCTCTGCAGCGTCTCTGGCCCAGAGACAGGCCGAGTCTGTCATTGCATTAGCCTCTTAGTGGTTCCTTGGGGGCCACTCCCAGCAGAACCTCTGTCCCTGCCACAACAGGTCCTGTGCTACGAAACACCAAGGAAGTCCCCTTCCTGCCTCTGGCCAGGCCCTGCCTGAGAGGGTGCATGTGAATGCAAAGCAGGTCTGTTTCAGGAGTGCCCAAAAAGAAGCCACCAGGAGGACACCTCCATGCCAGAGGTGACTCATCTTACCTCCCAGAGGAAGGACTGGGGCCGGTCCCTTGGCCTTGCCAGGACAGCCTCCACAACGAGCAGCTGGTATGGTTACAGGGCTCCTGTGGCAGGCACTTTCAAAGAGACAAGCTTGCTCTCTGTAACATGTGCCTTTGTGTCAAACAGACCTGTCATTGTTTTCAGCAAATACCTTGGGACTTCAGTGCATAAATACCATTCTAGGTATTTTTCAGAAGTTGTGTATAAAGGCATTCTGCCTAATTCCTTCAGTCCTCTATTTCAGTTTCTATTTATTTGGTGTGATAGAAAGCTCTTAATTTAGATCTCCCCACCGCCAGTTCCAAGAAATCTGCCACCAGCTCCAAGCCTCATGTCCTGAAGTGCCACCTCATTCCCGCGGGGTGAGCCAGCAGCCTCTGAAAAGAGGAAGCCATTGAACAGATCACACTGTGCCTCCCGCCGCTGGCTGCCGCCCCAGCGCCAGCAGGACTCCGGCTTTGACTGGGGACTCACTGGAGGCCACATCGCTTTTGCTTCCAGTTTCCAAACTGCCACCACCTCGAAACTGCCAGACCTTTGAAAGCTGAGGCACAGTGCCTCACCCCTTCCTTCAGAAGACTGTCCAGCTCCCCCTCCTTCCCCTCCTCCCTCCCCCACTGGGGACCTCTCCTAGGGGAGGGGTCTGGTGTCCTCAGCTGGCTCCTCTCCACCTTCGCTTCTACCCGGGGGCTCCAGTGCATCTGGCTTTATCTCTGGGGTGAGCCATGCGGCCCTGGTCATCTGGACGGGCCACTGAACTCCACACATTCACCTGTTCACTGGCTCATCCATTCATTCATCTGGTCTCATGTGCTGCCCTGTTCTAGGTGCTTCCATACAAAGGGGACAGAAGAGATGATGGAAGGCCTCAGTACTGCAGGAGGGGAGACGGATGTCATCTACAATCACACAATACATGGGAGGTCACAGGTGATCCCGAGGAAAACGAAGCTGGGAAGGGGATGAGGGAGTCTCTTTGTCTAAACTTGACCCAGGTTTAGACAGAAGCCAGGAACGGCGTCATCTGAGTGCAGCCTGAGGGACGGGGGAGGAGGTAGGGGCAGGGGCGGGCAGTCAGGCAGAGAAGCCAGTGGAGCGATGCCCGCTAGGGTGTTTCCAGAGCCCGAGGAGGCCAGAGCCGCTCTTTGCCTGGAGGATTGTACAGAAGTGGGGATTCCCAGGGGGTGGATGGGGGTGGGGGCTGGGGGGCAGTGGCCTGAGCCTGGCAGCTCAGGGATTCATGCGGCAGGCGGTGCAGCTTGTTGGTCAACCTCATGAAATACTAGTTTTGCACGTGGCCTTAGACTCTGGGGACTTGGTCTGGGGCCAGGTAGGGGGCATTTCTGATGTGATGTCACCTGTGTTACTCTATCCGTCAGGGCCTTACGGAGCCCTTGCTTCCTCCAACACCCCCACCGGCTTTCTCCTGTGGCTTAAAATTGACCTAGTCAGTCCTGCCAGTGGGTCTACCCTGCAGGCCCATGGGAGCACCCATGGATCCCAGTCCTGGCCCAAGCACCTGCCCTCACTGCTACCCACCCCAAGCCATCAGCCTCATTCTCACTTTACCTCCTCACACCTGGTTTCACTGAAGCCTGGGCCAGCCCCCTCAACCCCTTCCCAAGCTCCCATCTACCCCTGCCACAGCCCTGCTCCCTGCAGCAGGGGCCTCAGAAGTTAGTCTCTTGGAGCGCTGGGGTTAAATGAATGTGCCTTGCACATACTAGCTGCTCAGTAAACACAAAAAAACTCAACCCAGGCTCCAGAACAAGAGCCACACCCCACAAGCTGGCTGTGGTGGCCTCTGAATCTGAATTCCCACCTCCATGTGACCTTCCTTAAGCCCCTCACTCCAGCCCTGCTCTTCACCATCTCCCAACATGATATTTACTAATGGTCATTTCAGGTACTGTGTTACCTGTCCACAAACATTGCAGCATTTAATTTCCCCAAGTACCCTATGAAGAAGAGATTACTCTTGCCTGCATTTTACAGACAAGGAAATAAACCTAAAAGGTTAAGTGATTTCCCCAAGGTCATGTAACTGGAAAATGTCAGGATTTGCACTTGCTAAGCCAACTCTCTCCTCTAGCCATTCTGCTTCTTCCTCTTAATACAAAACCCACTTGTCCCCCAAGGTTCAGCTCAGGTTCCCATGCCAAAACCAAACCTTCTTAGGCATGCAGGTGGCAAAAGCCTTGGAACCCCTGTTTACTACTGCTCACCCTCACACCACGGCTGCAGTGGCTTTCCCCTTCACGTTTGCTCATGAGGCTGATGCAGGGCAGGTGAGACCCAAAATCGGGGCTTAGCCCGGGAGGGTTCTTGGCTTCACCCTGGAAAGAATTCAAGGGCAAGCTGGTGGTGTTAAGACAGCAATTTTTATTGAAGCGGCCATGCATAGCGGCAGCACAGGTGCTGCTCCCTGCAGAGCAGGGCTACCCCATAGGCAGTGCGTCCAGAGTAACAGCTCAGAGGCAGTGCTGCAGTCCTATTTATAGCCACTTTTAATTATATGTAAATTAAAGGGCAGATTATGCAGGAGTTTCTAGGAAAAGGGTGGTAACTTCTGGGTTGTTGAGTCCTTGCCATGGGAAGGGGAAGTAATGTCCGGGTGTTGCCAAGGCAATGGTAAACTGACATGGCACACGAGTGAATGTGTCTTATGGACGGTTGCTTCTTTTTAGGACTTTATATATTCTAGACACAAGTCATTTGTCGGATGTGTTTTGTAATTTTTCTTCAAGTCTGTGGCTTGCATTTTCATTTTCTTAACAGTATTTTTTAACGGTCTTTTGAAATTTTGAGGAAAAGTCTTCAATTTTGATGAAGTCCAATTTATTATTTTTTTCTTATTATTTTTATACTTAGTTTTTTTTTTATTTAAAAAAAATCAGCAAGGCTGGGCATGGTGGCTTGTGCCTGTAATCCAGTACTTTGGGAGGCCAAAGTGGGTGGATTACTTGAGTATAGGAGTTTGAGACCAGCCTAGGCAACACAGCAAGATCCCCCCCTCCCCATCTCTTTTTTCAGAAGAAGAAGGAGAAGGAGAAGAGGGAGAGGGAGAGGGAGAGGGAGGGGGAGGGGGAGGAAGGGAAAGGGTGGGGAGGGGGAGGAGGAGGAGAGAAGGAAAGAAGAAGGAGGAAACAAATCTGCCAAACCACCCAAAGTCAATAAGATTATTCTTCTCAAAGTTTTTTAGTGTTCTTACATTTAGGTCTCTGATCATTTTCTAGTTGATTTTTGTATGTGCTATATCATGAGGATTGAGGTTCACTTTCTTTTTGCATATAGTTAACTGGTTATTTCAACTTGGAGCCTTGAAATCATGTAGCGTAAGTCCTCTAATTTTGTTCTTTTCCAATTTTGCTGTTGACTATTCTATTTATTGCCATATTAATTTTACAATTAACATCAATTTTTACCAAAAAGTCTGCTTGGATTTTGATCTAAGCATCTATAGATCAATATAGGGAGACTTGACACCTTTACATGATTGAATCTTCCACTCTGTGAATATGGAATATCTCTCCATTTATTCAGGTATTCTTTAATTTCTTTCAGGAATATTTTGTAGTTTCTGGTGTACACATCTTTCAATCTTGCACATCTTTTGTGAAATTCATCCCTAAGTATTTTCTATTTTTGATGCTGTTAACAATGTTTACTTTAATTTTAATTTCTGATTGTTCATTGCTAGGATATAAAAAAGCAATTGGTTTTTGTATATTTATTTTATATCCTGCAACCTTGCTAAAGCCACTTATTGGTTCTAGTAGCTTCTTTTTATGGATTCTGTAGAATTTTCTACATAAATAATCATGTCATCTGAGAATAAAGATAGTTTAAATTCTTTCTTCCCAATCTGGATGCCTTTTATTTCTTATCTTACTGAACTACATACAATGCAATTAAGTCCAAATGTTGAATAGAAGAGATGAGAGTGGGCAATTTTACTTCATTCTTCATCTTAGACTGAAAGCATTCAGTATTTTACTACTAAGTATAATGTTGATTGTAGATTTTTTGTAGATGCCCTTTAGCAGGTTGAGGAAGTTCTTTTATAGTTCTAATTTGCTGAAAGTTTTTTTTAAATCAGAAGTCAATAACAGATTTGTCAAATTTTTTCTGCAATTTGGATGATTATATGTATCAAATTTTAAGTTTTCCTTGTTTAATCTGTTAATATGATAAATTATTTTTAAATGTTAAGCCAACTTTACTTTCTTGGGATAAACCCCACTTGGCCATCCTTTTTATATTATTGTTGAATCCAATGTTCTAATTTTTGAAGTGAATATTATTTTAAATTGACAAATCATAAGTGTATATATTTATGGGATACATTGTGATGTTTTGATATGTGTATACAATGTGGAATAGTTAAATCAAGCTAACAAATATATCCACCAACTCACTTATTTTTTTGTGGTGATACATCTGAAATTTACTCTTTTAGCTATTTTGAATATACAATGCATTATTAACTGTAGTCACCCTGCTGTGCAAATAGATCTTGAACACTTATTCCTTCTGCCTAACTGAAACTTTTTACCCTTTGACAACGTATTTCCATTCTCTCTCCTGTCCCTACTCCCCAGCCTCTGGTAGACACCATCCTATTCTCTACTTCTATGAGTTTGACTTTTTTAGATTCCATATGCAAGTAAAATCATGTGGTATTTGTCTTTCTGTGACTGGCTTACTTTTTTTTTTTTTTTTTTTTTTTTTTTTTTTAAATGAGACAGAATCTTGCTCTGTCTCCCAGGCTGGAGTGCAGTGGCATGATCTCAGCTCACTGCAACCTCTGCCTCCCAAATAGCTGGGACTACAGGCGTGCGCCACCACACACGGCTAATTTTTGTATTTTTGGTAGAGATGGGGTTGGTCTCAAACTCCTGACCTCAAGTGATCCACCCACCTTGGTCTCCCAGAGTGCTGGGATTACAGGTGTGAGCCACCATGCCCAGCCCGACTGGCTTAACATAATGCCCTCTAGGTTCATCCATGTTGTCATAAATGACAGAATTTCCTTATTTTTTTTTCCATAAGAGACAGCCTTAAATAAAAAAGAAAGAAAGAAAGGGAAAGAAAGAAAGAAGGAAAGAAGGAAAGAAAGGAAGGAGGGAAGGAAGGAAAGAAAGGGAAGGAAGGGAAGGAAGGGCCCTTTTTTTTTTTTTTTTTTTTTTGAGACAGAGTCTCGCTCTGTTGCCCAGGCTGGAGTGCAGTGGCGTGATCTCAGCTCACTGCAACCTCTGCTTCCCGGCTTCAAGCAATTCTCTGCTTCAGCCTCCTGAGTAGCTGGGATTACAGGTGCCCACCACCACGTCAGGCTAATTTTTTGTATTTTTAGTAGAGACAGGGTTTCACCATCTTGGCCAGGCTGGTCTTGAACTCCTGACCCCATGATCCACCCACCTCAGCATCCCAAAGTGCTGGGATTGCAGGCATGAGCCACTGTGCCCAGCCAGAATTTCCTTCTTTTTAAAAGCTGAATAGTATTCCATGGTGTCTATAGATGTATCATATTTTCTTTATCCATCCATCTGTTGATGGTCACCCAGGTTGATTTCATATCTCAGCTATTGTGAATAATGATTCAGTGAACATGAGAGTATGCCCGGCCTCTTTCACTATCAAAAAGATAATAGCCATTGTAACAGGTATAAGGTGATATCTTTGTGGTTTTAATTTGCATTTTCCTGGTTGGGCGTGGTGGCTCATGCCTGTAATCCCAGCACTTTGGGAGGCTGAAGCGAGTGAATCACTTGAGGCCAGGAGTTCGAGACTAGCCTGGCTAACATGGTGAAACCCCATCTCTACAAAAATTACAAAAATTAGCTGGGCATGTGGGCCGGGCGCGGTGGCTCACGCCTGTAATCCCAGCACTTTGGGAGGCCTAGGTGGGCGGATCACCTGAGGTTGGGAGTTTGAGATCAGCCTGACTAACATGGTGAAACCCTGTCTCTACTAAAAATAGAAAATTAGCTGGGCATGGTGGCGCATGCCTGTGGTCCCAACTAATTAGAAATAGTTGTTTCCAATTTCTAATTTTTAAAAGTTTTTTGCATCCATGTCCATGAAGAATATTAATCTATATTTTCTTATATTGTCTTTCTTTGACTTTGATAACAAGGTGATTTGGCTTCATATAATGAACCCAGACATCCTTCCTTCCTCCCTCCCTCTCTCCGTTTCCCTTCCCTTCCCTTCCCTCCCCTCCCCTCCCCTCCCCTCCCCTCCCCTCCCTTCCCTTCCCTTTCCAACAGGGTCTCGGGCCGGGTGCAGTGGCTCACTCCTCTAATCTCAGCACTTTGGGAAGCCGAGGTGAGTGGATCACGAGGTCAGGAGTTCAAGACCAGCCTGGCCAAGATGGTGAAACCCCATCTCTACGAAAAATACAAAAAAATTAGCCAGGCGTGGTGGCAGGCATCTTTAATCCCAACTACTTGGGAGGCTGCGGCAGGAGAATCTCTTGAACTTGGAGGGCGGAGGTTGCAGTGAGCCAAGATTGCGCCACTGCACTCCAGCCTGGGTGACAGAGTGAGACTCTGTCTCAAAAAAAAAAAAAAAAAAAGACAGGGTCTCACTCTGTCGCCCAGGCTGGAGTGCAGTGGTGCAATCCCAGCTCACTGAAGCCTCAACTTCTCAGGCTCAAGCGATCCTCCCACTTCAGCCTCCTGAGTAGTTGGGGCTAATTTTTTTTTTTTTTTTTTTTTGTGTGTGTACACAAAGTTTCTCTATGTTGCCTAGGCTGGTCTCAAACTCCTGGGCTCAAGTGATCCTCCTGCCTCAGACTCCCAAACTGCTGGGATTGCAGGCGTGAGCCACCACACCTGGTTTGGTATTCTTTTCTCTGTGATTTTCTGAAAGAGTTTGTGTGGAATTGGTATTATTTCTTCCATAAATTTTGTTAAAAGTCATCACTAAACCCATGTGGGCCTGTAATGTTGGGTTTTCATTTTGGTTAAGTTCAAAATATTTCCTAATTTTGATCTTCTCTTTAACCCATGAGTTATTTAAAAGTATGCTATTTAGTTTCCAAGTATTTGGAGAGTTTTCAGATATTTTTCTGTTACTAATTTCTAATTTAATTCCAAGAGTCAGAGCATATACTTTGTATAATTCAAATCCTTTTACAATTATTAAGACTTTGAGTTGTTTTATAGTCCACAGTATAATCTATCGTGGCAAATGTTCATGTGTACTTAAAATATGAATTCTGAGCCGAGCGTGGTGGCTCATGCCTGTAATCCGAGTATTTTGGGAAGCCAAGCAGGGCAGATTGCTTGAGGTTGGGAGTTCGAGACCAGATGTTGTGCAATGTGCCAGACAGTCCCAGAGAGCGAAGTCTGATTCTGTGCTCGGTAAGACTTTCCAAAGTCCCACTGACCTCCACCTACATCCGTGCTGCTGCCCAGTGATGTGAACTGCATCTATAATTTTTTTTTTTTTTTTTTTTTTGAGATGGAGTCTTGTTCTGTCGCCAAGGCTGGAGTGCAGTGGCACAATCTCAGCTCATTGCAACCTCCGCCTCCCAGGTTCAAGCAATTCTCCTGCCTCAGCCTCCCGAGTAGCTGGGATAACAGGAGCCCACCACCACGCCTGGCTAATTTTTTATATTTTTAGTAGAGACAGGGTTTCACCATGTTGCCCTCCTGGCCTCAAGTGATTCACCTGCCTTGGCCTCCCAAAGTGTTGGGATTACCGGCATGAGCCACTGTGCCCGGCCCATAATTTTAAGATTTCTAAGAGCTGAATTTGAAAAGTAAAAATGAGCTGAGTGCGATGGCAGTCACCTGTAGTCTCACCTACTTGGGAGGCCGAGGCAGGAGGATCCCGTTAGCCTGGGAGTTCTGGGCTGTAGTGTGCTGTGCTGATTGAGTGTCCACAGTAAGTTCAGCATCAATATGGTGACCTCCTGGGAGTGGGGGACTACCAGGTTGCCTAAGGAGGTGTGAACCGGCCCAGATCAGAAATGGAGCAGGTCAAAACTCCCATGCTAATCAGTAGTGGGACTGCACCTGTGAATAGGCGCTGCATTTCAGCCTGGGCAACATAGCGAGACTCCCTCTCTAAAAAAATAAAAAATAAGTAAAAATAAAAAGTAAAAATGAGGAAATAGAATTTTAGAAATAGAATATAGAATTATATTTTGTTTAATCTAGTATATCTAAAATGTTTAAAAATAAAATCAATATAAAATTATTGTCATTATTATTATTATTATCTGAGTTGGAGTTTTGCTCTTGTTGCCCAGGCTGCAGTGCAGTGGCGTGATCTCGGCTCATTGCAAACTCTGCCTCCCAGGTTCAAACAATCATCCTGCCTCGGCCTCCAGAGTAGCTGGGATTACGGGTGCCCGCTACCATGCCTGGCTAATTTTTTTTTTTTTTTGTATTTTTAGTAGAGACGGGATTTCACCATGTTGACCAGGCTGGTCTTGAACTCCTGACCTCAGGTGATCCATCTGCCTTGGCCTCCCAAAGTGCTGGGATTACAGGCGTGAGCCACCACGCCTGGCCTAATGTAAAATTATTAATGAGGTATATTACATCTTTTTTTTTTCTCATCCCAGGTCTACAACATCCAGAGCAGCCACATTGCAAGTGCTCAGTAGCCACATGTGGCTGGCACATGTGGCCCATGGCAACTGTGCTGGACATGGTGGGTCCAGACCTCACTTCATTTTATGTATAAACACCAAGTATCTTGTGAGCTTTACTGTACGTGAATTTCTCAGGAATGCTGTAACTGTGCACATTGAGGTTTGAGGTTTGATTGCCCTTTTGTTGTTTTTTTCTGAACGTTACTAAGGGTTGTTCATAATTTTGGAAGGTAGTATTATCCAATAGCCCCCGCCCCCTCCGCGTCCGCAGTGTGAGTCCCCTGCACAACATGCACTGAAGCCTCTGCATTTGTAGCTCTCACATTCATGGTGATTCTACCCGAGGCCATGCACTGAATATGTCAGTATCACGGCTTGATATCTTCCAGTTTAGCTGTGCCTGAGTGTCTATGTACTGAAATCTGTATTATTTTATAATACATTTCTTTGTTTTTTGAGATGGGGTGTCACTCTGTCGCCCTGGCTGGAGTGCACTGGCGTGATCTAGGCTCACTTCAACCTCCGCCCCCTAGGCTCAAGTGATCCTCCCACCTCAGCCTCCCGAGTAGCTGGGACCACAGGCACACGCCAGCACGCCCAGCTAATTTTTTGTATTTTTGGTACAGATGGGGTTTCGTCTTGTGCCCAGGCTGGTAAAATACATTTCTTTATATTTATTTATTTATTTTGAGATGCAGTCACTCTGTTGCCCAGGCTGAAGTGCAGTGGCGCGATCTCGGCTCACTGCAAGCTCCGCCTCCCTGCAAGCTCCGCCTCCCGGGTTCACGCCATTCTCCTGTCTTAGCCTCCTGAGTAGCTGGGACTACAGGCGCCCACCACCACGCCCGGCTAATTTTTTGTATTTTTAGTAGAGACGGAGTTTCACCGTGTTAGCCAGGATGGTCTCGATCTCCTGACCTCGTGATCTGCCCGCCTCGGCCTCCGAAAGTGCTGGGATTACAGGCGTGAGCCACCGCACCCAGCCAATTGTGATTTCCTTTGTTGCTATGCATGTAACTGATTTTTGCAGTTTCCATGGATTAAAAAACATGTATTTGCTACCAGATATAAAGGAAAATCGTGGTAAAAGTACACTCACTTCTTAAGCATATCTTTTTTATGTATGGGATTTTGCTTTTTTGTTTGTTTTGAGACAGAGTCTCACTCTGTCACCCAAGCTGGAGTGCTGTGGCGTGATCTCAGCTCACTGCAACCTCTGCCTCCTGGGTTCAAGCAATTCTCATGCCTCAGCCTCCCAAGTACCTGGAATTACAAGTGTGTACTACCATGCCCAGCTAATTTTTCTATCTTTTTTTAAGTTAGAGACAGGGTTTCGCCATGTTGGCCAGGCTGGTCTCAAACTCTTGGACTCAATTGATCCGCCTGCCTCGGCCTCCCAAAGTGCTGAGATTACAGGCATGAGCCACTGCGCCCAGCCATGTAGGGGATTTTGAATTCAACTTTGAACTTGTGTTTTCTTAATACATATTGGTGTCGAAAATTGTTTTAAAACAAACATGAATATTTAAGATTTTAGTTTTTTGCTCCTTTCTCTCACCTTTCTGCAGCTAAGCCTGGGTGCATCCTTTTTTGGTGTATCATGCGGCAGTACATCTGGGCTCCTGGCCCAGCCTCCCCAGGTGGCCCCATCAGAGGCTATACATCTGTAGACAGAAAAGCTGGTCTCCTTCCTTTCACTTAAGACCCAGAGGTTGTGGTCTAGTTCTTGAAGGTCTAGTCCTTGACCCAGGTGGGGGACAGTGACCTCTGAGAAAGGAAGTGACCACACCCTGCTTTATGGGGCCTTTGCTGACCAAACCCTACCTCTCATAATGCTTTTCGTTTGAGTTGCTTTGTCCCTAAGTCTTCATGCTCAGCCTCCTACCACAGCTGGACGTTTGTAAAGGGAACCAGAAACATCTTTTGGGGAAATGACAGTTGATGCAGATGACAGTAAACCATAAACTTTTGGTATTATCCTGACCCTTAGTCCTGATCAAGCTGGCACTCCCCAGAATGCGACAATATACAGACATAGGCACAAATTCTGTTTTCATACTTTTCTAAGTACTTAAAACCTCCACAGCATATGTCTTTTGTATGTTATACACAAGACTGTAAAGAGACTGGCTGGGGTTGGACATGAAAAGCCCTACAAAGTCAGAATCCTGCCGGCCTGGAGCGGGGTCTATCCAAGGGATTCCATCTTACCAGTGACATTCATAGAAAAGCACAGTAAAGCACAGGAGATCCTTGCTGAGTTTTAATTCCTCAGTCTGCCTTTCTGCATCTTTTGAGTGATACACTCTAATAATTTGACTGCATTTTGTGTGAGTATAGCTGGATCCGCTTTGATTCTACAAATTAGGTGCCCTTCTGTTTCTTAGTAATGTCATATTCTCTGACCACTGTAGCCACTTAAGATAGTCTCAAATATGAATAATTTTCAGTGGCCATAGTGGAGAAGATGCTGACCCAGGAGGCTTATTCTCACCTCCACCTCTTAGACTCACATGTATGATTTTTTTTTCTCCCTACCAAAGTGGCTAGTTTTGACAGCCTTTAGGTTGCAGAACTGTTTATATTCGAAAGAAGACCTTACCTTCATAGAGCATTTTCCCGGGCAGTTGTTCTGCTTTGTGTTTTTAATATCTACTCTTATTCGGAGTCCCAAAATGAGTTAGCTTGGGTAGCTCTCACAATGAAAACTGATTTCTTCGCATAAAACTTTATTCTACCTTTTTGAAAACCAGCTGGAAATGATGAATGGTGGCTTCAACAGTAATGGTTCACGAAGAACTGATCGTGTCCCCATCAATGAGGTCTTACCCATGGCAGGGCAATGGCGGTCTACTGTAATTCTGTGTTGGTTGTAGTAAGTTGGGGGAATATCAGGCCAAGAATCAACAGAGCTACGTGGCTTAGGCAGGTCAGTTTCTCTGTGCCTCAGCCTGCTCACCTGTGAGATGGGAATAATAAACACCCCTCAGAAGGTATTGTGAGGTCATTCACTAAAGGACATTTCAGTCCTTTGAATGGGTCTGGAACATACCCTAGTATTTTTACTCTACATAGAAGAAATCAGTCCTAGAATATAATTAGATCGGACTTTCTGGTCCTTTAATCACTCGCCTCCTTCCTAAACTGGATCCAGCTGCAAATGATTGCGTTAGTCTCAGGACTTCATTTTCATTTGACTCAGCTGATCAAAACTGAGACCATTCTGAGGCAGGAGAATAGGGTCTGGAGGCAGTAAACCTAAGCCCAATTCACGCTGACTTCCTAGAACTAAATCAAAAGGAAAACCCCAACTTTCCACATCCAAGTAACAAAAGGACCAGAGGCTACTCCCTCTGCAACCCCCCTTTTTCCACGTGGCAGATAAACTCTAAGTACCTTTGATTGGTCCCCTCCCACAGCCAATGAGGCTGTTCACAGGTCAAGACTTCATTTGCATGGGAGTATAACTTTGTAACTTCAGCCTCTGATTGGTTGCTTTCTGCAACTAATCAGATGTTTGCATAGGGTATAGCTTTATAACTTCGCTTCAGCCTCTGGTTGGTCCTCTCCTGCAACCAATCAGACTGATTATGGTCCACTACTTCATTTACACAAGGTGTACACCAAGTAACCAATGGGAAACCTCTACAGGGTATTTAAATCCCAGAAAATTGTGTCACCGGGCCCTTCAGCCTCATGGGCTGCTCCCACCTTGTGGGTGTACTTTCATTTTCAACAAATCTCTGCTTTTGTTGCTTCCTTCTTTCCTTGCTTTGTGTGTTTTGTCCAATTCTTTGTTCAAGAACGCCAGGGTGACGTAACAATTCAAACCATGAAGAGGTAACAGAGCCCTTCGCGCGTCTCAACACGTGGTGACGCAGCTAATAACCTGTGATGCATACATGGGAACAAATGCATAGAAAAACTTGTCAATGACACGGCAAAGTAAAACCCAAATGAAGCGAGGTGAAAGAATGGGCTGCAGCGCAGGCAAAACTGCACCACGTTACAGACTGCTCGCCTGGGATGGAACGGTGGGGAGGTGCGCAGACGGATGGACAAGCGCCTGGCAAAATGGATTTCTTTTCCTAGACTGCTAATGCTACTAACAGTTCCCTCCTCACAGGGTCGCTATAACGAGGTAACATACAGCACTTAGAAGACGGCCTGACCCAGAATAACACTAATGTTCACATGGCTGCGAGTCTCAGACCAAAATCAATAGCCGGTATCTACTGAAACTGCAGCAAGGCGAAACCACGGGAATGGCGCTCCGTTGAGTAGAGCAACGCACAGCACATCACATCGCATCCTCCGTAGCGGGAGGCTCTGGCCTCACCGCAGCGGCACTTCCCGGAAGAGCCCAGGATATTCGGGGACCCGCACCGGACAGGCGGCCCAGGCCCCCTGGCGCCCAGCTGGCCGCCCTGTTGCAGCTCTCATGCCAAGACCTGCGCCTAACGGCAGGGATTCCGGCGGTCATCATTTATTCTTGGCGCTAAGCTGCCGCTTCTCTTTTTTATCACCACAGAGTAACGCAGACCCCACCGTTTCCTTCCATTCTGAGCCAACCACTCCAGCAGCCACCGGGGCGCCAGGTTATGCTGGGGCTGCACCACCCGGCCCGAGGCTTTTGAAGCCACGCCTGAGCGCGGAGGATGGGCAGGATTTGCCCCGTGAACTCCCGCGCACGCAGGCTCCGCGCGAGGCCCGGGCGCCCGAGCGGCGATTCCCTCCCCTATCACCAGCTCCAGGGTGGTGCCCCCCGGCTGTGGAGCCCAGACCCCGGCCGTCCAGCAGCGTATAGACGAGCCCATGTCTGCGATGTAACTGCACCGCGCTGGGGATCCACCTCCCGCCAGGGTGAGGGCGCCGTCCTCCAGCGTATGCTAGGCAGGCGCGCCCCGCCCTCCTGGTCACGTGACCACGCCTACAGCCGAAGAGGATGGGAAAATGCGGCCCTGTTCCTGAACAGGAAGCGGAAGCAGGAAGGAACTGAGAACACCAGCATCTGCTGCCGCCCTGAATCAGCGTTAGCATGTGGAGGCAACCTCAGCCCCCAGTTTTTGAAGAAGGTGATTCAGATTCAGACACAGGAATTATGGTGACGGTAGAAATGGACTGGAAGGTTCGTTCCCCTTGCCCACCAAGACTCCAGAGCAGGTGGGTTCTTGATGTCTACTCTGCATGAAGCCCTGGGCTTTCCGGCCCTCCCTACTTTTCCTCCGAATTCACAGCACAGCGGAGCCAAAATGTATTCCTGCCAAAACGGGCATTTCCCAAAAGAAAATATTGTTTTAGATTCATTGTTCACAGCCTCTTTTTTTTTGTTGTTCATTTGAAGCAATTTTTCTTTTTTATTATTATACTTTAAGTTTTAGGGTACATGTGCACAGTGTGCAGGTTAGTTACATATGTATACATGTGCCATGCTGGTGCGCTGCACCCACTAACTCGTCATCTAGCATTAGGTATATCTCCCAATGCTATCCCTCCCCCTCCCCCCACCCCACAACAGTCCCCAGAGTGTGATGTTCCCCTTCCTGTGTCCATGTGTTCTCATTGTTCAGTTCCCACCTATGAGTGAGAATATGCGGTGTTTGGTTTTTTGTTCTTGCGATAGTTTACTGAGAATGATGATTTCCAATTTCATCCATGTCCCTACAAAGGACATGAACTCATCGTTTTTTATGGCTGCATAGTATTCCATGGTGTATATGTGCCACATTTTCTTAATCCAATCTGTCATTGTTGGACATTTGGGTTGGTTCCAAGTCTTTGCTATTGTGAATAATGCCGCAATAAACATACACGTGCGTGTGTCTTTATAGCAGCATGATTTATAGTCCTTTGGGTATATACCCAGTAATGGGATGGCTGGGTCAAATGGTATTTCTAGTTCTAGATCCCTGAGGAATCGCCACACTGTCTTCCACAATGGTTGAACTAGTGTACAGTCCTACCAACAGTGTAAAAGTGTTCTTATTTCTCCACATCCTCTCCAGCACCTGTTGTTTCCTGACTTTTGAATGATCGCCATTCTAACTGGTGTGAGATGGTATCTCATTGTGGTTTTGATTTGCATTTCTCTGATGGCCAGTGATGATGAGCATTTTTTCATGTGTTTTTTGGCTGCATAAATGTCTTCTTTTGAGAAGTGTCTGTTCATATCCTTCACCCACTTGTTGATGGGGTTGTTTTTTTCTTGTAAATTTGTTTGAGTTCATTGTAGATTCTGGATATTAGCCCTTTGTCAGATGAGTAGGTTGCGAAAATTTTCTCCCATTTTGTAGGTTGCCTGTTCACTCTGATGGTAGTTTCTTTTGCTGTGCAGAAGCTCTTTAGTTTAATTAGATCCCATTTGTCAATTTTGCCTTTGGTTGCCATTGGTTTTGGTGTTTTAGACATGAAGTCCTTGCCCATGCCTATGTCCTGAATGGTAATGCCTAGGTTATGGTTTTAGGTCTAACGTTTAAGTCTTTAATCCATCTTGAACTGATTTTTGTATAAGGTGCAAGGAAGGGATCCAGTTTCAGCTTTCTACATATGGTTGGCCAGTTTTCCCAGCACCATTTATTAAATAGGGAATCCTTTCCCCATTGCTTGTTTTTCTCAGGTTTGTCAAAGATCAGATAGTTGTAGATATGCGGCGTTATTATTTCTGAGGCACAGCCTCTTTCTTTCGTCTCCCTTTCCTTTCCTCATCTCTTGCTCTAATTGGAGAATTTGACAACTCTGAACCTCTGACTGTGGATAACCCCAACTCCAGCAAGCCTGGGCAAGAGTGGGACAGTTGCAGCCCAAGGTAGCCAAACATCTGAGTTTTGCCTAGTAACAGATCATGGAGAGGTCAGACCAAGAAGTGGAAGGAAGTGGCCGGCCTGAGGCCTTTGTTTGGGCCACTCAGGGTTGAATGAAATGATAAAGGTAGCCACGTTGTCTGGATGCGCTTCAGGTAATAATTATTCTCTAAGGAAAGCAGTCATATTTATATCCATAAAATCAGTTTATTAAATTACATAGCAATATACATCCCAAACCTTTTCTCAAAATTGTCATTAGCTTTTTAAATTCGTTAAATATTTTCATCTCATTAAAAATGGTTTCTTCCTTTAAAATTTCCCAGAAAGTGTGGCCTCTGTTTTCTGCTACTCAGTTTAAACACATCATCAAGGATAGATAATTAATGTCAGGTGAGCATAAAAGGAGATTATAAACCAGAAATGTGTTTTCTGGGAACCAAGTTTCAAGTGACTCAGATAAGTTTTATTAATTTCATGGGTGAAGCCCCTGGATAAAGCAGTGCCTAAATCAGGCTTGTTTACCCTTGGCATTATGTCACCAAACACTGTTTCAGGATACTGGAAGTACATACAGCTTGGGAGGTCTTTGGCCTGAGCCTGTTTTGGCCAAGCCCATCCAGAATGAAAAGTACAAAAGAAGGCTAGTGTGTGTGCAAAGCAGCATGGCTTATTTTGAGGTCCTATTAGTTGTGGGCCAACAAAACAGTGGCAGGATTTGAAGGAAGAAATGTATTGCAATAGTCCATATCCTTCGAACCACAAAGGGAGACTGAGGAAATGCTGGCTTTAGGCCAAAAAACCCTGGCTCAAAACAGCTTCCTCCAGTGGCTCAGAGGCAGACCAAATTCATCAAGTCAAGGACCTTTTCCTGCTACCACCTTGCGGAGAGGGGCCTTCACCAGCCCACCCTGCACATGGGTTTCTGCTGTTCAGAACCTACCCAGTAACAACAGGAGCAAACATACATGTTTTCCCCTCATGTAACTTTGCATTTAAATATATTCTGGGAAACTGCTGGGCACAGTGGCTCACACCTGTAATCTCAGCACTTTGGGAGGCCAAGACAGGAGGATCACTTGAGTCTAGGAGTTCAAGACCAGCCTGGGCAACATAGGGAGACCCTGTCTACAAAAAATTTGAAAATTAGCTGAGTGTGGTGGCACTCACCTGTAGTCTCAGCTACTCAGGAGGCTGAGGGGAGGGATCGCTTGAGCCAGGGAGGTTGAGGCTGCCGTGAGCTGTGATCCTGCCAGTGCACTCAGCCTGCGTGACACAGTTTGGAAAACTGTCTCTCTCTATGTATGTATCTGTTCAGGGAAATGGCAGCGTGAGATTTTATGGCAGTTCTTGAGACTTCAGAAACACTTCGGCACCAGCCAAATCCCCCCAAGAGAGCAAGGAACACTTTTCCAGTTGCTTAAAAAATTTAAAGTTATAATGAAAAATGTTGTAAAAAGAACTACAGAGGCTGGGTGTGGTGGCTCACACCTGTAATCCCAGCACTTTGGGAGGCCAAGGCGGGTGGGTCACGAGGTCAGGAGTTCAAGACCAGCCTGGCCAAGATGGTGAAGCCCCGTCTCTACTAAAAATACAAACATTAGCCGGGCACGGTGGCAGTCACCTGTAATCCCAACTACTCGGGAGGCTGAGGCAGGAGAGTCGCTTGAACCTGGGAGGTGGAGGTTGCAGTGAGCTGAGATCACTCCAGCCTGGGTGACAGACTGAGACTCCGTCTCAGAAACAAAACCAAAAAACTACAGAATAGAGTAGGGGTGGAGGGAAGTCATGCATTTCCAGTGGCTAGCACTTTGCGCTCTGCCTTGGCGAGTATCTGCAAACTTCCTGACCATCAAGTGCGCTTGCAGCCATCCTGGATGTCAACTGGCCACAGACCCTTTGCTATGGGGAGTCCCTGGCTACATCCATTAGCAAGTCAGAGGTTTCCTTTTGTCCCCATGATGCCACTCTCCAGCAAGCTCAAACTGCTGTCACAATTGTTTTACTGTACCTAAAAAGGAACAGATAAGGCAAGAGCCACAGTCAATGTTTTCTGTGAAATGGTCTTGGCAAATAGCATTAAGAAATCTTGTTGAATTTCAAAGAAAAGGTCTGATTAGAGGTGCCTGTTGGAAGCAGAAGCCTCAAGAAATGAGGAAGGAAAGTTAATTTGAGGGTCTGTTTCATTTCTGATACAGAATAATCACAAAAACAAGTATATGCCGCTGGCTGTAGCTCCCCTTAGGATTTGGATAACCAGCTGGATTTCCAGATGGCCACTCCCGTTCTCTATGCTTCCCTCCTCCGGGCTATATCCTGCAGAGCTTCAGCGGGAAGTTCTCCGTGATGAGGTGGTCAGGGTGAAGCAGCACCACGATGTTAACCTCAAATTCTGAGAAGAGAAGAGAGGGTGGGTTTGTGCTCACTGTTACCAAGCAGCGAAACCACACGCCGCCACCACTGCAGTCGCAGGAAGCTCTAACGGCGAAGGAGCACCCGGTGCGGGTGGGTTTCATTGCTGTCCCCTCAGCGCCACCCTGACCTTTCAGCCAAACTTTCAGTGGAGATGACTATGCTGATGTCTGACTACCTCTGTCAACTTTCTCTAAGTGAATTTTTGTCCTCTCATCTTGGAACATGAGTGATCAGGCTTCACCAACTACACTTTCCCTGTCCCTTTGCTTTCCTAAAAAGGATATTCTAGAACCCTTTCAATTCATTTGTATTCCTTTGCCTTATTTTTACATTTCCTACGGTTCTTAATGAAATAGCAGACTGTGAACCAGCGCATAGCTGTCTGGGCCCATGTCCCCAATCCCCAGGTGAGAAACAGTCTTCAGAAGCAACAATTTCATTGTTGCTCCATTGGATACTATTCATCCATCACCTTTCAGCAAACAGGATTCCTTCTCCACCGACTCTTCAGCTGATATGGGTGAGCCTTGTTGATCCTAACAAAAGGGATGTGTGTGAAGAGGAAGCACCTGACGACAAACAAGCACCATCTCCTTCCCCAGTGTGAGGAGGGGTGGGAAGGGCATCGTGTGGGCAGAGGGCACCCTGTGCTGAGCCCCACACTGTGGCAGCTCAGCTGTGGAAGGGGCCTTGGAGTCAGTGCCCACCTGTGGCTGGGGTCTGCAGGACAACATCCCCGTGTGGGAGTGTCCACCTCCGCCCAAACATCAGCCACAAGAAGAGTCGGCCACCAGCAGTGGCCGGCCTGTCCTTCCTCACTTTATTGTCACTACATTAGAGTCCTCTGGGCACTTCCTGCCACCACTCCCTTCAATGGGTTCTCCACCCCTCTTGTTGTGCCCCCCAGAAGGGTGGAGGGTGTGGCTGGAGTGGACAGAGAGGGATGCCCAGCAGGCAAGATAGGGAGCTGGCGGGGGCTTTCCTTTACAGCAGGAAAACAGCTGCACTGGAGCCGCCATGATACCCAGGCGCTGCTTAGAGTCCGAGTGAGTTCCAGTCTCGGGCCTGACCGTGCATTTGAGGTCACTCGCACGGAATTGGAGGGGAACACACAGAGGTGCTGCTCTTGATGTGGATGCAGTGCTCACTCCTGACTTCCAACCTAGAGGTCCCCGAGCCTCTCTGAATCACAGTCCCCTGCTACTGAGAAGGCTCGGTCCCTTCCTACTGGGTCTCTCTGTTCTACTTCTTCGTAGTGTGGAGTGATCTCCCAATTAACATGATTCTTATTAAGATGGAGGTCCCATTACAATATTTATAGGAAGAGTTAAAAACATGGAAATGTTCATGATACAATGTTAAGGGAAAAAGGCAGAATATAAAAGGGTGTCTGTGACCTGATTCAGATCCCATGGTTAAAATATGAACACACAGGTTCATGGAAACTCACTAGAGGCATCTAGGCCGCGGGGCTCAAGGCCTTCCTGCTTCTGAGCGCTCACTCTGGGGTTTTCACGGGTCCTGGACCTTCACACAGAGCCACTTTCTCAGTATCCACACCACCCCCCACTCCTGTGGTGCTCGTTCACGGGAGTTTTCTTCACGGAGCTCAGCGTCACCTGCCCATGTCTACACAGAGCTCAGCGTCACCTGCCCATGTCTACACGGAGCTCAGCGTCACCTGCCCATGTCTACACAGAGCTCAGCGTCACCTGCCCATGTCTACACTGATGTGGGTCTGTGTGTTTCCCCATGTGACAGTGGAAGTCCCACAAGCACCAGGACTGCCTGTGGGTGTGTCCCCTGTGCGGCACAGCAGCTCCTTAACAAGGTTTTGTTGAGCAGCCGAAGGGCAGCAGGCTCTGAGCTGTATGGCCTGTGGCAGGCCCTGGCACTGAGGGACCGAAGGGCGGCAGGTTCTGAGCTCTGTGACCCACAGCAGGCCCTGGCGCTGAGCGGCCCTTCCCATGGGCCCATGAGGGCTGGGAGGCGAGTGCCACTTACCCACTTTGAAGTTGGTGGTCTCCAGTGTAGGGCAGGTGAACAGCCTAGGGAAGACCATGTAGATGGGGACAGAGAGGCCCCTGCACACATCCCCGTCGGCGATCTGAATGTTCTGAATCTCCGTGGCGTCGCGGGCATAGCCTTCTGCACACCCTGCGGGAGGGAGGCCACATCACGCGGTCAGGGCCAGCAGAGGCTGCGGGGTCCACATCCGCACCGGCACCACCCACCAGTCTGCTCCAAGAATCCTCCAGGGTCCCCTCCCCTCACTTTCCTTAGACACGCGGCTACTGCTAAGGCACAGCCACGCTCTTACTTTTGCTTCCCCGACGTCCTCTCGTTTTTTAGAGTCAGGGTCATGGTCTGCTCTGCTGCCCAGGCTGGAGTGCAATGGTGCGATCTCAGCTCACTGCAGCCTCAAACCACCCTCCCACCTCAGCCTCCTGAGTAGCTGGGATTACAGGGGTGCGCCACTGTGCCCAGCCCCCCAGCATCCTCTTAACCATGGAACGTGAGGGTGGCAGTCGAGGGGGACAGGCAAGCGCCAGGCCTGGTGGCACGGCCCTCACCGCACGTCTCCACGCGCACCAGCTGCAGCTCCACGCTTCTGATGGCGGCTTCCGAGCTCTCCACCACCAGCTCTCCCGTTAGTGGCTGCGTGATGACACAGTTTGTTGAGTTGAGATGTCCTCGAAGGAGAAATTTGGGAAGCAAAGCTCTCTAAAACAAAATGAAAACAAATACATCAGAATGCAGGCAAGGGGGGAAAGTGCTCCATACTTTGGTGCAAATAAAACCTGGAAGCGAAGTTGGATAGTGGTTACACAGTCCACCGGGACCGTCTCACAAAACGGGAAGAAAGGAGCGAAGTACTGACGTCTTGGACATTAGCCGGCTGAATTATTCAACGACTCTCTACATATGGCACCTGACTGACACTCTGTGTACAGAGAATGCCTCAGAGAACCATCCTAATTGCCTAGTCTCAGAGCTAGAAAGCTCCTTCTTACCAAGGAATAAGACATGAAAAAGTCTGAGGGAGTCGCCATGGTGTTCAAGACAACCTGACACACACACAGTTAAAAAGAAAAGTCCTGGCCAGGCACAGTGGCTCAGGCCCGTAATCCCAGGGCTTTGGGAGGCAAAGGCAGGAGGATCACTTGAGGCCAGGAGTTCAAGAACAGCCTGTGTAACACAGCAAGACCCCATCTCTAAAAAATGTTTTAAAAATTAGCTGGGCAGGCTGGTGCACACCTGTAGTCTCAGTTACGTGGGAGGCAGAGGCAGGAGGATTGCTTGAGGCTCCAGTGAGCAATGATTACACCAGTGCACTCCAGTCTGGGTGACAAGAATGAGATGCTGTCTCTTAAAAAAAAAAACATTCAAAGATGTTCCCAATTGTACAATTTTTAAAACCCAAGACATTTATTTTATTTCATGGAAATTTGAAGAAAACTAGTTTCTTTGACGCTTGATGAGAAGCCTACAAACCTTTACTCTGCACACCTGACGCTGGCCAGGAAGGACTGATGATGGTCTAGAGCAGGGGTGTCCACTCTTTTGGCTTCCCTGGGCCACGTTGGAAGAAGAAGAATTGTCTTGGGTCACACATAAAATATATTAACACTAATGATAGCTGATGAGCTAAAAAAAAATCACAGAAACAAAATCTCATGTTTTAAGGTTTATGAATTTGTGTTGGGTCACATTCAAAGCCATCCTGGCCGGTGGGCTGTGGGTTGAATGGGCTTGGTCTAGACAGAGACAATTTTTCTAGGAATCTTTACCTCTGGCTGGATCCCAGTTACTGAAAGGATCAGATATTGGCATACTACTGTCCAACAGAAACATAATGCAAGCTGCGAGTGGAAGCCACATATATAATTTGGAATTTTCTGGTAGCCACATTAAAAAAGAAGGTAAAATTAACGAATATATCAAAAGTGTTATCACTTCCACATATAATCAATATCAAAAATATGAATGATGTTTTACATTCTTCTTTTCATCCTGAGTCTTTGAAATCTGGTCAGTATTTACACATCCAACTCAGCTACTTGGTCCAGCCATGTGTCCAGGGTCAATGGTGATGTGTGGCTGGTGGCCACCTGATCAGGCAGTGAAGCTCTGGACCTGAAAAGCCCGGGACTCTGGACCTGGCAGTCCCCAAAGGTACAGACCTCTGAAGAAGTCTGCATTCAAGATGGAGCTTTTATTTATTTGTTTTTATTATAAACATTTTTAGAGACAGGGTCTTGCTCTGTTGCCCAGGCTGGAGTACATGGCTCACTGCAGCCTCACCTCCTGGGCTCAGGCAATCCTTTTGCCTAAGCCTCCCTAGTAGCTGGGACTACGATCGCATGCCACCACACCCAGCTAATTTTTACATTTTTCTTTTGTAGAGACAGGTTCTATGTTGCCCACGCTGGTCTTGAACTCCTGACCTTAAGTGATCCTCCTGCCTTGGCCTCCCAAAGTGGTGGGATTCCAGGCATGATCTACTGTGCCTGGCCAAGACAGAGTTTTAAAAATAACTAAGAGAAGCTATTTGTGTAGAAAAACAAAAAGCAGTAGCAGTACACATTAAAATTCTTTTAGGCGACTGATGAAAAAGGATAGCTTTCAACATTCAGCTCAAGATACTGACTAAACAATCATTTTCCCTCTCCTCCCACTGACATGATATTAACATATACAAATAAAATAAACCTATACTATTTTGAGTCTGAGCTCCAGCCTAGTAGTTCCTGTAAAGCTGTCTTATATCCTTCCAATAAATCTCTTTTCTACTTAAAAATCTACAAGATTTTCTACAATACATCTCTTTTCTACTTAAAAAGCAAAACAAAAAACCACCAGTGGCATTTTGTGAATAAGCAATTTTATTTTATTTGCTTTATGTGTTATTTTCTTATTTTCCAACAATAAACCTGAATGGTTCTGTGGAAAGAAAAGTTCTTCGTGTTTACAAATAAACCTATACCTAGAAAAGCCACAAGGAACGCCCCGTGGGGACCACCCCAGTGAAGTGTTTCTGTCCGGCAGAAAGTGGACAGACAATCCGGCTCCCGGGAGTTCGGGGCACCCGTCCTCCAGGTGGCAGGGGGAGCGGTGAGAGCGGGTGTGCTCGCAGGGCGTGTGGTCAGCCTGCCATCGGGCGGGGGCCTGCGAAGGGCAGTAGGCAGGTATCACAGGTGAGCTCACCAGATGGGGGAAGCTGCCACAGACTGGCACCACAGCTTCCTGCAAAGGGGATCTCCCACCCGGAAAAGCAGACTCGGGGCAAGGTAGGACAAGTGTCCCACGTCATTCACAGCCACAATGCAGACAGCGAGCCTCTGGACTCAGGAGACAAGCTGCCTACAAACACCCCGGCCACGTGCCACACCCAGGGCAGAGCGCCTCTGATGAGCAGGTGCTGAGGACCAGGAGAACAGGTTCTCACCTGGGCTAAGGATACAGCCTCTACAACACCACCACACACATTAGATCCTCATTTGTAAATGTAAACTGACAACCGAGGATCAATACACATTTAAGGAAAACAAAAGCAAGAAAAAGACACACACACTCGACAAACAGAACCAACCCCTGAGAAACAGAATCAATACAGGAAAAGGAGATGAAAGGCCACTGCGTCCGTCATGGAAGCAGCAGCTATCCCGAAGAAGAAACGGTGTCTAGAAATGAATCACATTACTGCTGAGGTCAGCGCTTCCGAAGACAGGCTACAGAGGTGGGAGACGGGAGTCTGAGTGGCCCACTGGGGTCGCGTGCCCTCAGAGCCCGGAGAAGGGAGACGTGCAGAACAGACAGAGGAGTGGCCTTTCCTCCCTCACCTGTCTGAAAGGCTCCCCACGACACATGTCCAGCCTCTGAGGGATGAGGCCAATGACATCCCAGGGCCCAGGCCTCCCAGCTTGTCCTTCACTTGATCCTAGTCAGTGTGGTCCAGACAGCAGAATAAAGAATTAGAGGAAGGATGAAAAGTTACATCCAGGAAGAACTACAGGACTCCACTGTTTAGGAGAAATGCATGGCAGTGGATGAGAGGGCAAGATCAGGGAGGCCGGGGCCAGGCAGAGTTTTGGACGGGCCCAAGTTCACCGTGCAGCTCGAGGGACCAGCTGAGGCTCCACCAGCGGCTGCCACTGACAGCCAGACAGCCCTGTCCTGATGCAGGAGGCGGGGGAGCTGGGCTGGCACTGCCCAGGCGTCTGTGTCCTCACTGTACCTGCCCTGGCCGTGAGGCGTCCACCACGGAGGGCACTGCGGAATCTTTGAAAAGCACGTTGCTGCCCGGCCTCTGTCTGATGGGAATGCTGGGGAAGAAACTGCAAACTAAACATCCATGGAGGATGACAACAGGCCAGGGGGCCGGGCGCAGGCCCCGGCTAACCATGAGAAATGAAGGGACGTGGCCGTGTCATGGGCAGCAGGGGGTCTTGGGGGCCCATGATGCAGTAAAACTGAGGGAAAATGGTGAGATTAATAGACATGGACCCTCCCTGAGGAACTTTTCAAAAGCAGTCCTCTTCTAAGCTGCTTTACTGAGCTTAAAAAGGAAATCAAATGGAAAATACTGAGTAATTTGGGTACAATCAGAAATCTCTGCCGGCTGATGACGTGATTTCCAAATGAAGACCACCCGGGCAATAGCTAGTCCGTGGGGTCTGGCTGCTGGGAAGATACCCACGGCATTCGCCTGTGCAGGACGTCTTACCTCTTTGACGTTCTGTAAGGTTTCAGGTGTAATCGTGAAGTCCACGGGACTGGGAGTAAACTTCCCCTTCTGAGGCTAAAACGAGAGGTGAAACCGAAATCAGTAGGTGAAGGCCAAGAGTTCTGCAGGTCAAATAGCTTTTCCCTTTCAAAAATAAACCAACGGCAGCCTGGCGATGCAGGAAGGACGGGGAACTAAGAGGCGCAAGCCTGGGTCCTGAACACAGTTCTGTCAAATTTCCCCATCTTGCTGAAACTCAGTTTCCTCATCTGTAAAATGAGGGGAGAGATGTCTTAATCTCCAACGTGCCTTTCAGATTCAGAATTTTAAAATCAGATCTAAGAAACAGAACAGTGTTATTGGCAAGTACTTATTTGAAACCTCAGCACAGTGACCCTCCAAAGGGCTCTTCACACCTCCCAGATGGTCCCACTTCACAGACGAGGCAAGCGGGGCAGAGAGCTCAGTGGCCTGCTCAGCTCAGTGGTGGAGCTGGGGGGCTGAGCATTGAACCCAGGAGGTCAGGTTGCTATTGGCCTCTGAGCTATAGAGCTGTCACCTGAAGAATCATACTTTAAACGTTACCAAAACAGCAGTAACAGTGATCACCTCCATGTTACATAATTTCAGAATCTACAGATACAGCCGAGCTTCATGAGAGCCTGCCTGGCATTTTTTATCCAGGGGCTGGGATGCAAAGGGCCAGTCTACCATCCAGAGAGCCAGGGGGAGGAAAGGTCCTGCCTGATGTGCCGACGTGGAGTCCCTCTGGCCCGCGGCCTCAGCTGGGGGACTCTGGGCCCAGGACAATGATGCACACGTGATGCGCATGCCACCGACTGTCTCTGACCCAGAAGTCTTGTGTCTTCTGCCAGCACCCGTGAAACAGTAAGAGGCTAAATGGTGAGCTTGTAAATAGGGTAAACTCTCAGACCCCATGGGAGATTCCTATCATTAAGCACCAGAGTCCCCGAGTGAAGCTTACAGCGGAGTGAACGATAAATTCACAGGTCTTTGTCAAGTCCTTGGCCAACAGAGACCGCTTCATGTCACAGCGCAGTGTATACTAAAGGGGAGAGTTGGAGGAAAAAAGTTCATTTTAGTGGGATTTGCTTTCATCTTGGAATTATATTCAAAGAGACAAGTCAGTCAACATATTTTAGGGAAATGTTGTACAATCAGTGCATTATAGAAAATTAACATACATAATATAATACATAATAGGATAGTTAATGTTCAAAATAAAGGCATTTCTGTTTTAAAAATGAACCACTTTAAGGTTATTCTTCAATCTGTTTGCACAGCTGGCCTGCAGTTGGACCCACTGGCAAACAGGTGCACGGTCCCACCTGTAGCAGGGAGCAGGCTGGCGAGACAGAAAGGGCAGTGCGCTCAGGAGCAGACGCCAGGCCAGATCCCGTTGTTGTCTGCCTTACTGTGCGAGCCCAGACAGATAACACAACTTGTCTGAGCTTCTGCTTCCCTTCTGTAGAATGGGGCTCTTAAGACCCACCTGCAGCGAGACTCCAATGAGATCATGTGTGACAAGCACTCAGCACAGGGCTGGCACAAAGCAATGCTGGAAAACAGCAGCTACTTTGTAAGCGGGATTAGAAAATCCATGCAGTGAGGACTGCAACCCTGGGACAGCACCCAGCATGTCACAACCCTTCCTCGCTGGGCACCTGCTCTGAGTGCATAGCACTGCCCTGGGCACCAGAGCCAAGCTCAAGGTCACACCTGGTCCTCAGGGAACTTCTAGTTTACTGAATATGCAGTAACCCACACATCCATCAACCAACTTCCACAAGGGTCAACTCATGGCTAATCTTATTTCTCGAGACATCTGAGGTCTCTCTCCATCTGCCAACACACAGATGTAGCCTGCACCTCAAAGAAAAAGTGGGTTGGAAAACAATGTAGCATCGCACTTGCACACTTGCTTTTTTAATGTGGCAGAGCCGCATTCCATTTCTCTGCTGTCCCTAGGTTAGTTTTCTGAGCTGGTTGCTACCATGGTGCCTACTGCAAGGTGAGCTCTATTCCCCCAAGGGGAGCCCCACTGCAGAGCTGGTATTGAGCTTAAAGCAGGCTTTGAACGGAGACTGTTGCTTCAAATCCCTGTCCGTGAGCTGAGAGACTATTTAAAAATGTAATTCTACAGCAGGACCACTGTTGTAATGCCAGTCTTTAAAAAAAAATCACATAATCCACGTTTAATAAAGTTAGTTGTTGTTTTAATCGTCCAGGAAAAACTTCAGAATTATGTCAAAAATAATTTTCATAACTCGGACTCTATGCATAACTGAATCTTCCAAGAAGCTAATATTCGTATGAACAACCTGTCCGCATGAAATAAGAAGTTACTATATATATTTAAGGTACTACTGGGAGAGTAAAACATTGTTTAAAAGAATCATCCTTGTCTGCAAGGATCTTTATGTAGAATATATATACAATATATATATTCTTTTTTTGTTTTTTAATACGGAGTCTCACTCTGTCACCCAGGCTGAAGTGCGGTGGCGTGATCTCGGTTCACTGCAACCTCCACCTCCTGGTTTCAAGTGATTCTCTTGCCTCAGCCTCCTGAGTATCTGGAATTACAGGGGCCGCGCCACCATGGCTGGCTAATTTTTTTTTTTTTGAGATGGAGTTTCACTCTTGTTGCTCAGGCTGGAGTGCGATGGCGTGATCTCGGCTCACTGCAAACTCTGCCTCCTGGGTTCAAGCAATTCTCCTGCCTCAGCCTCCCGAGTAGCTGAGATTACAGGCATCCACCACCATGCCCGGCTAATTTTTGTATTTTAGTAGAGATGGGGTTTCACCATGTTAGTCAGGCTGGTCTTGACCTCAGGTGATCCACATGCCTTGGCCTTCCAAAGTGCTGGGATTACAGGTGTGAGCCACCGTGCCTGGCCTAATTTTTGTATTTTTAGTAGATACGGGGTTTCACCATGTTGGCCAGGCTGGTCTCGAACTCCTGACCTTAGGTGATCTGCCCACCTCCGCCTCCCAAACTGCTGGGATTACAGGCGTGAGCCACGGTGCCCAGCCCTGTCCATAGTTTTAAAGTAGATTCCTATAAAAGGAATTTTTAACTTTGAAAAGGGATGACTAGGATCTCTAGAAATGAGTGCTGAATATACAATTTCAGCAGACATGTTTTATGTGATAGGATAAACGCTTGCTAGCACAGCTACAAGAGTAAAGCAAGAGTAGAACAAACCTAATAAAACTTGCCTACAATTTAAATTATTGTAAAAAGAAGAAGTAGATGCACAAAGGGCAACTACGGAAGACTCTGATGATCATATGAAGTATCTAGTAACAAAGACAAACATGAACGCAACATGACTGAGAAGAATGTCAAGCTCTTCATCTAAAAAATGACAAGAAAGCCAAGCCTCTGGAAGTCAGGAATATAATACTGGCATTTGATACATATACATATATATGTGTGTATATGTGTGTGTATATATATATATATATATATATATATATTTTTTTTTTTAATTAAAAAATTTTTTTCTTAAGAGATGAGGTATTGCTATGTTGCCCAGGCTGGACTTGAACTTCTGGGCTCAAGTGATTCTCCTACCTCAGCCTCCCAAGTGGCTGGGTTTACAGGTGCATGCCGCTGCACCCAGCACGTCTATCTTTTAAATCCTTTATTCTGATTTATGATTTTTACCGTTTTAGATTGTTACAACACAATTCAATTTATGAATGAAAAATTTCTTGGCACATAATTTAAGAAAGATGATATTAGGGTTTAGCAACAAAAGTTTCTATCCAAAGAAATGTGCCTATGTTAACCTTTAGAGTAAGTGCGGTAAACAGTGCGGGCCGAGGAGTGCTGGTCTGGACCCGCAGGCTGAGGCTGGCCTGTGTGACCACAGGAAGTCACTGCCGTCTCTGGGCGGCACTTGCTCTACTATAAAACTGTAAGAAAAAGACCTGCCAAATAATGGCATGAATGAATGAATGGATGGATGGATGATGACAGATTTAAAAAAACATAATCTTAGTTTCTCTTAAATTTATTTTCTCAAAAGACGACAAATTTTGATATGAATCAAGAATTAATCAATACTTGAGAATTTTTACAAATTCTGATAGGTGTGCAAATGTTAACTGTAATTATAGAGACAAACGTCCTTAGTTTTTGGAGATGCGCAATGAGGTATTTTGAGATGAAGTATCAAGACTCTGAAACTAACTTTAAAATGATTTAGAAAAAAATCTAAATTTTTAGGTGAACAAAGATGGCAAAATACTATTAAGTGCTGAATGACAATAAGTGTGATAAAGTCATGGAAATCAGAGGTTAAGCTAAGAAATCTCTTCATTGTTAGAAATCGGTGAGATAGTTGGGGAGGTACTGAATTCCAAATTGTAGTACTCTGAGGTTAACCCTCAAATGGTAAAATCTGATGATGAAAAGACGAGGGTAGGGGCAATTATTCCCTTTACTAAGGAACCCACCACCTGTTAACTCTCCTACTATATTTTAAGTAGCCTCCAATGTACACACAGCTCTGCAGCAACAGAAGCACACAAGCTTTTTGTTTTGTTTTCTTTTGTAGAGATGAGATCTTGCGTTGTTGCCCAGGCTGGTCTTGAACTCCTGGGTTCAAGCAATCCTCCTGCCATGGCCTCCCAAAGTGCAGGGATGACAAGCGTGAGCCACTGTGCCTGGCCAGCACACACGTTTTCTATGTATATCTGAACATCTGTCTTGGCAACATGTGGAAAAGGATGGGGTTTCCAATTTGACTTTAAACAAATTCATCTTCTTTTGGTAAGTCTTGATGAACGCAGGAGTTAACAAATATGATCACTGAAAACGTGATCTTATTCCAGTTTCTAATGAACATATTCTTGTATTTTTAAATCAACCATATTAAAGAACTGCCGTGTGGATAAAGCAAGTCGATACTGATTCTGGGTAGATAATAAAAATAATTTCCAAAATCAATGTTCAAGATATCTTCAGTATTGCCAAAAAGGCATTTTTCATTCAGTTTCTTTCAGGGTGGAAACAGTCCCAACCTAGAAAGCTGATCAGAAGACTCCCACCCACATACCAGCAATTGGTATCTGCATGGCTACGTACGCAGCTTCCTCTGAATCCAGGTACTACTCAGTCATCACTGCTGCTTCCTTGGGGCTGTCCAAAGCCTTTGGTGCTAACAATAAAGGACTAGAAACACTTCTTTTCTTCACAGAAGATGTACATCATACTACATGTGTTTCCTCTGGACAGATCTCTTAGGCAATTCATAAAACTCCCATACAGATGAATCTTTAAACACTCACAGGGGTTTGGGGGGCTTTTATTTTAAAGGTTCTATTATTTTCAGCAGGATAATGTATCTACTAAGGCCAAATTATTGACCAAAACTTAATAAATCAAAAAAATTCCTGACTTTCATCCCTCTTGCATATAAGACTGAAGAGTTGTGTCTCATCCAGCAAGGGAAGTGCTGCGAGGCTGCTATCACAAAAGTATCTTTCTTTCTGCTGCATAAAGGAAAGGCTATCTCACCCCGCGTGGACTCCACTGCTCCTGAGACAACAACAGCAGACTGTCAAAGACGTCCCTTAACCAGCAGAGGTAGACAGGAAGTCATAATCCACTTCCCCTCATTGACAAGGTTTGTTCAGTAAAGAACACCAGCCTATGTCAAAGTAGTAGCCTTTGGGTGTTAAACAAAGAGATACTTGTAAGTATAAAACAGACAAGTTAATGCTAGTGCCAGAAAGAAGTTAGGGCATATCTGTTACCAGACAATAAAAGCATCCCTTACAATGTGAGGTGGCCTGAAAAGAGCCCAGAAGAAACAGAGGGAAAAGAAGTTACAGCACGAGTGCCTTGAGGCTCCCATCAGAAATAACGGCCATACATCAAATGCATTTATCAGGGAAATGAGAAATTAACGTCGAATATACATGCGAGGTCTCAGCAATAAACACAGTATTAAATTCTTGGGCCCGTCTACTAACGTTGAGAGAAAGACCACACCGTTTGTCAGAAGAAAACTTGTGAAGTCAGTCGCGTAGGACTAGGAAGCTCTCACCTGAATGTTGACAAACACGCCATGATACGTCTCATACAGAACTTTGTTACCCTTCAAGTGCAGAGGAAATTCAAAAGGGATTTCTGTTTTGCCGCTGGGAAATTTCCCCGGCTTCACCATTTCTATGGTGCTGTTGATAATCTGGATAGGCTGTAAACAAAAATCAGTTCAGTCCATCAGCACACACTTGGAAATGTCCTTTCCAATTACTAATAACGTTCTGAAGGACACAGCACCCCGACCCCCTGGAGGCCACCATCCTGCTGTCTTCGGCAGCTCTGCGCTGGGTCTGGAGATGAACAGTGACTTGGCTCTGCTTTTTAAGACTCTGGCACAATAATGATTCATTTACAACATGAGACACATAGGTGCTTGAGACACATGGGAACTGAACTGATACATCCCTCTCTCCTCCCCAGGTATCTCATTTAACTGTTTTAACGACCCCGATCTTCAGGATCAAGAAGCAGACCCAGCACAGTGAGGCTGCCTGGCTAACAGGGTTGACGTGTGAACCCACGGCTCCCCCTCACCGAGCCCCGTGCTCTTCTGGGCAGCGCTGCCTCTGCTCCTGACAGCCCACCAGCTTCCTCGGAGCCTTCCTGCTGCAGCCGCTCAGGGAGAGCAGGCCTTTCCTCCAGCCCTGTGGCCTGCACAGACCTCCTCAGCTGGGCCTCCAAGGAGGAGCAGGAGGGTACTAACATTTGGAACCTGCCTTCAAGGCACGTATTCATGCTTTTTAAGCATTTATAGTTTAACATCAGTGGCTCGGAGAAGACCCATGACTTAGGAAGTGAATCTCTTAAGTACTAATGGATTAAAATAAAGTTGTAGAAAACATAGGAAGCCCCTAAATCTGAACACTGTGAATGCACCTTTCTCTGTCTTCACTCTTTTCCCTGCAAAACTTAAAGCGTTAATATGTCCTTCAGGAAAAGGCAACTACAAGAATAGAGAAAGAGTTTACATTCTGGAACACAAAACTCTACCCTAAATGACAAAAACAACAGTTACTTGCTCTATTTTCATCTTACCTTAGTGTCAAATCAACAGTAGCATAGACACAGCTAATAAAATGACAGTTTTGATTTTGGAAGGCATGTAACATAAGCCACAGGCACAACTTCTCAGAAGAGCTGTGATCTTTTTTTTTTTTTTTTGGAGATGGAGTTTTGCTCTTATTGCCTCAACTAGAGTGCAATGGCGCCATCTCAGCTCACTGCAACCTCTGCCTCCTGGGTTCAAGCGATTCTCCTGCCTCAGCCTCCCAAGTAGCTGGGGCACACGCCATCACACCCCGCTAATTTTTTGTGTTTTTAGTAGAAACGGGGTTTTACCATGTTAGCCAGGCTGGTCTCGAACTCCTGACCTCAGGTGATCTGTCTGCCTCAGCCTCCCAAAGTGCTGGGATTACAGGCGTGAGCCACTGCACCCAGGTGTGATCTTTTTAATGGCTGAAATTAATACATTTATAGTTCTCCTAATCCTATTTATCAAATAGGAATAAATATAAGCAGACTTTCAATAACAGGATATACTTAGAAACAAAGTATCTCCATTTTCGCAGGTTGATTAGTAAATATCAGAAGTGTAACTACCACCATCCCTTGCAAAATAACAACAGATAACAATAAAGGCACACAGCAAGTGAAACCCACCATAAACATGTCTTTTTTTAAGAGACATGGTATCTTGCTCTGTTGCTGAGGCTGGAGTAGAGTGCTGTGATCATAGCTCACTGCAGCCTTGAATTCCTGGGCTCAAGGGATCCTCCTGCCTCAGCCTCCTGAGTAGCTGGGACTACAGGCACGCACCACCACACCCGGCTAATTTTTAAAGTTTATTTATAGAGATGGGGTCTTGCTATGTTGCCCAGGCTACTCTCAAACTCCTGGGCTCAAGCGATCCTCCCGCCTTGGCCTCCCAAATTACTGAGATTACAGGCCTGAGCCACTGCGCCTGGCCCTGAGCCACTGCGCCCAGCCCAACATTTCAATATTGAACTAAAAACTTGCAATCTAAGCATTCTTTCTTACCTTAACAGAATTATAAAAAGCTTCAAACACACCCACACTTTTGGCACTGAGCTGGAGGTTTACAGTTCCTTCCATGGTCAAAGACACTCCCTGGTGTTGGACTGAATCCTTACTCGATATGACCACCACGCCAGAGAGCACTTCCTGGGAGAGAAAAGACAGCCACCAATCAAATTAGCATGCTTCCTCCATTCTACCTTGTTTATTAGCAAACGTAGGTCTCCTTCATCATCAATTTGTTTAAAGATCCAGACATTCACTGAGACACCTGGATACCAGGGTGGAGAAGGCCCAGGTCCTGGTAGGGGACAGATGCCCACTGATAATGACGTGGCAGCCTGGACACACCTGACGGGGAGCACCCGGGTGTGGGGATGAGAAACCTCGTCCCGTCACTGCCTCTCAGACATGTCTTCATTCCTGGTTGGGGAATCTCAACAGATGTCTGAATTCAAGAGTGCAAGGAGAAGGGCCAGGGCAAATGTAAGTTCCCAGTGATATCACACATGGGCATGGATGAGGTCCCTTCAAAAGGAACAGAAGAAAATAAAACTCTGTTCGTTAGGCTCTTTCTCAATAGCGCTGACTAAAATGACAGCACAACTGCAAATGCATGAGTAATTTAACACGATGGTTAGCCTGGTGTCCTTTCTGCCCAGAAATGCCTACTGTGAGCAAGACTGGAGGTTATTGGTGCCACCCACGAGGCAGCAGCATGCCACTTTCCAGAAGGACTGCCCTGTCCCTGTGGTTCCTGCTCACACCAGGAGGCATCGGCGCCTCCATTCCCTTGGTTCACACATCATCGAGAGACTTCACAACAGATCATCTGTGCATTTATCTGAAGATAATTACTGAGTAATAGATTACGGATAGTAACTGCATTCGCTATTGGAGAGCAGTTTCTTCCTGTCACCATAGAACTGGATGGTCTCAATCTGTTACAGGGGCTCGAGTGGAAGAGGAAATTGAGGGGATGAAATAGTATCAAGCGGAACAGAAAGACTGAATCCACAATCCACACAGAACAACACGTCTCAGGCTGGGCGTGGTGGCTCATGCCTGCAGTCCCAGCACTTTCAGAGGCCAAGGTGGACAGGTTGCTTGAGCCTAGGAGTTTGAGACCAGCCTGGGTAACATAGCGAGACTCCATCTCTACAAATAATAAGAAAAAAAATTAGCTGAGTGTGGTGGCACCCACCTGTGGTCCCAGCTACTGGGGAGGCTGAGGTGGGAGAATTGCTTGAGCCTGGGTGGTTGAGGCTGCAGCGAGCTGTGACTACGCTACTGCATTCCAGCCTGGGTGACAGAGCAAAACCCTATCTCAAAAATAAACAGTAAAAATAAAAATTGGCCTGCAGATCAAACCATTAAAAAACATCTGTCCTACTGGTGTTTAAATCTGCTTATCTTTTATTTCTTCTAGTTATCCAGTGAAAAATTTTTACCAAGTTCTTACTTTAACTTGAATTTTGGAAGCAAGAAATATTCTATGTCCCTTAAATGTGCTAAGTATTTTGTTTTTGTTTCCACTCCCCATCCCAAAGCCTTGAAGTCTAATTAAAACAAACACGATCATCTCCATTTTAAGCAATCTTAAGAATAAAATGAGTTCTCCTTGAATTCTGCTTAAAATGGAGATGACTGTGTTTGTTTCAATGTTAATGTTTAATGTTTAATTTAATGTTCCTAAAAAATTCCTAAGCAGACTTAAATAAAAATTCCTGTGAAGTAACTTAAATTCTAAGTTTAATTAACATTAATTCTATTAATTTTTTGTATAGCCCAAATTCAAATGGAAATTTAATATTAAAAATTCAGGCCAGGTAACATGGCTCATGCCTGTAATCCAGCACTTTGGGAGGCTAAGGCAGGAGGATCACTTGAGCCCAGGAGTTCGAGACCAGCCTGTGCTGCATAGTGGGACTCCTTCTCTACAAATAAAAAAATTTTAAAAATTAGCCAGGCGTGGTGGTGTGCTCAGGAAGCTGAGGGCAGGAGGATCACTTGAGCCTGGGAGGTGAAGGCTACAGTGAGCCATGAATGAGCCACTGCACTCCAGCCTGAGTAATAGAGTGAGACCCTGTCTCAAAAAAAGAAAAAAAAATTTAAATCCACTAGTATATTTTTTAAAGTTTACTTGACGAATATGTCCCACAAATAAATGAGACAAAATAATTTGTGAGCTTTATCAATTGAACCACACAGTAGCGCCTGAGGATGGTCCCGTTCCTATGCAGTCATAACCCTTTCCGTCAGTCTCACGGGAACAGGTCTCTGGGTCTCCCTGATGGGCATATTCTAACTATGACATCAGTAAAGCCTTTTCCCTCCTTAATCCCTGCAGCGTAGGAGGAAAAAAGTAGTGACATACCTCGGAAGTAAGCAGAGTAAATATTTTATGACTCGAGACACAATATAGTACAGAAAATACAAAATTAACATTTGTGGATAAATTAGATATTCTTATAATATACAGGTTTATTCAACTCCTACCAATGAAAGAAGGATAGGGAATTAGCCCACCTGAGGCCGAGGGCCAAGGGATTTAGAAACAGGAGACGGTTTAACAGAGAGGCAAGATCTGTCTACACAATGCTTGATTGATCCTGGCAGAGGAAGATAGGATACACTGGTAGAACAGACATTAAGGAAAACCCAAGATCTCACCAAGAACTTCTCCCTCAGATTTTCGTCTAGACTTTCATCAGGAAGACATAAGATTTATGGCTCCAGATAGTACTAATACCTCGTCCAACATCACAAGCAGAGGCCTTCAACTGGGGGCCGTGACTACAAAGAGGGACCGTTCACAGACTGGCAACGAACCCAGAACGTATACACCGAAATCGTGTGCAGGGTGCTACTGTTTTGGGAGAAGAGCCGTAGCTTCTGTCTCATCATGGAGGAGGCGCCTGGCCTGGGAAAGGCCATATTGTCAAGTGGGAGGAGGAAGAGGCGCAGCCCCGTGTGGTGTGCGTGCTCATCAGAGAAGCCAGCACAGACACTGGGACCCACTCGCGTCACCAAGAGCCAACCCCTCTTCAGGGTGAGTAAAGGAAAGAGCTTTCATTGGAGGAATGTGAATACTTTTCAGTTATCCAGCCCAGAGACACTGAAAGGAGACGGCAGTCCCGTCCTCCCCTTCTCTGGGTTGTGCTCATCTCTCGAAACTACCTGCTTTTGCCACCAGCAGCTAAGCTATAAATTCCCTCAATCACACCCCATCCGAGACTACAGCCCGCACCCTAGAGCTTAACAATGGAGAGCCAATCGCCCATCAATGCCATTTCTGTAAGCCTATGAGAATTCCTGGCAAACAACTTTGTATCACCCCACTCCGTGTCCCCCTTTCTTTGCCTTAACAACCTACTTGTAACACAGGGGAACGGAGTTCATATCCAGGGTCACTGGGTCTGTATCTTCTGGGCAGCTGTCCTCTCTTTGGCTCGAGTCAGCTCTTTATTATACTTTGTGCCTCAGCTGCTTTGCTTTAGATGGACAGAGGCCATGCACCCAAGAACCACACCACTCAGAGCCTGCTTCGAGGGGCTCCTCCAAGTCCCTGCCCTGGAGGAGCTAAGTCTGGAGAGAGGCCTGAAGCTGCCCATCTTCAACCTCAGCCCAAAGAGCCGCCTGGAAACAAGCATTCCAAAGGCTACTGGCCACCTTGCTCTTCTCAGCTTTGCTGGCTCTCACAGCGGAAACCACTGGCAAGTTTGTTCAAAGGGGGGCAAAAGCAACCACATTTTCTAACTTTGTATTCTCTTTTTTTTCCTCATTCACTCTGTCACCCAGGCTGGAGTGCAGCGGCACGCTGCAACCTCCGCCTCCTGGGTTCAAGCAATTCTCCTGCCTCAGCCTCCCAAGTAGCTGGGACTACAGGCATGCACCACCACACCCAGCTAATTTTTTGTATTGTTAGTAGGGTTTCACCAATGTTGGTCAGGCTGGTCTCGAACTCCTGACCTCAAGTGATCCACCCATCTCAGCCTCCCAAAGTGCTGGGATTACAGGTGTGAGCACCCAGCCTAACTTTGTATTCTCTAAATGTAAAAGGCCACTACCAAACTATACAACTCTTTTTCTTATTTGTTCTCTGTAATAAAATGCCAAAACCATAATTGGAACTCTGGATTTGAAAATAGTGGCATCAAGTCCGCGACCCCTCTTGGCTTCCTGGAAATCACCCAAAGAATGAGAACCAAAACCACAAACTGCATTTTCGGCGAGGCAAGGAGATAGCTAAATACCATGAAATAGGTGGAAGAGCTGTTAAAAGAAGTGAAGACTGAGCAGGGGGACGTGATGAAAAACGGAAAGAAGGCCCCCAGCTCTGCAAACGTGCTTCTTCTGGAAAGTGAGGGTACACCTGGGAACAGCTGAGGCCACACCCAGAGAGGCATCCTGTCAACCCGCCCCATGCTGGAAGCAGTCGGTCTCTGCAGTGGTGGAGACAATGAGCCCCTCTGCAAGGTGCAAACGCCCTGCAGCTGGTTACTGCATGGGCTCATGCAAAGTCAAGATGAAAGAAACTCTCACGTAAATCCTCCGGCTATTAGAACACTCCAGCCAGCCTGGTCTAGGAATAAATTCATCTCCTGCAAGGAGAGGTTAAAAGGAACCAGCAGAGGAGCACATGACATCTAATGGATTAAAAAATGAGAGTGGGAAGGGAAAGGAAGGAGGGGAAGTGAGGAAGGAGAGAAATACGAGTGGCAGATGAATGCGAAAGCCAGGTCAGGTCACTGTTCCACTTAGATTTTTCAGCAGCTCACCATCTCAAGCACACAGTAAGAGCCACAGCAGCCTACAAAGGGGGACCCGCCCTCTCCTTACCTGACGGCCCTCATATGGGGCCCTCTGCTCCCTCGCTCCTGCCCTGGCCCCCTTGCCATTCCTTTCAGAGGCCTGCACATTCCAGCCTTAGGCAACTGCCCACGTTCCTTGCTCCACCTGCTTGTTCTTCTCAGATACCTGCAGGACTCGGTTCCGTGAGCCCACATTTGAAACTGTACTACTCCCTCCCTAGCACTCATTATCCCCCCTCCCTGACTGACTGCGCTCTGTGACACTTACACCTTCCAAAATAAGACAAAAGTGCCTCCCTATTTTATTTATTGTCTGTCTCCTGCCCCTGAACATAAACTCCACCAGGGCAGAGTGATTGGCAACAGTAGGCATTCAATGAACATTTACTAAATGAATAAACGATCATTCACCAGAAGAAAAATCCATACCATCAAGCAGATGAAAATGGTGAATGTGCATTTCACCATGAATTTGTAAAGTCCGATGAGACAATTGCTTCTATAAAGGATGAACACAAAACAGAGCTATAAGAGCTCAGGGAGGAAATGGTGAGGCAAAAGGAAGAGATAAAAATATAGGAAAGCTCAGAAAAGAAGTAAAAGGAAAAAATCAAACCACCACAGAAAATAAATTTAAAAGGGTCTAAGGATATATGCAGGGCAGAAATGACAAAATCCAAATAAATTAAATGAAAATTTAAGAAAGAATTCAAAAAGAACCACAAAGAGATAAAATTGGAGACAGGTAACAAACACACAGCTATGCCTAATTAAGTTCCAAATAAGAAAACTGAAATAATGAAGCAGAACAAATATTTACTGTGATAATTCAAAAACAGTCAAGGGCAAAGGAATTAGGAGCACTCAATGAAAATACTCTGTAGCAAAAGTGTTCTCATTCAAAAAAGAAAATATCCTTTTGGAGTCAGGAAAAAAGATCGAGTCACTCATAAGAGGAAAAGAAACCATATTTCTCCATAGCAAAATGGAATTCAAAATGCAAGCAGAATGATACAACAATGCTCAAGGCAGTGAAGTGTGACCCTAGAATTTATACTCACCTAATCTGTCATTCCAGTGTAACTGAAAGTTTTAAATGTGCAAAAATAAAAAAACCCAACCAAACTAAAAAAAAAAACATATCCCAAGCAATACTATATAAAAGTCCTTCTTGAGGAATGTACTAAATAGTAAACTATAGCTATCCAAGAGATGGCTAGAAAAACTATGTCAAAAGAACCAACTGTGAGGATTAACTCCATTTAATTGTAAGAAGAAGACTGAGATAAGTGATGATTATAATGAAAGAAGAGAATGCAAAATATAAGTCCTGACAATGTAGAATGTAATCGACACTAGCTGGGAGACTAAGAGAACTAGAATCTAGGAAGTAGTATAATGTACATGGCTTTCCCATCTTTGATGGCTGGGATTTAAAAATGTATTATTCAAACCATACTTCCATACTTTTAAGACAGGGTCTTATTGTCACCCAGGCTGGAGTACAGTAGTGTGATCATAGCTCACTGCAACCTCCACCTCCCAGGCTCCAGTGATCCTCCTGCCTCAGCCTCCTGAGTGGCTGGGACTATAGGCACACACCACCACACCCAGCTAATTTTTGTATTTTTTGTAGAGATGGGGTTTTGCTGTGTTGCCCAGGCTAGTCTTGAACTCCAGGGCTCAAGCAATCCTGCCTTGGCCTCCCAAAGTGCTGGGATTACAGGTGTGAGCCACTGCACCTGGTCTACACTTTTCAGTATGGTAGCTGTAAGCCATATGTGACTATTGAAACTTAAACTTATATTAATAGTTAAAATTCAGGACCTTCCATTTCAAGTGTTTAATAGCCACACTATGGCCAGTGGCTATCATAAGAGACAGAGCAGATAAGAAGTACATTCACATCATCACAGAGAGCTCTACTGGACAGTGCTGATTTAAAGTTAATAAGTCAAATAATGTCGTACAAATAAACTTAACAGAAGTAAACAACGACGAATACTATAAGTAACTAAGATCAGGTAGTAGCGGGAAGAAAGGGAAAAGGAAAGAGGAAATATGCTAATTTACCATTGTTCACAGTAGGAAATTAATAAATAATGTCTAAAATGTGAAGATTCAGGTACAATAAAAAGTTGCAAGGGTAACAGTTAAAACAAAAATAAAACTCCAGATGACTAGAAAATCATACAAACAACTAAAGCAAACAAGACAGACTGTAAAAAGATGTTTCAAAAGCTACTTAAAAACACATTCCCCCCAACCAAGCAGGAATGACAGAATTAATGCCAAACGTATGTCATATTAACAAATGAGCCAAATTAATGCCTATTCAAAAACAGACATGAATATTCCATTACAAGGCAAAACCCAATTTTATGTTGTATGACAGAGAAGCACCTAAAATGGCAGGGGTGGATTTGGAGAGGATAAAAAAGAAAGGATAAACAAAGGCAAAGAAAGAAGGCATGGATTGTCACCTTAATATCAGACAATGCTGAATTCCGAGAATGAAGGATTAAACAAGACAAAGGGGACTTTACAATTCTAAAGGAGCAACTCACAATAAAGACTTGTGAGGCCAGGTGTGGTGGCTCATGCCTGCAATTCTAGCACTTTGGGAGGCCGAGGCAGGAGGATTGTTTGAGCCCAGGAGTTTGAGACCAGCCTAGGCAGCATAGCGAGACCCTGTCTCTAAAAAAAGAAAAAGACGTGGTATTATTATCTGCAGATCAAACAGTGTCCACACTTGTAAAGCAAAAACTACAGGGAATAGATTTAAGGAGAAACTGAGTAAAACAAATTCGTTGTGGGAGACATTAATTTACAGATCATGACCAATAGAGTAGACAGAAAGAAACAAGGATACAGAAGACCTACGTCACATATCAACAGGGTATAATGAACTGGCATACATAGATCTCTATACCCTGAAAACAGAGAATATGCTCTTTTCAGTGTCCATGATATACTTTTAAAAACTGGCCAAACTGATCCCTTAATAAGTCCAATAGGTCTTTCTTCTGGGGGTGGGGGGAGGGGGGGAACAAAGCAAATTATTAAATAATCTAATCAAAAAAGAAAAACACAAATATCCAAAATAAGAAATAAGAGCAGAAATACTAGAAAAATGGAGGTAATTAAAAGATAATATTCAACACTATTCAACTGTATATAAGTAAATTTGAAAAGCTGACTAAGTGAATTATTTTTCTGGGAAAATATAATTTATCCAAAATCACTCCAAGGGAGACATGAAATCCAAGCAAATCAATCATCATAGAAAAAATAAAGTTCTAAATAAGGCCCCCAAACCCGACAGCTTCACAGGAGATCATTCCCTGAATTTTTCTGTGTGAAGAACAGAAAATTCCACTATAAAACTATTAGAAAGCAACGAACTTAAAAAAAAAAAAAAAGCCAACATAACAATGACAGCAAAATAAGACAAAAGTCTACACACTCAGAGAGAGAGACAGGAGAGAGAAGAGAGAAAACTAGATTATTCTCATTTGTAAATACCAGTGCAAAGGTCCTAAATAAAATATTAGCAAATGCAATCCAGTAGCAACTTAAAACAACACTATACATAACCAAGTAGAATTCAGTCAAGGAATATAAGCATAGTTTAATAATGAGAAAACTGGTAATACAACTCATATTAATAGCTATTAAGAGAAAAATTATATATAGTCATCTCCATAGATGCTGAAAAGGCATTTGAAAAAATTTATGCATTCTTGATAAAATTCTTAGTAAAATAATAGAAGGATGACCAAATATATCTACCTTACCCCAAAGCCAGCATCAAACTTAATGAGAAAACAAGATATCATCCATTTAAGTCAGGAATAAAAGAAGGATGTCCACTATCACCACAATTAACGTTCTGCAAGTACTAGTTAATACAATAAAACTAGAGAGAGAAAGAGGTAATTCAAAGGCAGGAGGTAAAATGATCACTACTTGCACAATGAGTGTATACCTGAAGAAACCCAAGGGAATCCACTGAAAAACTACTATCAACATGAAGAGAGTTTCAGAAAAGATGACAGCTGGGTACAAAATTAACACAGAGAACCCAATAGGTATCACATATAAACCAACAACTAGTGAGAAGATACAATGGAAGAAATGGCCTTATTTTCAAAAGGAACAAAAAGTTAAAATATTATAAGTCAATTTCACAGGAAATGTCTAAAACTCCCAGATGACAAAACTTAAAACATGCCTGAAAGCCACAAAAGAAAATTTGAAGAAATGGCCAACCATGCCAGATTTTGAATGGGAAAGATTTAATGCCCTTAACAAATCTACTTTCCCAGAAGTTGGTTTATAAAGGCAACCTAATCTTAAAAGAAAATAACACCACAATTGTTTTTCTTTTTTGAGGGGGAGATGGCGGGAGTGGGAGGGATACACTAGACAAGCTGATTCTGAAGTTTATATGCAATGATAAATCTGAAAAGAAGGAAATTGGAGAAACTAGCCCTGTGAGATATTACAACGCTGCTATAATTTACAAAGTGTCATACAGCACACATGTTCAGGCTGAAAGATCAACAGAACAAAAGTCTAGAAATAGACCCAGACAGTATGGGAAGCTAATGTTTGATAAAGGTAGCATTTAAAATCCTTAGGGAAGAGAGGGAATATTCAATAAGTGATACTGGGAAACTGGCCAGAGAACTCAACCAAAAAAAATTAAGTTGGGCCGGGCAGGGTGGCTCACGCCTGTAATCCCAGCACTTTGGGAGGCTGAGGCAGGCGGATCACCTGAGATCAGGAGTTCAAGACCAACTTGGCCAACATGGTGAAACACCTTCTCTACTAAAAATACAAAAAATTAGCCAGGCATGATGATACATGCCTATAGTCCCAGCTACTTGGGAGGCTGAGGCAGGAGAATCACTTGAACTCAAGAGGTGGAGGTTGCAGTGAGCTGAGATCACGCCACTGCACTCCTGCCTGGGTGATAGAGTAAGACTCTCTCTTAAAAAAAAAAAAAAATCAAGTTGGACCATACTGAAACTTTTTGTGTATGACAAATGTAGCAAATACTTAAATGTAAAAACTGAAATAATAAAAGTTTTGGACAAAACCATAGAGAATAATTTTTTTCACATCTAAGTGGGAAAGGCCTTTCTATGAATGCCTCAAAACTCTGAATAAATATGGCCACAAATATGACTATGAACAATACCACTATATAAATGATAAACTAGGTAAAATACCTACAACTTAATATAACAAATTAGCAAAGGGCTGATTTCCCTAATATTTTAAGAATGCCTAAAAGAAATCAATGAAAGGCTGGGCGCGGTGCTCACGCCTGTAATCCCAGCACTTTGGGAGGCCGAGGTGGGTGGATCAGGAGGTGAGGAGTTCAAGACCAGCCTGGCCAAGATGTTGAAACCCCATCTCTACCAAAAATATAAAAATTAGTCGGGTGTGGTGGTGCACGCCTGTAATCCCAGCTACTCGGGAGGCTGAGGCAGAAGAATTACTTGAACCCGGGAGGCGGAGACTGCAGTGAGCCGAGATCACACCACTGCACTCCAGCCTGGGCAACAGAGTGAGACTCCATTTCAAAAAAAAAAAAAAAAAGACATCGATGAAAAAGATAACTCAGAAGAAAAATGAAAAAAAAAAGGGCAAATGATCTGAACAAAGAGCTCACAGAAAAGGGAATGCAGATTGTTCCTAAACACAGAAAAATATGCTCAATTTCAACAAAAATATGATAAATAGCAATTAAAACAAAGATAAAAAAATGTCATTACATTGTGTTGCCAGAGGGGAGGCAATAAGCCTTCTCTGCATTGCTGGGGATAACCTGAAATGTTGCAACCTCGTGCCGGCTATTTGGCAAGACCAAAAACATTTTACAAACACATGGGCCCAGCAGATACATTTGCAGATGTGAGATGACTTATGAACATAGTTATTCACTGCAACACTGTTTGTAAATAACAAAAGATGGTCGACAAACTAAATTCCAACAATAGGAAAATTGTGAGTTTTCTTTCAACAATGTGGAGATCATTTACACTAGTACATATGGGGATGCAGGGCTAGTTTCCTTCATTTATCTTAAGAACTGACTCCTTATTGCATATGAATCAGCATGTCCAGTCTACGCCCCCTCACTCCCATACATTCTACTTTTTTTTAAAATTTAAGCTGTATATTGCACCATTTGTGAAAAAGAGGAAGAAAAAGCACATTTGTACATATTTACTTGTAGATGCATACAGTATCTTTGGAAGGAATCACAAGAAATTGATAGCTGTGGTTGCCCCACAGGAGAAGCCCTTGATGAATAGGGTGGGTGAGGCAGGGGGTATCGATCTTGAAATTCATGAATGTTGAACCCTGTGAATTGATTACCTATTATAATGAATCCATTTTTAAATAAAACAAAATCCCAGAGTGGGTAGCCTTTAGACCTCAATGTACAAAGTTCTAAGCCTCTTAAATTTTGATAACCTATAGGCCTAATAGTCTCTCCTCAGGAAAAGATCTGAAGATTGTGTGTTAAAAAGTCACATTTCTTTGGGTTAGTTCTTATTTTGGACTTGAACACAACTGCTAGAAAAGTAAAAGCCTCTCAACGCCTCAGCCATTCTCTCTGCAATGCTTTTCCTTTCCAATGGTCCTGGCAGTGGGATGCACCATGACAGCCCATCTTCGTTCCCCACAGTCGTGTGCATATATCTGAACAAGGCCTTCCCTCCTAAACCACCTGAGATTCTGCCATCCCATTTGGTCTAAAGATCCGGTACACCTATAGTGAGATGCCTTTTTATTTACCAATGAGGACCAAATGCACTAAGTAGTGAACTAACATGAAAACAAAACACCAAGGTAAGTTACTGAGCTGGGTGGGAAAACATGAGTGAGACAATTAATTGCTTGTTGAAACACTCTACCCTTTCTTAGTAGCACTGAGAGACCCATTTTGATTAGAAAGCGGAAATCAGAAACATTAAAGAGATTTCAATGTGTTAGGTATCCCCATCTCCACTATTTTATGTAACTGTTTCCATCTTGTCTGAAAAAACAGGATAAACAATCCTCAGATAGTTCTCCACATGGTAAGTAATGGCCAGTATTATGTGAAATTTACTGAAGTTCCAGGAAAGAGAATTTTGCATGGAATACACTATCTCCAAACTATCATTTAAACTGAGATACTCCAATGCAGTTCATTTCCTGGTACAGAAACAAACAAACAAACAAACAAACTAAGACAATGCCACTCAGCAACCCCATTCCTAGATTTTAAAACCCAAGTGAAATGAAAGCTATGTTCACACAAAAATCATGCCCAAGTGCTTCTGGGAGCTTTATTCATCATCACCCAAACGTCTTCTACAGGTGAATAGATGAACAAACTGTGATACATCTATGCAAGGGTGGACAACTCGGCCATCAAAACGAATGAACTATTAACACACAACCTGGATGAATCCGAACGAAATGCATTACGCTAATGATAAAGCCAGATTCAAAGGCTACAAAGCACATAATCATATTTATGCCAGTTACGTGACATTCTGGAAAAAGCAAACTATAGGGACTGAAAACAGGGGCTACAAAGGAGCACAGGGGAATTTGGGGGGTGTCAGATCTGTTCCATATCTTGAATTGTGGGTGGCTACAGTCTCAAGGAACTTTATACTGAAAAGAGTCATCTACTGTTTGTAATTATACCTGTTTTTAAAAAACACAGAAATTATCACGTATAGGAGGAAATAGTTATATTACTTTCTGGACAATTGAGTCATATTCTAAAATTGATTAATGTTTAAGTAAAATCTACAAAAGTTAGTTCACTAGCAATGAAACTGTAACAAAATAACAAGATATCAATTTACATGGCTTACATACATGTGCTGCCAATATAGAGAAATAATACCATCATTTGACAACTTTTTTGGCATGCTTGCTGTATCAGACACTGTTTTAGGCACTTGGACATGGCAGGGAACACAACAGGTGAAGCCCATGCTCTGGGGGCTTATGTTTTAGTATCACATTCTGGGGCAGAACCAACATGGTAAAACATAGCTGGTTCCTTCTACGTATGGTATAGTATACACACAGGCGTCAATACTAAGTAAAATGGGCTGACAAAAAGCATACTGTCCAATAGTGTGATGTGAAACTTCAAAATCTGAAACTTTCTTGAGAGCCTGGAAAAGAAACTGAAGCCACTGAACAAAAGTTTAAAAGAAAGGGAAAAATACTATTCATAAAAAGTAAACATTAATAAAAGTAAGTATATGCAGGATCTTTAGCAGCAGAGTATTAAATTCTAATCATGGTGTGTTGCGTGGCTTCAGGAGTTAGATAGCACATATTAACAAAATTATGTTAATAGAGACTACCTGATTTCAGATTTCAATAGGATGGAGCATCCCTAGTCTGAAAATCTGAAATCTGAAACGTTCCAAAGTCCAAAGCTTTCTGGGCACTGACATGACATTCAAAGAAGACCCTCACTGGAGCATTTCGGATTCTGGATTTTTGGATTAGGGATGCTCAACCATTAAATATCTACAAATACTCCAAATCTGAAAAAATTCCAAAATCCAAAACACCTCTAGTCCCAAGCATTTCGGATAAGGACTATTCAAGAAATAACATTCCAACTTGTAGGTTTACAAAGTTGACATTCGTTTGGAACTACTGGCATAAGTGCATGTAAAGACTCCAGACTATAAACCAAACATTTAGGAGGGCTCCAATTACAAAGGAGCCTGGAATTGGCATAATTACAGGCCAAAGTAATGACCGTGGAACACAGGGAGTCCGCCAAAGAAAATGCTCTGTAGAGCCAGCCCACACTTATATATGAACAACCAAAGAGCCAGCAGATTGAAATCCCAGAGTGAAATCATGTATGAATCACGATAGTGCAGCATTCAAATCCAAGCCAGGATGCAGGCAAACTTCAGAGTAGAGGACAAGAGATGAGTCTAGCAGCAAATGAGGCTAACAGCCTAAAGGGCCCTTGTTAGAAAGCAAGAGCACGGTTAGGTGGGGTGGCTCGCACTGTAATCCCAACCCACTTTGGGAGGCTAGGATGGGAGGATCACCTGAAACCAGGAGTTTAAGGCTGCAGTGAGCTATGATTGTGCCACTGTGCTCCAGCCTGCGTAACAGTGCAAGACCCCATCTCTAAAACAAGTAAGTAAAGAAAGAAAGAGCTCAGGCTGGGTGCGGTGGCTCACGCCTGTAATCCCAGCACTTTGGGAGGCTGGGGCAGGGGAATCACCTAAGGTCACAAGTTCAAGACCAGCCTGGCCAGCATGATGAAACCCCATCTCTACTAAAAATACAAAAAATAGCCAGGCATGGTGGCGGGCACCTGTAATCCCAGCTACTTGGGAGGCTGCGGCAGGAGAATTGCTTGAACCAGGAGGCAGAGGCTGCAGTGAGCTGAGACATTGCATTCTGCCTGGGTGACAAGAGCAAAACTCTGTCTAGAAAAAAAAAATAAATAAAAGAAAAGAAAAAAAGAGCTCAGCAAAAAGAGCACTGTAGGGTAGATCACGTGTTAATTAAGCAGTACGGAACAGGGTCTCTGCTTCAGGTTAATCCAGGGTAGGCTCTGGGGACAGATCACCTAAGGCTGCTCTATGAAACTACTGTGAGATGCAGAGAATGTCATGTGGTTAATTCTGGGCACTGTTCATGGGGCAGCAGAGGAGAAGGGGCAGAAGACATTCTTTTGTATTAGTTGCATTTTCTTAGCAAGTAAAAATATATATTTTCAATTTACAAAATGGTTTTTTAAAATCTGAAACACACGGTCAAACTATCATGACTGTATTTTTTTTAGATTAGAAAAAGCTTAGTTTTTTTCCTGATGATTACTGAAGAATGGGATTTCTGCCCATCGGTTCCTAATTTTCCATTGACAGGACTGCTTGCTGCTCCTTTCCCAAAGGTGAAGATTTGGGTTTTAGAGAAATTGTCTTAAATAATTCTTTCTGATAAAACAAAGGAAGAGCTAATTTTGGGCTGAAATCATGCCTGGCATGTGACAGTAAAACCATAAACGTAAATAAGACACTGTCATGGGGGAACGGTAGTGAGGATGAAGGGACCGCGACCATCACTGGAAAGCATGTGAGCCAATGCTACTGGCCACCAGAGACCTGCCCAACGGATCAGAGCACACACAGCAGGTGTAACCCTCACAGCTACCCAGAGGTCAATTCTGTCTGAGCATCAGTAATCCAGGGTCAGGACAGCTTGTTCCTATCAGAAGCAAAAGGGCCACAATCTCATGTTGTCCTTCCCAGCTCAAGTTCCCAGGACAAGTAAGTAGGACAACAGTGAAGGTCTCCAGAGCCCACCAGCTTTTGCTGAGACTGCTAGTCCAAGAGCCCCAGCTGAGTAAATTCTCCAGGAGGAAAATGGCAGAAACTATCAAAGGATAGTCAGTAAACTGGTGGGTCTGTACCTTTTTGGCTTAAATGCTCCAGTAAATAAAGGCAAAATATTTAAAGCCTCATTCTATGCACTGCATTTTTTTTTTTTTTTTTTTTTAGATAGAGGCTGGAGTGCAGTGGTGCAATCTCAGCTCACTATAACCTCCGCCTCCCAGGTTCAAGTGATTCTCCTGCCTCAGCCTCCTGAGTAGCTGGGATTACAGGTGCCCGCCACCACACTAGGCTAATTTTTGTATTTTTAGTAGAGACAGGGTTTCTTCATGTTGTTCAGGATGGTCTTGAACTCCTGACCTCAGGTGATCTGCCTGCCTCGGCCTCCCAAAGTGCTGGGATTACAGGCATGAGCCACCGTGCCCGGCCCTAGGCACTGTATTATATCTGAAAGCTAACAGAACTTGTAAGTTTTGACACAGGACCAAATTAAATGGGTTGGCATGAAAAAACTTCAACTTTGTTGCCTCTTGCTAGTCACAACATCCTATAACTAATACTTTACAAGAGAACCACTGGCCGTAGGCCTGTGAAGACACCTCAGCAGCCACTTTGGGATGTGAGGAAGAGTCAGGGAAGGGAGGGAGGAAATAGATATTCTCACTTAAAGTAGAACAGCTCTGCTTTTATCTGTTTATAAAATAAAGTATTTTAATATGTATTATTAAAATTGACATTAGAATTTTATATAAGACTTCATTTAATAAAAGGGTTTCATTGCTTTTTTGGAAAATCTTTATGCTAAACGATGTTCATTTTATTGACTTATTTATAAGGAAACAACCATTTGTAACTTACCAGATGAAAGGTAAAATCTATTTTCTATCACCTTGGAAAGGCACTATTTCTCTGAGCCTGGATTTGTTTTCTGCCAACAAGTGACGGCACAAGCTCTCTATTACAGAGAGTAAAAAGCCCAGGCAGTCTTTTTCATGGCTGCTCACCATGTAAACATGTCCATAAAGTGTTCTGTGTAGCTAAGTTAGAGGACAAGAAGAAGTACTTTACAAAAATTACATCTTTACATATTTGCGTTTGTATGACATACTTTTTTCTTTTATTCCTGATAATAAAGTTTTACCATTTTATAATTTAAAAATGTAAATATGGAGTTGGGCATGGTGGTTGGGAGGCTGAGACCAGAAGATCGCTTGAGCCCAGGGGTTTGAGACCAGCCTGGGCAACATGCAGAAACCCTGTCTCTACAAATAAAAAATTAGCCAAGCGTGGTAGCACGCACCTGTAATCCCAGCTACTCGGGAGGCTGAGGCAGGAGAATCGCTTGAGCCTGGGAGGTGGAGGCTGCAGTGAGCTGAGACTGTACCACTGCACTCCAGCCTGGGTGACAGAGTGAGGCTCTGTCTCAAAAAAACAAAACACAAAAAAACAAACAAAAAAAAGCAAATATATGTAAAAATAGGAAGTGCGGTTTCCCAAAATGAGGTCTGTAAACAACTGATCTAGAAAATGTTCTGGAAAAAGTAAAAAAGGATCAGGATCTGAGGTCAACTGACCTCTCCCTGCGCTCTGGACAGGCAAACAGGCAAGGTTCCCTCTGAGGCCGTAGCGGCTTCTCGTGGGCGAGTCCCTGTTCGCAGGTGACGTGTGGACCACGCTCTTCCGAAGCGTCTGGCCTGTGTGCTCTCGGGGAGGGGACGCAGGTCAGCCCACCTAGCCGATGGCTAACAAGTCAGTTTGTTTTCTGAACGGAAGCTTAAACCTAGAAAAGTAACTGGGTTGGGGTGGGGGTGTAGCCACATGCAGTAAAAGCACTGCCTGTCTGTATAACAACGACCTGATGAAAAAAGGAACGCGTGAAATGGGGAGTGTTAGGGCGTCACAAACTCCAGTGTGGTTGAAATGAAAGCAGAAAGCAAATGGCAAGCTGGCTTCCCCTTCCAGCTTTTCACAACCCTGCCTTGCTCATGGTCAGCCCCAAGCACGGGCGGAAGAAAGGACTGGAGGGGAGGGAAAGGGGTGGGGAGCGAGGGTACCAGAGGCGTGGGAGGACGGGGACAAAGGGGCAGCAAGGGACCGGCGGAAAGGAAAGTCGGCGTTAGCTGGATTGGAAACAGTCCAGACAGAACGATGGGCTCTGCTGCCTCCGGGTGGGGCACCAAGCGGGGAGCGGGGCCACGAGGCAGGGGACAGTGAAGCACCATGCAGCGCCCACCAGCCGGCAGCGCCCACCAGCCTGCGCTGCGCTGCACATGGTACCCGCGGCCCCAGCTGGCCAGTGTGTGGCGGAGATGAGACCCTCGTGAAGAGACTAAGCGGCCACAGCAGGGGGAAGGGTTGCTCACATAACCCCATACTGCTCACACTACGAGGTTAACTGCCGTGAGATCTGCCTGCAGCCAGCAGAAACCCGTTCTAGGAAAACGTTGCCCAGTGACTTCAGTGAGTGCCACTGACCCGGGCGCCTCCGCCCCGGCGTCCGGCAGCAGCACCGATTGCGCAGGAGGCACCTTGCAAACAACCTTTCCTGATCCGCGCTGCAGTTCCCAGGCCGGTTGCAGCCGTTTCACAGAGACTGCGCACACAAAGCGTCTCCGTGCCCTGCCATTCACCTTTCGACACAGCCGCAACCCCTCTTTTCAGTGTTAAAACCTGGCGCCAAAAGGAACATGCGATGTGACGTGTTACCTCTGCGCATGCGCCGGGCATTCCCAGCGCCCCGAACCTGATGAACGCGCGGTGGGGACCCCAGGCTTCCGTGCTTTCGTTTTCCTGGAAGCTACGTGTCCTCAGTCTACATATTGTTACCTGGAAAATAAAGTTTTCTCCTTTTTTCTTCCTTTGTTAACAGGCAGAAGGTGTAGGCTGCAGGTTTCGGGCCTAAGAGAGGGCATGGCTGGCGACACGGAGTAGACTCCTAGATGACATAACGGAGGCGAGTCTGCACCGGGGACTCGGCATTAGGAGGAGGCAGAGGAAAAGCCCACCACCGTGGCCGAGGGAGATCTAGCAAGCAGCTTGCAGGGGGTGAAGTGTGTGCAAAGCAGGCTGAGACCTGTCCAGTATCGAAACACGCCGCGGTGGTCAAGCAGGCTTTACCATGCTCAGGCGCAGGCTGGTACAAGATTTGCAGCAACAAACACCAAGTGGAGAACTACATGAACACTTTTGATCGCATCCCAGTTTTCAGACAATCTCGGATAATTCTGAAAATGCTTCTTATGCATTATATAAGAGTTTAGGTTATGATTTAACAGACAAGCTTTTTCAGGAGTATTAGGTTATTGGCAGAAGAAGAGACCTACTTAAAGTTTGGATGACTGTATTCCTAAAAGGTTCATACCTCTCAAAATTACCTTAAGATCTCTTCTGGCTCAGAGATTTAAATTTTTATACCCTAAGTCCTTACAACAAGCATTCACTGTTACAACTGATCATTCATTTACTAAGAATCCAGCAGGTTAAAGTAGAATATTTAAGCTTAAAAAAAAAAACAAAAAAACTAGCATTTTAGCTTTGCAATTTTTCTTCATAATAATGAACTGTTATGTATAGGGTTTCTCCTTTTTTTTTCATAAGAAATTACGGGCATGCCCAATTAAGGTAGTATTGAGGTTCTTAAGGTAACAGTACTCAGTCCACAGTGTATAAATTTCTTCTCACTGTAACCTGGCTATGCTGGGGAGTAAATCTCTTATTTATGTTTTTCACAACCATAATATTTAACAATGTCATTTTCATGAGTACATGTGCCAGAATTTAAGAATGTAAAACATTCTGGATTTATAAAAACAAATGAATTATATTTACACTACAGAAAGATTTACTGCAGGATTTTTCTAACCAATAAGCTCCCCTACAGCGTTCCAAGACACAAAGTAATTTACAGTGCATTTGAGTCCAACTTTTTGATCAAGAACACATCTGCTGCACTAAGCAAAGGAGTTGCAGCAACACCAAAATCACACTTGGCTCTCACGGCCAAAATCGCCGTCACCTCCGTATGTTCTCCTTGGTCACTGACTCTCCTTCCTCCAAGCAGACATAGACAGTGGGCACATATTTGACAATCTGTGAAGCATCTGACAAGCACTCATTATGCCATTTGGAGGGTGTACTAACGTAACTAGCATTGTGGCATACAAAGGGCAATTCTAAGGGTGAACAGACTTCGGAGCGTGGAAAAGAACATGACAATGCCACCACCTATTACTGCGGCCCCCACGAGGTGTTGGAAGCTAGGATAAGTGTCTTAAAACACTATCTCATTTAATTTTTAAAATACAACCTTTGAGTAGGTATCATCTCCATTCTACAGATGAGAATTAAGACCCAGAGAAGGCACAAAGAATCCTGGATTTAGGAATAAAAAGATGCAACTTCAAATATTTGCTATCATCAGTCCCCCTGGCATGTCCCTGAATTCTCTGGGCCTCAGTCTTCTGAACCACAAAACGGAGAAAACGCTACCTCTTAACAGTATATGGAGGATTAAAGCACTCTGTGAGCTGGAAAAGGCTATCCTAGTCTACCTAGTTATAAAACAGTATTAGTTAGGTGTTTCCATGGGAAATTTAATCTTTCACTGGAAGTAGGGAATTAGGGAATGTTTAACACAATTCCTGATTATCTCATATCACCCATGGGTCTTTGGAAACAGAAGTCAAGTTTTTAGGCCAGGTGTGGTGGCTCATGCCTGTAATCCCAACACTTTTGTCAGGCCAAGGCAGGAGGATTGCTTGAGGCCAGGAGTTTGAGACCGACCTGGGCAACATAGCGTGATTTCATCTCTATCTTAATAAAATACTTAAAAAAAGAAGTTTTCTACCCAAGTGGAAGGATGCTTAGGGAGAAGGTGCCCCAACAGCAATGCTGCAAGCTTGGAGAAAGGGTCTATATTCACGCTGAGCCACAGGAACTGGGATGAAGACCCTGGAAAATCAAACCTTGGACAATTTTCTATTATATTCCATTCCTGAATCAGAGAGAAAACCATATTTATAGGAATTCTGGAATCTCTACTCCCAATTTATTTGAATCATGATCTTAAGAATGACTATTTTAAAGCAAATACAAGTAATGGTGGGTGCAATGTGTAGCTCTGGGGCTATGTCAAAATAAGAATAAATCTTATCAACATCTGTCTGAAATTGATACCTAGAATATTATTTATAATTACGAAGCAAAATCCATAATGTGCCTACAATACCATAGTTTCCCCTTTCTGATCAATGCATTTATAAAATTATCAGTCTTCTGCATTTTGTTTAAATGTTTCAGGGCTTCAACTCATCATTTAATAAAGTTTTTGAGCACCTATTAAGTGGTGAGTACTGCCAGGCCCAGGAATACAAAGATAAACAAAACCAAATATTTTAATTGAGTGGACTAATAGAACAAAGTCACTACAACAGAAGGTAATCAGTGCAATGACAGCAGTATACACAAAATGTGTTTGTAAACTATTGCCAGTTACTACTAAATTACAGAAAACATTCCCATGTTATTCTGTTCACTTTGTTTCCTTCGCTGTGTAGAAGTTTTTTAGCTTGATGTGATCCCATCTGTCCATTTTTGCTTGGGTTGCCTGTCCTTTTAAGGTATTGCTCAAGAAATCTTTGCCCAGACCAATGTCCTGGAGCATTCCCCAATGTTTCTTTTAGTAGCTTCATAGTTTCGGATCTTCTAAGTCCTTAGTCCATTTTGATTGTCATTCCCATGTTATTTTGTCTTTTCCTGACAATTAGACTTGACATTCCGTTATCCCATCACAATCTCACTTTCTTGTTAGTTACTCTTTTTGTAATTCTGCTTGTAAGAAAGTTTCTAAAATTTAAATATTAAAATTAGGAATTTTTGTAAGGCTATGGGTGACAAGAGTTGTTGCTATAACAGAAACTGAAGCACACATTTCTATACAACTCATGTCAAAAAAAAAAATGGAAATTAGAAGATATTTTAAGTTGTACAATGATAGAAAATACTACCAATCAAATCTTGTGGACACAATTTTCAGACTTGGCAGTGAAGCATTATCTCGGGGTCCTCTGACATTCCCACAGTGCATGAGGTTACCAAACCATGAAACCTCATCAAGGTCCTTTGGAGCAGGGTCTTCTCCCAGAATCTAGATGGAGTGATCCTACTTCCAGTCTCCTCTCCAGCAGGATGTGGGTAGGGTTACAAGGGTTTGCCTTACAATAATTCACTCACCTATTAAAAAGAAAAATAAAACTTAAGGTACGAAGTACTACTTAGAGTAGTACTTAGTGGGAAATGTCTACATTTTTAAAAAGGAGGCTACAATTCAATATGCTGAACAGCCAACTTACAAAGTTTAAAAAAAAAGAACATAATAAACCCTAAGAAAACAGAAATATTTTGGAAAGACAGTCAACCTAAGTCACATTAAAAAACTGCTGTTGCTGCCAGATTAGATGAGGATGAGCAACTATAAACACCTGGTCAACCAAGTAAAAGAAACAGTCTAAAGGACTCAGGTTGCGTCCCAAATGTCTGCAAACTCTTCTTCACCAGGTTTACATTGTCTATTCCTCATGACTGAAACCAGCAGTGCATGGTGGGCACTTAGTTTAACACTCAGTTTTCAAAACTAGGTTTGATGAAGCTCCAGAAGGGCCCCCAGCTTCTCCCTTTTCCCCCCAGATGACTATACCCTACTTTATGCTCCTTCATACATCACAGATGCTCTTATTTGAGCACTTGATCATCTTTTTAATCATCTTTTATTTTATATATTTGCCTATCTCTACTAACCTGTAACCCTCATGAGATCAACATACATTGGCTGAATGAAGCTGATTGATTAAATAATATAAAAAAGAATGGGACTGATGAAAATGTTAATATGAAAAGGTATCCAAGATAAAGGTACATTATTAAGAGAACAAGTTGCGTGTGTGTGCACACGTGTGTCTGGAACACTACACAAATCATCAGTGGATACGTCCAAGGGCAGAACAGGGAGTCAGGAAGAGTAAGGAGACTTCACTTTTCATTTTACCTTCTTCTGTAGCACGTTAATTTTTTTTTTTTTTTTTGAGACAGAGTCTTGCTCTGTTGCCCAGGCTGGAGTGCAGTGGTGTGATCTTGGCTTACTGCAACCTCTGCCTCCCGGGTTCAAGTGGTTCTCAAACCTCAGCCTCCCAAGTAGCTGGGATTACAGGCGTGCACCACACCCAGCTAATTTTTGTATTTTTAGTAGAGATGAGGTTTCGCCACGTTGGCCAGGCTGGTCTCAAACTCCTGGGCTCAAGTGATCTGCCTACCTCGGCCTCCCAAAGTGCTGGGATTACAGGTGTGAGTCACCGCACCCAGCTGGGATATTACATTTTAACGTTTATATTTTTTAAATGCTTCAACTGTAATTTTTAAAAAATCATTTTGTCAGTGAGTATTTTTTCTTAAAAAAAAGGTCAATTTTAAATCTAAGTATAACTTAGGTTTCTCTGGTGTCCACAGAATCAAGCCATTTTCAAATGCTTCCACAACTAAGATACTGAAAAGCACAATAACAGAATCAGCATATATTCAAAGTAGAAGTCATATCAGTCTCTTTTTATTGAAATATCACAATGTTATTCACAGCACTCCTACGAAATGAATAACAACATTTCTATATTACAAATTCCTCCATTTTGCATAAATGGCCACTCCTAGGGAGGCAGAATAATAGAGTGTTCAATGGACATGCTTTGAACTGGAACTGATCTGAGTTGGAATCCAGACTCTGTCCAATTAGTCGGGTGAAGTTCTTCAACTTGTCTAGTTGGGTTATGAAATTCATCAACTTGTCTAAGCCACCATTTCCTCATTAGAAAAATGAGAGTGATACTGCCTGGCTGTCAAACCCTACCCCAGAACCTCTGCTGGAACATAAGCTTGCCTTATGTGCTTACGCTGACAAACACGTTTCACTTGAAAGACAATCACTTAATGACCTCAAGCCTGGGATAGTACTGCTTAGGATCAGGCTAAAGTAGGTGGCAGTCACCTCAAGCAACCCATAAGAATTGTAGGCATGGTGCTCTGGCAGGTCCATAGGTAAGTCAAATCTTTGGTAACTGAATCTTTACTGTCACTGTTGAGATGTACGGAGAAAAGAGAAAATGTGTATGCTATCAGCTCCATTGCAGCCAGCTAAGGGTGAGGAGGATAGGAGAGAAGGGCCGCTTCTCCCACAACCACAGCGCAAACTAGATGTGACATATGCACTGTCTGCAGTCAATGAGGCCTCCTCAAGGACCAGACAGCAAGGATCCTGCTACGTGAGGCTTGGAAAACAGCCATGACAGTGCTGGCTGCCTACTCCACCTACCCTGAATTACAGATCATGGAGTCTAGCACATGAGTCATGGGCACACATGTCAGAGATTTTTGTCAATTGATTAATTAGTTTAATAACTTTCTCTTTTCTGTCGCCTTTTAAAAAAACATAGCAACCATCTATTTGGAAGTTATACTGGTTTTTCTTTTATATTCACCATATAAGGTTTCCTTTAAAATGCATGTAAGTATAAAAAGTGACTGAAGGTTGAGAGAAGCTGCCTTCAGCCATCAATTGCAGATGCTGTTCCTTATACTAGCACCAGGAGATGTAGTCTAAGGGACAGAGCTGACTCTGTCTTCAACTCTGTGACCCGCAGGAAGTGGTCCTGGCTGTGTATGACTTCTGCTGGGGCAACTTTACCATTCCACTGCTTGTGTCTTTTCTAATGTACTTTTCATTACTTGTATCATATTTAAAACCACAGAAAATATCTCAGCATCCCAGCTGGAGTAACATTTCTGAAGAGAACATGCTAACTTGTTAATGAAATAATGAATACTAAAGTTAAATGCATATATAGTCTCCTGTCACTGCCCTCCCATTGTTATTTTGAAACATTTCCAAGCTCCAGAAAAGTTACGAGAATACAAAGTAGTGGAAAAATTGGAACCGTCATACAGTGCTGGTAGACTGTAAAGTGGTGCAGACATTTTTGGAAAATAATTTGGCAACTCTTCAAAAAGTTAAAGTAGCTCAGCAAAATCCACTCCTAGGTATATATCCAAGAGAAATGAAAACATCCTCTCACATAAAAACTTGTACTAGAATGTTCATAACATTATTAATAGCGAAAAGGTAGAAATAACTCCAATGTCCATCAAGAGACCAGTGGTTAAACAAAATATGATCTATCCATACAATGGAATATTATTCAGCCACAGAAAGGAATGAGGAACTGACTCATGCTATGACAAGCATGAACACTGAACATTACTCGAAGTAAAAGAAGCCTGTCAGTCAAAAGGGCCACATAGTGTACGATTCCATTTATATGAAATGTCAAGAATAGGCAACTCCAGAGACAAAGTCAATTTGTGACTGCCAGGGGTCAGGAGGGAGGGGGAATGAGGAGTGACAGCTAATGGGTTCAGGGTTTCTTTTTGGGGTGAAAATGTTCTAGAATTAGATCGTGGTGATGGGTGTGCAACTCTGCAAATACACTAAAAAACTACTGAATTGTATACTTTCAAAGGGTAAATTTCGTATTTTAAATTATCTTTATAAAGCTGTTTTTAAAAAGAATACAAAGTAGACCCATGTAGCTTTTAACTTCATTCAGCAATTGTTAGTATTTTGCCACATTCACTTTCTTTCTCCTATACACATATGTGCATAAACATATGTGCACAGTCTACGGCTTGACACTTTGATCCTAAATACTTCAGCATGTGGAGTATTCTACATAACCAAAATATAAATATTACACTGGAGAAATTCAACACCAATATACAACAATTATAGTCCATAGTCGAATTTATATTTTATCAGAAATTAAGCATTCTATTTGGTTCTCATGTCCCTTTAGTCTTATAGTCTAGAAAAATTATCTCGCCTTTATTTTTTGACACTGATATTTCCGAAGAATCCACGCTACTTGTTTCACAGAATGCCCTTCAATTTGGATATTCCTTATTGTTTCCTTATGAACTGATACGGATTAAACATTTTTGGCAGGAATACTACATAGGTGAGTTGTGGCCTTCTCTGTGCATCATGCCAAGGGGTACCGAATGTCAGTCGTCTCATTAGTTGTGATGGTGAAGTGGTGTTCATTGTTGTGCTTGGCTAGAGGAGTGTGACTACCAGATTTCTCCATTATAAAGGTAGCTTTTTCTCTTTTTTTTTTTTTTTTTTTTTTTTTGAGACGGGGTCTCACTCTGTTGCCCAGGCTGGAGTGCAGTGGCACAATCTCGTCTCACTGCAGCCTCCGCCTCCCGGGTTCCAGCGATTTTTCTGCCTCAGCCTCCCTGGTAGCTTGGATTAGAGGCGTCCGCCACCACGCCCGGTTAATTTTTGTATTTTTAGTAGAGACCAGGTTTCACCATGTTGGCCAGGCTGGTCTCGAACTCCTGACCTCAGGTGATCCGCCCGCCTCGGCCTCCCAAAGTGCTGGTAATACAAGCGTGAGCCACCGCGCGGGCCAGATTTTTCCCTTTGTAATTAACCATCAAGGGGATGACCATTTGAGCTTGTGTAAATAAGAGCAGGCTTCCCTAGTTGTCTTTTGCCCAAAAGTTTTAGCATCCATCCAAGACCTTTGTCTGAAATTCTGTCCCTTTTGAGATTACTTTGCATTAATATGACCAACCACTGCGATCAATTTTATTCCAAAGAGTGTTGGGGCTGTGATTTCAACCCTAGCTGCACATATATCACCGGTATCGCTGGGAGTGGAACCCAAGCAATCATATTTTAAAATTCTCCAGGATGACTGATTCTGATGTAGAGTAAGGGTTGAGATTCCCCGAGTTAGAGGAACCTTACAACACCCTCATTTGCAAATAAGGACACTGAGGCCCAAGGAGGTTAAATGACTGGCCAATGTCACAAAACCTGTTAATGGCATAGTCAAGATTTTACTTTTTTATACTTGCATTTTAATAGCCATTCCTTTGTGTCAGTCGAAGAATAAAACCAGAAAAAGCAGTAACTTTCGTAGTATGTTAGTATGTTGTTAAAAGTGACTACCATCTAATATATGCTGCCGCCAGACATACCCATTTCTGCTTCCAAGGTTTGTTTTAGCTTTCGTTCATTAGACCTTTGCGGTCACCTTAGGAGAGAGGGAAAGGGGAGTTTGGTCGTCAACTCCTCCGCCCTCAGCGCTCACTGAGGGAGCTCAAGCCTGAGAACCCAACACCGCCGGGTGTTCAAGGGGCCAGATGGGAAGAGCGCAGCCCCGGAGCTGGGCGCCTGCCCTGCACGTCCCGCAGATGCGGCGGCGGCGCCTGCCCTGGGGCCTCCTCGCAGGGCAGCCAGCCTCGCGCGGGAAGCACCTGGCGGGGACGCACCTGGCGGGAACGCACCCACCTTGGCGGAGACGCACCTGGCGGGACAGCCCTGCCCCGCCTAGGGACGCGGGACGTGCGCAGAGCGATGGAGACAGCGGAACCTGCAGACCCGCCCAACCCCACCTCCATCCCCACCCCCAGCCCCCACTTACCCCGGCGTGATAAACTTTATTCGCTCTTTTAATCTTGATGTCCAGGGCGGTCCCCATCTCCAATTCTCCGCAGCAGCCGCCACTTCCGGCTGCGCGTGACCCCAGGGAAACAAGGGGCGCCTCCCCGCTTCGTTCTGGGCCCCGCCCCTTTCCCTCTCTGCCGGCAGTGGCTCACGTGACCTCGCAGCGGCGTCGCACACACTCCCTAGCTCCGAGGGGCGAATGCCCACGCCTTCCTCCTTCCGGCACAAGAGCCGGCCTTAGTGCGGGCCGAAGCGCTGTCACGGTTCACCCCGCCCCCTCTGGGCGTGAAAGACGGGGCCAAGCTAGCCCCACCCCTTCCGTAGGGACAGTCTTACGCCGGAAATGCTCCTTTGCTGTCCGGGTTAGCGGAGGGAGGGAGGAACGGCTCTCCCCGCGTGCCCCGCGGCTGGAGGCGGAGCCGAGCCTGTCTGTCGGTTGCAGCCTGCGCAGGAAGGATGACGCTCCCGTCAGGCTGTGCGGCGCAGACGGTCGCCCAATGGAGTTGTCTTTCAGGAGGTTTTAACTTGGTAATGCCTGCCCTCCTCAAATGTCCTTAGTCTCCTCAACTCTAGCCCTCCACCGCTTTCTCCCTGGGGTTCTGAAGAGCCGGCGCCCCCTTGTCTGTCTGCGGCCAGGCGCCGCACCCTGCCCTTCCCGCGGGAGCGGTTCCGGTCACCCTCAGGGGTGCGGCCCCTGCGTGCTAGTCCTGCAAAGCGCTGATTGGCCGGCGGCTCGGTTGCCTCGCGTCCCAGCGCCAGCTGGGCCTAGGGCCAAGGTCTCGGGAAGCGCCGGGTGACCTCGCTCCTCTCGGAGCCGCGGGCGCTGGGTCACCCGCCAGCCGGGCTCCGCGGGCCGCGAGGGATTGTGGGTGTTCCCCAGGCGCGTGTCCTGGAACCGGGTGTTAAATATTCAGATCCGTGCGCCCCGCGTGAAGGGTGGAAAGGCACGGCCCCCAGGCTCTGGGGCTTGGAGATTGGTTGCAAATGAAAGACTGAAAGCTGGAGTGAATCTGCCTATTATTTTTATTCCCAGCAACAGCTGACCCCAGATACAGTTTGTGGGGGTGGGGGGCGTTACTGCAGGGCAGGGCAGTGCACTGTTAACGTACTTCGTTTATTGAGTTAAAATCTCTTGTAAATGTTATAAATGAGGATTTTGCCAATAAGCAGAAGGTCAAATTTCATTTTGACAAATGATTTAATTAAATAATGCGGTGAAAAGTGCTTTTTGTTTAAATTCTTTGCTTTTTGTTTAAATTCTTTGATTCTGATCATTATTTTTTAAAGTGCATTGCTTTTGGGATAACATCAGAAACTATCTGTAAAAAGAATTAGTATCACGAATGCCTCCCTCTTAAGAATATAAAATGTTTTACAGGCCAGCAGTGATGGTGCTGCAGCTACAATTGCATTTGAAGGTTAATAAATGGTATTTTCAAATATTCAGGTCTTGGTTTGCAGCTCCTCTCTGCCCTCAGGGCTTTGGTCTCTGTCTTCAATGTTTTCCTGGCAATTCAAAACTCAGCGATTTTAGAACAATTCATTAGGGACTTGAAAATCACAGTCTAGTCTATTTGAATTCAAGAAGTGGATCCCTTTCCGCTAGACTCACCCATCATTTTCAAGTGGTAAAAAATCAATCTCAGTAGACACTGCAGAGAAACAGGAAAAGAAACACATGTATCAACATTGTATACTTGGTTTTTTTGTTTTGTTTTGTTGTTGAGACGGAGTCTCGCTCTGTCGCCCAGGCTGGAGTGCAGTGGTGCTATCTTGGTTCACTGCAACCTCCGCCTCCCAGGTTCAAGCGATTCTCCTGCCTCAGCCTCCCGAGCAGTTGGGACTACAGGCATGCGCCACCATTCCCAGCTAATTTTTGTATTAGTAGAGATGGGGTTTCACCATGTTGGCCATGCTGGTCTCGAACTCCTGACCTCATGATCCACCCGTCTCGGCTTCCCAAAGTGCTGGGACTACAGGGGTGAGCCACTGCGCCCAGCCTCCAATCGCTATCCTTTTAAATCTTTTCCATCCCTCACTCACACCTTAGATGATACCTTAACTTTCTGGTCCATTTGAGTTACCAAAAATCAGACCGTGTTAAAGTGTCGATCTCATGTCTCAAGTGGGACCCTAAATCCCTTAGTGTGAGTGGGAAGGTGCAAAGCGTGGTTCTGGCATGCAGACACTTCTCAACGTACCTCTGCAAGGCCTGGCTTCTGTGTTGAGATAAGGAAGAGGAGAGAAAATGAGACAAATATCTCTTAACTAGCCACTGCTGAATTTTCTTAGTTGATTCCTGCCTCTCTGGTAACTGTCTCGTTTAAAATTCCTTTCGTGGGGTACAGATGGGGAGGTCGGGTGGGGCCTTCTCCCTGCCGCACAGTTCCATGGGAGATCTTTTCCATCACCCGCCCCCGCCGCCGTCAGCACCGGGCAGTACACTCAGCCTCTCAGGCAAGATCACTCAGGACCATTTATCTTCCGCATAGGAAGAATTTGACCCAGGAGAAATACACATCTTTGCCACACAAAAGGGCTGGACTGAAGACCACCCCGTGGCTACTCCTCTCTCCCCTGCTATATCCCTCTTCAATTTTGTTGTTCCCCCTTGCCATACAGACAGGGATAAGTCAGCAAGAGTGCTGGAGGAACAGATCTGCAGGCAACAGATAGAATACCAGACTCCCCTTCCAGCAGGCCCTCTGATACCTTGGAGAGATTGTCCTATGTCCTTCCCAGCTACATCACTTCCCACCAGAAACACCGTCCTCCGCAATACCGACTGCCTCCTTTCATTCCTTCCCCTGCCTTCCTGTATAGATTGAGGAGAGGACTGGGGAAGTATTTGGTGGAAGCGGGGCCAGATCTGCAGCTTTTTATTAAGCCCTGGGGGAAGTGGCCCCAATTATAGGCATCTTTCATTAGGAGATGGAGTACTATGCCTGTAGTTTTCCATTGTGAGCCTAGTGCCAATTCTGGGACAATAGTAGAGGTCCCACTAAACATCTTTAAGTGGGTGCTATGATTCTCTGCGCAGACTCTTCCTGCAGGACTGGAGGACATGTTCCCTGAGCTGCTAGGAGTATTGGTCTCAACAGTTTTCAGCTAAGTCACTCTTCAAAGCTTGGCTTTAATGAAGAAAACTGCCTTGCCCAAGGTCATTCCCCCTTCTAGGGGGCAGCCCACACTTGACAATTAATCCATTTAGGATATAGAGGCCTCTCCGTTGTTCCAGTTTAGGACAACTCTGAAGGACCATTCCATATTCAAAACTCCCAGTATTAGTTAAATACTGATGTGTAGCAAATTACTCCAATCTGTAGTAGCTTTAAATAACAAACGTCTCATTATGTCTGCGAGTTGGGAACTCAGGAGCAGCTTCCCTGGGTGTTCCTGGCTCAAGGTGTCAGATTCTTGCAGTTGTCTGAAGGCCTGTTGTCGGCTGGAAGATCCAGTTCCAAGATGGCTCCCTCACATGGCTGAGGTTGGGAGCACTCACTTCCACTCCACAGGCTGCTTGAGAAGCCTCACAGTATGGCAGCTAGCTTCTCCCAGACCAGTCAATCAAGAGAGAGTGCAATTAGGGAGCTGCAATGCCCTGTGAGGCCAAGTATCTGAAGGACATCTACTTTTCTTCTCTTCATCAGAAGACAGTCACTAAATCCCACTAATTCCATTTGGGAAGGGGAATTTAGCTCTACCTATGGAAGGGAGGGTCAAAGAATTTGAGGACATATTTTAAACCACTACGCTCCGCATTGAATCCTGCTTCCTACACCCAAACCCTGTGCGCCTGTTGATCCTGAGAGCATCTCCCCAATAAACTTCCTGCATGTTAAATCTCCATCTCGTATTCTGCCTTCTGGCAACCTAACCTCAACAATCCAGTTATGCTAGTTTCATAATAACCCTCATAATAACCCTCAAGACACTCTTGTGATACAGGAAAAATTACTATTTCCTCACCTTACAAAAGGGAAGACAGGCACAGAAAGATTAATGTACTTGCCCAAGGTCATAGAGCAACTAAGTGGCAGCCACCAATTCTGACTCCAGAGTTCATATAGGCAATTGCTGATCAATGCGCTACATACATGCACACAACAAACGCCTGGGTGCATAACAATGGGGGGCTCATGATCTTAATCAAAAGACTGGACAAAAGACTGCCAATCAAATGGGAAAATCCAGCAGAGGTGCAATGTCATAGTCAAAGGCAATCTTAAAGAGAGGAATGGGGGGTCATTGTATCAACTGATGGTGAAGATAGAATATTAAAACTATTGCAGAATAGTATAATGCTTTAGTTTGCTACGGCTGCCACAACGAAGTACCACAAACTGGGTGGCTTCAAACAACAGAAATTTATTCTTTCACTCTTCTGGAGGCTGCAAGTTCAAAATCAAGATGTCAGCAGGGTTGTTCTTCTGAGGACGGTGAGGAAAGAATCTGTTCCAGTTCTCTCTCCTTGGCTTTTAGGTGGCCCTCTTATGTCTCCTCACTCTATCTTTAAAAAATGTGTCTTCATGGCTGGGCACAGTGGCTCACACCTGTAATCCCAGCACTTTGGGAGGTCAAGGCAGGAGGATCCCTTGAGCCCAGGAGTTCGAGACTAGCCTGGGCAACATGGCGAAACCCCCCATCTCTACAAAAATATAAAAATTAGCTGGATGTGGTGACGCATGCCTGTAGTCCCAGCTACTTGGGAAGCTGAGGTGGGAGGATCGCTTGAGCCTGGGAGGCAGAGGTTGCAGTGAGCCAAGATCATGTCACTGCACTCTGGCCTGGGCGACAGAGCGAGACCCTGTCTCAAAAAATAAAATAAAATGTATCTTCATGTTCACGTGATGTTCTTTCTGTATCAATGTCTGACTCCAAACTTGCCCTTTTTCTAAATACACCAGTCATCTTGTATTAAGGTCCACTAATGACCCCCTTTTAACTTGATTACCTTTGTAAAGACCCTACTTCCAAATACCGTCACATTCTGAAGTACCAAGGGCTAGGACCTTAATTTGGCAGGGAAACAATTCAACCCAGAACACCATCCTCATAGATGGGATTAGTGCCCTATAAAAGGAATGGAAGGGAGCTAGCTAGTCCTTTTGCCCTTCTGTCCCTTCTGCCAAGAGAGGACATGGCATTTGTCCCTTCTGGAGGACTCAGCATTCAAGGCGCCATCTTGGAAGCAGAGTGGAACCAGACACAACGTGCTGGTACCTTGTTCTTAAACTTCCCAGTCTTCGGAACTATGAGAAATGAACTTCTATTGTTTAGAAATTACCCACTCTGTGGTATTTTGTTATAACAGCATGAATGGACTGAGACAATTGCATGTATGGCCACTAAGAACATCTCAATGTTGATTATGTACAAGTTTGATTAAGGATGTCCTGGATACCTTAACTACCACAACTTACACCACTTGGCAGTTAAGACACACTTTCTCAAATAACAAAATGTGAAGCATTCTTTGTAAACAAACACATAAAAATACAATATTTGTTTTTTATAAACAATATATATGAAATTTATATATAAATAAAGAAAAATAAAATTTTAAAATAAAATTTAAATTAAAGATAAATTAGCCAGGTGTGGTGGCTCACACCTGTAATCCCAGCACTTTGGGAGGCCAAGGAGTGTGGATCATCTGAGGTCAGGAGTTCGACATTAGCCTAGCCAAAATGGTGAAACCTCATCGGTACTAAAAATACAAAAATTAGCCAGGCGTGGTGGCGCAGGCCTGTAATCCCAGGTCCCCGGGAAGCTGAGGCTAGAGGATCACTTGAACCTGGGAGGCAGAGGTTGTAGTGAGCTGAGATCACGTCACTGTACTCCAGCCTGGGTGACAGAGTGAGATTTCATCTAAAAAAAAAATTAATTAAAATAAAATAAAATAAATAAAATTAGAAAATAAAATAGAATTTTAAAATGTAAACATACATAAAAATTTATATAAAAATGTTTAATGAATTTTATAAAAATAAAATTTATATATAAATTTTATATTTTATATAAATTTTTTATTAAAATGTGATTAAAATACAATATTTGTTTCTTATTTGTCAAGAAACAAGTAAAAATATGATACCAGACTAAAAATAACAAAGTATGAATGCTTCACACCAAAACCTATGGGATACAGGTAAAAAAAGAATCCTCTGAAAAATTATTGGAAAAAGTTTGGAAATTTGGTCAGAGTGAAATGATATGCTATCTGGGATTTGCTTCTAAATAACTCTAGGAGGAGGAAGAGGGAGAAGGAGGAGGAGGGGGAGGGGAGAAAGAGGAGGATGAGGAGGGGTGGAGAAGGAGGAGGGGGGAGGGGAGAAAGTAGGATGGGGAGGGGCGGAGAAGGAGGGGAGGAAATGGAGGAAGAGGGAAGGGGTACAGGAGGAGGAGGAGGAAAGGTTTTATTCACTCATTCACTCTGCCTTTGTATACACTTGAGTTCCATAACAAAAGAAGAGAAGATAAATTTACAAAGTAGGATAATATTTTTGAAATATTAAGCTGAAGTATTTTTAAAATTCCTTGTCATTCCCAGCAGGTGCCCCTCAACTCTCTCTCCATCAAGTTTATACCCTGAAGCAAAAAATGTGTGTTGAAGAGCACTTTGCCAAAGATCTGAAACATGGTTTGGTCTAGAGGAAGGGGAATAGAATGAGAAGAGCAGAAGTAGCTCCTGGGGTGGGATCCAGCTGTATTTCATGCTTGGAGTCAACGTCCCAGTTGGGGTTAGAAATGCGCAGGGCAATAGAAAACATGACAGGAAACTCGGAGCTCGAGAGAGAAGAATCAAATGATTAAAATAACCCAAAAGTTAGAGGTATGGGCTGAGTCAGCCAAGGGGGAGTCCCGGCTCTTTCTAGCGGTCCCTCTAGTGTGCTATTGCCTGTGCAGAGATGGGATTTTGAGACACTCCAGCTGGGACGTTGGCAGATAGGCAAGGGACATGGCATTTTTGAACCATATGCCTCTCTCCATCCCAAGTAGAATGCTTTTGGGGAAAGGTAAGAAGGAGACTGAGGATGTGAAAAGAGAATTCTAAAACACTGGCTATCAGCTGGGTTCCAACTGAATAATGAGACTGATTTTCTTCTCCCCTGTCCTCAGCAGAAATGGTTACTGGGGAGCTAAACTGGGTTAATTTATAGAGAAATGAAGACTGGTACTTTTTTGGTCATCTATATGTATGCCTGTAAATTTTGAAACAGCCTACGTATGCAAAAATCAATAGGCATTACGATTTAACAGCAACAACCAGTTAGAAAATAAAATGAAGATACAGACTGTATTCTCAATAGCAATCAAAATATAAAATATTTGGAGTAATTTGAATGTGATCTATGTTTTAGTTACATGAGAAAAGCTATAAGGCTGAATTAAGAAATGTGAAATATGGCAAAATAGAGATTTACAGTATTTCTGAATAGAAAATCTATTTTAAAATGTCCAGTTGTATACAATTAATTTTTAGAGCTAATTACTCTCAATATCCTAATAAAATTTTTCATGAGGAAATTCAATGAAATTCTGTTAAAATTCTTCTGAAAAAATAAAGAAGTATTTTGAAATGACATCTCTTTAAAGAGCTAATTGTAGGAGAAAGGTTTTTACTAGGCATAAAATATAGTATAACTGTAAGAATTAAAAGAGCATCATCCTGACATAAGAGCAATTGGATAGGACAGATCATTCAGAACAGATCCCAACATATTATGTATAGGATTATTTATTTATTTATTTATTTATTTATTTATTTATTTATTTATTTTTGAGACGGAGTCTCACTCTGTCACCCAGGCTGGAGTGCAGTGGCACGATCTCGGCTCACTGCAACCTCGGCCTCCCGGGTTCAAGGGATTCTCCTGCCTCAGCCTCCCGAGTAGCTGGGACTACAGGCGCAGCCACCACGCCCGGCTAATTTTTTGTATTTTTAGTACAGACGGGGTTTCACCGTGTTAGCCAGGATAGTCTCTATCTTCTGACCTTGTGATGATCTGCCCGCCTCATCCTCCCAAAGTGCTGGGATTACAGGTGTGAGCCACCACGCCCGGCCTATTTATTTTTTATTGTATATATTCAAGTTGTATATGAAATTTCAATAAATGATAAAAGAGGCATTGCAAATCTATAAAGAACAGGGGATTACTCAGTAAATGATATTACACTAAATGCTATTTAGAAGAAAAATTCATTTAGATTTTACCATAACAGCATATATCAAAAAAAAGGAAGAGAGAGAAGAAAAGACCTAGTTGGATTAAAGAGTTCAGGAAATAATAAAACAAGTTAAGGCACAGACTTAATGAAAAGTATGGAAAACTTATATGAGAAAAACTACTAAAGTCTTGCATGAGACGTCACAGTAGATTTGAACAGAAGGCAAACATACCATTATCTTGGATAGGAAAGTGTAACATCATAAAAATGTTAAGTCTCCTCTGCTTAATTTATATATTTAAATTAACACTAACAAAAATATTAATTTATTTATGGAGCCAGGCAGGTTGATTATAAAATTTATTTGGAATAATAAATAAGGGAGAATAGCCAGAACAAATCTCAAAAGAGATGAACCGGTGGGGGGCAGGGGGAGGAGGAGGAGCCTAGGACGTGTCATACAGAGAGTGGCACCTGGGACTCATTTTAGCCAGTGGAAGGCAGTGAGAGTTCTGCACCTAAATCTTTTTTTTTTTTAAACAGAGTTTTGCTCTTGTCGCCCAGGCTGGAGTGCAATGGCGTGATCTCAGCTCACCGCAACCTCCACCTCCCGGGTTCAAGCAATTCTCTTGCCTCAGCCTCCCGAGTGGCTAGGATTATAGGCATGCACCCCATGCTCTGCTGCTTTTGTATTTTTAGTAGAGATGGGGTTTCTCCATGTTGGTCGGGCTGGTCTCGAACTCCCAATCTGAGGTTATCCCCCTGCCTCAGCCTCCCAAAGTGCTGGGATTACAGGCATGAGCCACCGCACCCAGCCTCTGCACCTAAATCTTAAAAAGGCCTGGCAACAGGCCTGGCACAGTGGCTCATGCCTGTAGTCCCAAAACTATGAGCCAAGGTGGGAGGATCGCTTGAGGTCAGGATTTTGAGACCAGCATGGGCAACCCAGTGAGACCTATCTCTACAACAACAACAACAAAATTTTTTTAATTAGCTGGTCACAGTGGCATGCGCCTGTAATCCCAGCTACTCAGGAGGCTGAGGTGGGAGGATTGCTTGAGCCCAGGAGTTTGAGGCTGCAGTGACCTATGATTACACCACTACATTCCAGCCTGGATGACAGAGCAAGACCCTATTTCGAAAAAAAAAAAGGCCTGACCTGGCAACTTCTGCTTTTACATGCTGGGAGGGCTGAGTATGATGTAAGGAGCCCAGTGACCCTGATGGAGACACTGTTGAAGGACCACAAAGAGGAGAGGCCCTGAACAATATGGAGAAAGAAGGGGTGGGAGAGAGAGAGAAAACCCCAGCTCCCCCAGCGTAGCCACCAAGAATGGCCCTCCTGCCATGTCCACAAGGACCCAACATACACATGAAGCCATCTCGGGATTTCCACTCCACTGCCATAAAACTGCAGTCACGTGAACGACACAAAGTGAGACTGGCAAAAGGACCACTCAGCTGAGCCACAGTCCACCAGTAGAATTGTGAAAAATAATACAGTGGCCATTGTCCTAAGCCACTGAGTTTTGAGGTGGTTTGTGATGCGGCAGTAGGTGACCAGATCAAATGATTACCGAAGGGGAAAAGACAGAATAGGGCAGGGAGACAGGAAGAGAAGCAAGACATCTCTGCATGTTATGTCATAGAATTTTGACTCTGTATCCATGTAAATGTTTTAGCTAATTTAAAAAAATTTTAATTTAAAAAATTAAACCACACAGAAAAGAGAAATACAATGGAATTGTTAAAACTTCAGTGGGGTAGAGGTAGGAAGACTTTCTACATGACTGATAGAAACATCACAAAGGAGGCCAGGTGCAGTGGCTCACGCCTGTAATTCCAGCACTTTGGAAGGCCGAGGCGGGCGGATCACAAGGTCAGGAGTTTGAGACCAGCCTGGCCAAGATGGTGAAACCCCATCTCTACTGAAAAATACAAAAATCAGCTGGGCGTGGCGGCATGTGCCTGTAATCCCAGCTACTTGGGAGGTTGAGGTAGGAGAATTGCTTGAACCCGGGAGGCGGAGGTTGCAGTGAGCCGAGATCGTGCCAGTGCACTCCAGCCCGGGTGACAGTGCGAGACTGCGTCTCAAAACAAAAACAAAAACAAAAAACAAACAAACAAAAAAGAAACATCACAAAGGAAAAACATAGCCACAGCTGGATGCAGTGGCTCATGCCTGTAATCCCAGCACTTTGGGATGCTGAGGTGGGAGGATCACTTGAGCCCAGGAGTTGGGCAACATAGTGAGACCCCTATGTAAAAAATACAAAAATTAGCCAGGCATGGCGGCGTGTGCCTGTAGTCTCAGCTATGCAGAAAGCTGAGGCCAGAGGATCACTTGAGTCGGGGAGGTCGAGGCTGCAGTGAACCGTGATCGCATCACTGCATTCCAGCCTGGGCCACAAAGCAAGATCATGTCTCAAAAAAAAAAAAAAGAAAAAGAAAAAAAGTCAATTTATTATATAGAAAATTTTCCTATACATCAGTGGGGAAACCCATAATAAGAAGGAAAGAACTGCTGGGCGCAGTGGCTCATGCCTATAATCCCAGCACTTTGGGAGGCCAAGGCAGGTGGGTCACCTGAGGTTGGGAGTTTGAGACCAGCCTGACCAACATGGAGAAACCCTGTCTCTACCAAAAATACAAAATTAGCCGGATGTGGTGGCACATGCCTGTAACCCCAGCTACTCGGGAGGCTGAGAGGGGAGAATCACTTGAACCCGGGAGGTGGAGGCTGCGGTGAGTCGAGATCGCGCCATTGCATTCCAGCCTGGGCAACAAGAGTGAAACGCTGGCCCCCCCCCGCCCCCCCAGAAAAAAGGAAAGAACATTTTGGGAAATATATACAACAAACATGACAAGAAAAGTTCACATTTTGACCACAGAGGATGTGTTAGTTTTCTACAGCCGTGTAATAAATAACTATAAATGTAGAGATGCGAAACAACACCCACTGATTAGCTCACAGCTCTGTGGGTTCAACTGGATTCTCTGCTTAGGGTCAAACAGGGTTGAGATCAAGGTGTCTGCCTGGCTGGGCTATTACCTGGAGGCTCTGGGAAGCACCTACTTGAAAGCTCATTGAGGTGACGGGCAGAATTCAGTTCCTTGTGGTTGTAGGACTCCAGTCACGTGCCCTCGCTGACTGTCAGCAGGGACCACTCTCAGCTTTTAAAGACGTCTCTCTGATCAGTGGGCAGAGCCCCTCCATCATCAAAGCCAGCCATGGTGCATCAAATCCTTCTTGTGCTTTGAATCTCTTTGACTGCCCTTTCTGCGGCCAGACAGAGAACATTTTCTGCTTTTAAAAGGCTAATGATATTAGATTAGGCCCACCTAGAAAATCTCCCTATTTGAAGATTAACCATGCCAGGTAACATAATCTTGGGAGTGATATTTCATCATATCCACAGCTTCCACCCTCACTCAAAGGGAGGGGATTATAGAAAGAAGAAGGTCATTGGGGGTCATTCTTAGAATTTTGACTACCAGAGGGGATAACATTCACATCTATAATAAGAACTCTAAGACACAGGACATGAATAACAGTTTGCAAAAGAGGAAATCAAGTAGTTAGCAGACATATGGGAAAATGTTTCACTTCAATTGAAATAAAAGAAATTCTAGTAGAAATCTTCTACTCACAGATTAAATTAGCAAAAAATACTAAATATTGGCAGCTATGTGGTGAAACAGGCATTTCATTCATTGATGATAGCAATGTGAATGGTACAACACATGTAGAAATAAATTTGGAAATATATACCAACGCCTTTAAAATGTTTATATTCTTTGGCCCAGTAATTTGACTGCTGGGAATCTATGTAAAGATTAATCCTAAATTTGGAAAAAAAATTTCCCAGCAATCAAGTAATCCTAAATTTGAGAAAAAAACATTTTTAAACACTGATATGGTTTGGCTCTGTGTCCCCACCCAAATCTCACTTTGACTTGTAATAATCCCCACGTGTCATGGGAGGGACCCGGTGGGAGGTAACTGAATCATGAGGGCAGGTTTTTCCTGTGCTGTTCTCATGATAGTGAATAAGTCTCACAAGATCTGATGGCTTTATAAAGCAGAGTTCCCCTACACAGATCTCTTGCCTGCCGCCATGTAAGACATGACTTTGTTCTTCATTTGTCTTCTGCCATGATTATGAGGCCTCCCAAGCCATGCAGAACCGTGAGTCCACTAAACCTCTTTCTTTTATAAATTACCCAGTCTCAGGTATGTCTTTATTATCAGCATGAGGACAGACTAATAAAAACACCATGGTATTCACGGCAAATTATTAATAATGAAAAAGTGGAAACAATCTAATTGGCAAAATGGACATTGTTGGATACATTACACCTTCAAATCAACAAGATATTAGGCAGTCACTGAAAACATGGTTATGCTGAAAGAAAATACAAGAAGGTCTGATAAATGGAGAAGAAACATTCCATGTTTATGGAGTACAAGACTCAAGATGCCATCTCTCCCTCAATGCAATTGCATTCTATAATCCCAGTTTTTGGTTTAAAAATTTAAACACTTGTATGATAATGCAAAGATCCTATAACAGCCAACACATTTTGAAAAAGTAGAGCACAGCAGGAGGATTTACACTGCCTGACTTTAAGACCTGGCATAAAACAACAAGGATCGATGCTTAAAGAGAGATAAGCAGATCAATGGAACAGATTAGGGAGTCCAGAAATAAAACCGTATACATATGGTCAACAAAAATCATATATGACTTTCAACAAAGGTGCCAAGGCAATTCCACAGGGACAGGAAAGCCTTTTCAACAACTGGTGCTGGAACAACTGGATATCCATACGGGAAAAAAATGAACCTTGCCTGTTACTTGACACCATATACAAACATTAACTTGAAATGGATCATAGACCTAAAAGCTAATACTATAAAGTTTCTTTTTTTTTTCTAATCTTATATTTTTTATTTTTTTTGAGATGAAGTCTCACTCTGTCATCCATGCTGGTGTGCAATAGAGCCATCTCGGCTCACTGCAACCTCCGCCTCCCAGGTTCATGCAATTCTCCTGCCTCAGCCTCCCAAGTAGCTGGAACTACAGGTGCCTGCCACCACACCCAGCTAATTTTTGTATTTTTAGTAGAGATGGGATTTCACCATCTTGGCCAGGCTGGTTTTGAACTCCCATAGTGCTGGGATTACAGGCATGAGCCACCACGCCTGGCCCTTATGTTTGGTTTTTGCTCTTCTCACAGATATGCATTATTTCAAAACTATTTGCCAGTAAATGAAAGTATTTACTATTCAAGTTAAAAATATTTCCTATTGAATTTAAAAAAAGTGAAAGGAAATTGACAAGAGCAGCATTAGCATTATTTCAACTGCAAGAGCCAGAAACCAATTTATTTTTTATTTTATTTTGTTATTACTATTATTTTTGAGACAGGGTCTTTCTCTGTCACCCAGGCTGGAGTGCATTGGCACAAACAAGGCTCAATGCAGCCTCAGCCTCCTGGGCTCAAGTGATCCTCCTGCTTCAGTCTCCCAAGCAGCTGGGACTATAGGAGTACACTATCATGGTTGTCTGATTTTTTGATTATTTGTAGACACAGGGCTCTGCTATGTTGCCCAGGCTATTTTTTTTTTTTGAGATGGAGTCTTGCTCTGTTGCCCAGGCTGTAGTGCAGTGGCACAATCTCAGCTCACTGCAAACTCCACCTCCCGGGTTCACGCCATTCTCCTGCCTCAGCCTCCTGAGTAGCTGGGACTACAGGCGCCTGCTACCATGCCCGGCTGATTTTTTGTATTTTTAGTAGAGATGGGGTTTCACCGTGTTAGCCAGGATGGTGTTGATCTCCTGACCTCATGATCCGCCTGCCTCAGCCTCCCAAAGTGCTGGGATTACCGGCGTGAGCACAGCGCCCAGCCTGCCCAGGCTAGTCTTTAACTTCTGGGCTCAACAATTTTCCCACCTTAGCCTCCCAAAGTGCTGGGATTACAAGCATGAGCCACCATGCCCAGTCCAGAAATCAAAGTAAATAACCTTAAACCAAACACAGATGAATTGGCTTTCCTAACTCAACCCAGGATGGAGTTGTTTTCAGTTGAGTTACATATACAAAGTCAATTTACCAGTTTCCTAATAGTCTTCTTACCATTTATAGGGGAGACATCTAAGTTATGTCAATAGGCAAATCAACGAATACTACATCACAAACAGTTTCAATATTTAAGAGGCAATAAGAGAAGGAAAGCTTGTGGAAACCACACATTTTATTTATTACCTTCATTTCATTCTCACAGCCTAGCAATAATTCAGAGCTAACGTGTGGCAACACATCTCCACTTTCCTGGTTTGTGCGTTTGCTTCCTCCTTGCCTGTCCCAGTGCGGGGCGTCGTTTGCGATGGGGGTCCTGCCCTGTGCTGACTGTAAACCTCTTGAAGCACATCAACAATGCGCCAGCACGTCCTGAGAGTTTGTGGACTGAAGTTATTCCAAATTCTAAAATGTAAATCCACTAAAAGAAAGTATAAGAACTGTAGCCTGAACTCGCCAAAAACAAGTCCCCCAAATGTGTGTAATGGCAGGGGTCCCCACCCCTCCCGCCCCCCTGGGCCCCCTTTGAATCCCCCCTACAGACGCCGACTTGTTAGGAACCGGCGGCACAGCAGGAGGTGAGCAGCTGAGCAGCAGGTGGGCCGGCAAAGCTTCATCTATACTTACAGCCACTCCCCATCGCTGGCGTTAGGCCTGAGCTCTGCCTCCTGTCAGATCAGCGTCGGCCGTAGAGTCTCATAGGAGCATGAACCCTATTGTGAACTGCACGTGTGAGGGATCTAGGATGCACGCTCCTTATGAGAATCTAGTGCCTGATGATCTGTCTCTGTCTCTGCCACCCCCAGATGGTGTGTCCGGAATTGGTGGGTTCTTGGTCTCACTGACTTCAAGAATGAAGCCGCGGACCCTCAAGGTGTTACAGCTCTTAAGGTTGCGCGTCTGGAGTTTGTTCCTTCTGATGTTCGGATGTGTTTGGAGTTTCTTCCTTCTGGTGGGTTCGTAGTCTCGCTGGCTCAGGAGTGAAGCTGCAGACCTTCACGGTGAGTGTTACAGCTCTTAAGGCGGCGCGTCTGGAGTTGTTCGTTCCTCCTGGTGGGCTCGTGGGCTCGCTGGCTTCAGGAGTGAAGCTGCAGATCTTCGTGCTGAGTGTTACAGCTTATAAAAGCAGTGTGGACCCAAAGAGTGAGCAGTATCAAGATTTATTGCAAAGAGCGAGAGAACAAAGCTTCCACAGTGTGGAAAGGGACCCGAGCGGGTTGCCACTGCTGGCGCGGGCAGCCTGCTTTTATTCTTATCTGGCCCCACCCACATCCTGCTGATGGGTAGAGCCAAGTGGCCTGTTTTGACAGGGCGCTGACTGGTGCGTGTACAATCCCTGAGCTAGATACAAAGGTTCTCCACGTCCCCATCAGATTAGTTAGATACAGAGTATGGACACAAAGGTTCTTCAAGGCCCCACCAGAGCAGCTAGATACAGAGTGTCGATTGGTGCACTCACAAACCCTGAGCTAGACACAGGGTGCTGATTGGTGTGTTTACAAACCTTGAGCTAGATACAGAGTGCTGATTGGTGTATTTACAATCCCTGAGCTAGACATAAAGATTCTCCACGTCCCCACCAGACTCAGGAGCCTAGCTGGCTTCACCCAGTGGATCCCACACCGGGGCTGCAGCTGGAGCTGCCTGCCAGTCTCGCGCCATGCACTCGCACTCCTCAGGCCTTGGGTGGTCGATAGGACTGGCCGTGGTGGAGCAGGGGGCGGCGCTCGTCGGGGAGGCTCGGGCTGCACAGGAACCCACGGAGGCGGGGTAAGGCTCAGGCATGGCGGGTTGCAGTCCCGAGGCCTGCCCCGCGGGAAGGCAGCTAAGGCCCGGCGAGAAATCGAGCGCAGCACCGGTGGGCTGGCACTGCTGGGGGACCCAGTACACCCTTCACAGCCGCTGGCCCGGGTGCTAAGTCCCTTATTGCCCGGGGCCAGCAGGGCCAGCCAGCTGCTTCCGAGTGCGGGGCCCGCCAAGCCCACGCCCACCCGGAACTCCAGCTGGCCCGCAGGCGCCGCACGCAGCCCCGGTTCCCGCTCGCGTTTCTCCCTCCACACCTCCCTGCAAGCTGAGGGAGTGGGCTCCGGCCTTGGCCAGCCCAGAAAGGGGCTCCCACAGTGCAGCGGTGGGCTGAAGGGCTCCTCAGGTGCTGCCAAAGTGGGAGCCCAGGCAGAGGAGGCACCGAGAGCGAGCGAGGGCGGTGCGGACTTCCAGCACGCTGTCACCTCTCAATGGGACCATCTAGTTTCAGGAAAACAAGCTCAGGGCTCCCACTGATTCTACATTATAGTGAGTTGTGTAATTATTTCATTATATATTATTACAATGTAATAATAATAGAAGTAAAGTGCCCAATAAATGTAATCCACTTGAATCATTCCAAACCCATTCCCCTGCCCTGTCCATGGAAAAAAATGTCTCCCATGAAACCAGTCCCTCGTGCCAAAAAGGTTGGGGACCACTGTTATGGGGTAAAGCTAATAACTCTGCAAAGAATAGGGCAAGCCTTTGTAAAATACATCAACATTCACTTGATTTCCTGCCACTGCAGGAATGCCTAAGAACGTTTCAGGGAGTGGAGCTAACCGTGGTTGAACCATGACAGTGGCCAGGTCCCCACTCTGGCGCCCGTATCAGCTGCAGGAGCCGCAGTGCATAGCGTGTGCGCTGGCCCTGCAGGAAGAAGAGGCAGGCCCATCTAGGCAGCAGACACCATGATGGAGCATGGTGGACTCCTCAGCAACCAGCTCTTGGTGGCTGCCAGGATTCATCAGTTGTGGCTGCACCAAATCTCTTTCTTCCACCACTCCCAACGGCCCGTTATCCTGGGCTTCTGTTTATTGGGATTTCCTGGAATTCCAGGAGTCCCATGTGGCAATAAGATGTCAAGTGATGCCACAGGCCCTTAGGGAAGGTCCTCATTTTGGCTCCAGATCCAGCCAGGCTTACTCCCTGATCCTGACTGAGTGGGCCAAGGCGTGGGCCCTAGGGACGGGTCCTCCAGGTGAGGTATCCTTAGTTCATGTCAGTTATGGTCCCATTGATTTATTTTCTTTCTTTCTTTCTTTCTTTCTTTCTTTTTTTTTTTTTTTTTTTTGAGATGGAGTCTCACTTTGTCACCCAGGCTGGAGTGTAGTGGCGCAATCTCGGCTCACCGAAACCTCTGCCTCCTGGGTTCAAGCGACACCCCTCCGCCACCCACCTCAGCCTCCCGAGTGGCTGGGATTACAGGCGCATGCCACCATGCCTGGCTAGTTTTTGTATTTTTTGTAGAGACGGAGTTTCACCATGTTGGCCAGGCTAGTCTTGAACTCCTGACCTCAGGTGATCTGCCCTCCTCTGCCTCCCAAACTGTTGGGATTACAGGCGTGAGCCACCATGCCCGGCCCCATTGGTTTATTTTCTGTATTATCATGGAGCTCTTCTTGGTTTACCTGAGGTGTTTCGATATTAACCCTAACTGAGGGCAAAATGTTTTATTAGATAGATTGGTGGATAGGTAGATATGTGATACAGCAAACATAGCAAAACATTTATTCTAGAATCTGGTTGGTGCCTGTTCATTGTACATTTTTTCCAGCTCCTATCTACGTTTGAAATTTAAAATAAAAGTTGGGGCTGGAAATTGTGATAGAGGTGCTTATTATACAATTTACAGGGATTTAAAAAAGGTATTTTTCAAGCCGGACATGGTGGCTCACGCCTGTAATCCTAGCACTTAGAAAGGCTGAGGTGGGTGGATCATTTGAGGTCAGGAGTTTGAGACCAGCCTGGCCAATATGGTGAAACCCTTTCTCTACTAAAAAGACAATAAATTATCCGGACGTGGTAGCACACACCTGTAGTTCCAGCTACTTGGGAGGCTGAGGCAGGAAAATCGCTTGAACCCGGGAGGCGGAGGCTGCAGTGAGCCGAGACCACGCCACTGCACTCCAGCCTGGGCAGCAGAGCAAGACTTGGTCTAACAACAACAACAAAAGATATGATACATTTCTTTGGTCAGTCATTGCACATCTATTTGCTGGGTGTCAATTATATATGGTACTGAATCCTGAAGACTCACCAGGGAACAAAACAGGTGCAATCTTCCCCTCATGTAGTTTACAGCCCAGAAGGGAAGAGAGATGACCGAACAAGTAATTCCAGTAGAGTGTGAAGAGTTGCTGTAAGCATCAAAGTGTTGGGGGGAGTTAGTCTCTTACTAGCCCCTCCCAAGACCCTGCACCCCTCCTACTTGTGCACAGAGTCCCAGCCCTGGCCTTCCTAGGGTGTTGACATCACTGCTGCTTGCAGTACACCCTGCACCAGCTAGGCCTTAGCTGGCTCCAGAGTGTGGCAGGGGTGGGTGATTGCAGAGATACTTTCATTCCAACAATGGTCAAGTCTAGTTTTCTCCTTAGTTACTTTAGGGTGCTGTACTGGCTTCCTAGAACTGCTGTAACAAATTATCACAAAATTGGTGGCTTACAGCAATAGAAATTTATACTGTTACAATCCTGGGAACCAGAAGAGTCCAATTTTAAGGTGTTGGCAGGGCCGCTTCCCCCTGGTGTGTCTGCAGGAGAATCCATCCCATGCCTCTGTGCTGGCTTCTGCTGGCTGCCGGCAGCCCTTGGCGTCCTTTAGCTCGTTGATACATCAGTACAATCTCGACTTCGGTTATCACATCTGCTTCTCCTCTGTGTGTCTTCTCCTTTTTCCTCCTCTTCTTTTTTTTTTTTTTTTTTTTTGAGACGGAGTCTCGCACTGTCACCCAGGCTGGAGTACAATGGCACCATCTCGGCTCACTGCAGCCTCTGCCTCCTGGGTTCAAGCGATTCTCCTGCCTTAGCCTCCCGAGTAGCTGGCATTACAGGCGCCCACCAACATGCCCGTCTAATTTTTTGTATTTTTGGTAAAGACGGGGTTTCACTATGTTGGCCAGTCTGGTCTCAAACTCCCGACCTCATGATCTGCCCATCTCGGCCTCCCAAAGTGCTGGGTTTACAAGTGTGAGCCACTGCGCCTGGCTCTTTTTTTCCCTCTTATGAGAACACTTGCCATTGGATTTTGGATCCACCCAGATAATCGAGGATGATCTCATCTCAAAATCCTTAATTACACCTGCAGAGAACTTTTTTCAAATGAGGTCACATGCACAGGTTCTAAGAGGACGTATCTTTTGGGGAGGCCAACACTCAGCCCGCTATGAGTACACCTATCTCATAACTAAGAGACTCATAGAGCACATGGTCTCTCTCCTCTTTTTAACATGTCGTGGGCTTATTTTGTCATAGGATATTTTCCTCTGTCTTGGGTCTGATTTCTTCACTCATTATTTAAAAAATTTCTCTCGGTCTGAACCATGATGAATGAATTCTGAGTGGGTTATTGCCATTCTCCAAAGTTTTCCTCCTGTGCCCAAATTTCTCCTCGATAGTGGTTCATTCCTCTACATACAGAGAGCTATGGAGGTACATGGAAGGTGCTATGGTTTGAATGTGGCCTCTCCAACATTCGAATGTTGGAAACTTAATGCCCAGTGCAACAGTGTTGGGAGGTGGGGCTTGATGGGCCCGATGCTGCTATAACAAGGGCTTTGGGGCATGGGTCTGCTTGCCTCTGCTCTTCTGCCATGTGAGGACATGACGCTTCTCCACTCCAGAGGATGCAGCATTCGAGACCATCTCAGAAGCACAGAGACCAGGCCCCAACCTGCCAGTGCCAGGATCTGGGACTTCCCAGCCTCTAAAACTGTGAGAAATTAATTTCTATTGTTTATTTATTTATTTACTTATTTTTGAGACAGAGTCTCACTCTGTCACCTAGGCTGGAGTGCAGTGGCACGATCACAGCTCACTGCAGCCTCGAACTCCTGGGCTCAAGCGATCCTCCTGCGTCAGCCTCCCAAAAAGCTGCGACCACAGGCACGAGCCACCATGCCCAGCTAATTTTTGTATTTTTGTAGGTGGGGTTTTGCCATGTTGCCTGGGCTAGTCTCAAACTCCTGAGCTTAATCGATCCTTCTGCCTCAGCCTCCCAAAGTGCTAGGATTACAGGCATGGGCCACCATGCCTGGCCCCAACATGTGTTTTTTAAGGGAACACAAAACACAATGCAACCCATAACATTAAATGATCACCTTTGCGTTTAGAAAGACCCTGCACATTGCCTGCAGTGTGCAGCGTGTGGTAGAGGGTAGCAGCTCACCACACATTCCAGTTGGCAAATGTTTGTAGTAATCTCAACAACAGACCATGGTGAGTGGGCAATGCCCATAGTGGCAAAGTAGGATAAAAAGAAGTGGGACAATAGAAAACAACGTAGCGGCTAGCCCCAGTGTGACTCAGTCACTGAATGGACCTGTGCTGGGACAGCGAGAGAGGCTCCACCTGTAGATGAGGGGTCAGGGTTCCATGTCCCACGCAAATCCCCATTCCCGTCAGATACACTCACAGGGCCTTCATGAAGCTTAATGGTCAGTGTAGGAAAGAGTCCCCGCTTCCTGGTTCCCCGCGCCCTGGAGCCTCACTCCACTCTGGGATACACCCCAGCCATCACACCCAAATTATCCATTCGCTGATCGGCGGTAGATAATTTGGTGTATTCTGAGCTTCAGGAGGAAAAACCCCTCTGTTTACTTTTGGAATTAGTAAACTTCCATTTCATGTTTTTCCCTGAAGGGTGTTTAATGTGAGGTCCTTTTTTCTCTCTCTCCCTACTTTTTTAAGGGAACAGCATTAGTCTGAGGGCTACACAAAGGATGCTTGTTGAATTCTGTCAAAGATCTGCACAAGATGAGTGACAGTTAGGTAGACCTGTCTGCTTTCTGAAATTTCACATGTTTGCATTGAATCCCCGCCTGAAAATGTACATATAATTTTAGAGATCAGGTCAGGGACTCTAGACATTCTGTTAGATGTCTCCCCCTATATGTCCTCCCCTTCCTCTGTGATAGCAGAAACCTCAACTTTTTTTTTGAGACAGAGTTTCATTCTTTGTTGCCCAGGCTGGAGTGCAGTGGTGACATCTTGGCTCACTGCAACCTCCACCTCCCGGGTTCAAGAGATTCTCCTGTCTTAGCCTCCCAAGCAGCTGGGTTACAGGTGCCTGCCACTACGCCTGGCTAATTTTTGTATTTCTAATACTTTTAGTAGAGACGGAGTTTCACTATGTTGGCCAGGCTGGCCTCGAACTCCTGACCTCAGGTGATCCATCCACCTTAGCCTCCCAAAGTGCTGGGATTACATGCGTGAGCCACCACGCCCGACCTAAACCTCAACTTTTTAGCTGGACGGACATGTGACTGCCCTGAAGAAACCTTGCGTTTCTTCACCACCTATGCAGCTAGAGGTGACCATGTGGGCTGTTAATGGAAACCTAGTGTGCAACTCTTGGGAGGTGCCCTTCAAGAGAGGGTGCAAACCGGGCGGTGGCTCACACTTGCAATCCCAGCACTTTGAGAGGCCGAGGCAGGCGGATCACCTGAGGTCAGGAGTTCGAGACCAGCCTGACCAACATGGTGAAACCCCGTCTCTACTAAAAATACAAAAATTAGCTGGGCGTGGTGGTCTGCAACTGTAATCCCAGATACTTGGGAGGCTAAGGCAGGAGAATCTCTTGAACCTGGGAGGCGGAGGTTACATGAGCTGAGATTTCGCCACTGCACTCCAGCCTGGGTGACAGAGCAAGACTCCATCTCAAAAAAAAAAAAAAAAAAAGAGGGTGTGCAAGTTCTTCTTTCCTCCCATTCTTCCCACTTGCTGGTTAGTATTTGGATGCACTGGCCTGAGTCTGCGTAGTCTTCTGGGGCCTTGAGGCAGAAGCTACTTACTAGGATTGTAGAGGGATGAGGGACAAGGCAGAAGGAGGCCGAGCACTTCCAGGTACCCTCCGTCCTGGCCCCAGCTGCCTATATTTATTTAAGAGAGAAACAAACAGCTATCTTGAGGGGTAGACAGAATAATACTTCCCTCCTTCCCCGAAAAAGATGCCCACATCCTTGCCCCTAGAAATAGTTGATATATTGCTTGACCTGGGGAAAGGGACTTTGCAGATGTGCTTGAGGACCTTGAGATGGGGGCGGGGGTTAGCCTGGATGATCCTAGTTATTCTGGGTGGGCTCAAAGTCATCATAAGGGTCCTTATATGAGATAAGCAGGAAGATCAGAGACAGAAAAACAACCTGTGATGACAGGAGTGGCCAAGGTTGAAGTGAGGCACCTTGAATATGGAGGCAGGCCCAGAGGTCAAGAAAGAATGCAGGCACTGCAACACCCTGGAAAAGGCAAGGAAACACGCTCTCCCCTGGAGCCTCCAGAAAGAACTCAGCTTGGCCCACACCTTGATTTTAGTTCCTCAACTCTCATTTTAGAGTTCTGAACTCTAGAGCTGAAGGATAATACATTTGTGTTGTTTTAAGCTAGTAGGTTTGTGGTCATTGGCTACAGCAGCAATTGGCAACTTATACACTTCATCTTGCTTGAGCGACTGTTATTTTGTAATTTCAGACACTTGCAGCTACCTCCAGTCCTAACCAGGACAAAATCTGGTATCTGGAAGTGGGAAAATGTATGTTGCAGAACGTAGGTTGTGGCACTGACTTAGCAATGACATGCCCGGGACTCATATATTGCAGGTTCGGAAAAATGATGGTCATTAGGACATGGCAATGGGACACTTGGTGGCATGTTTCCAGGGTTACTTTAGAAGGCATACTATATGCTGACCAAGGCTGAGAGTCAGGAGGAAATGGTTGGAAGATCAGAATTTTGGGCACAGTCAGCTTCTTCCTGCCACGTCCTGCAAAATCCAAAAGAAAGGTGAACTTGAGGAAAGCCAGCCAGTCTGTCAACCGAATGAAAAACATCGTTTTGGCAAAGGAGCCCTCTCTGCCTGCCACTTGCAAGCAAATTTGAGTGATAAGCTGGTAATTTGGGGCCTTGCTGGACTGAAAAACCCAATGGCTTCTGTATTCCAAGTAAAGGTTTTACCGAGGTCTCAATGTTTTGCAAAGGGCTTTACATGTCCAATTCTCTGCTAGACATTGAGAGCCAGTCCAGAGGCAAACATGTTGGGGAAGGTAACTTTTCTTTCAGTTCGTGGGTTTCCAGCCTACAAAGAGCCCTTCTAGACTTATGGAGAGCTCTGAACACCACCCCAGGGTGCAGGACTTGGAGCTGGAGGAAGTGCATTGGTGGGACTCTGAAGTTGTTGCCCTTGGTAAGGCTATGAATATGTACCACGTGTGGGAGGAGAGATGTGTATGGATATCAGGCGGCTAAGAGGGCAAGCTGTGGCAGTTTGCTTTTCTCCTCCTCTTCTATAGCAGAATCCTGGCATGTCTTGAATGAGTTATGTGTGTATTCAGATACTGGGGTCCTCAATTTCCAGGGCAGACAAGTAAGCCCTGGAACAGCGTCGAGCCTCTGGCCACGATCAGCTTTGTCCTTTCGCCCCAGTGTACTGTTATAAGGAAATGGTTGGGGCATTATGAAGTTAAGGTGAGCATAGTCTACACATGCTCACCCTCACTCCTGAGAACAATTAAAAGTATGGGGGATTCCGGCCGGGCGCGGTGGCTCATGCCTGTAATCCCAGCACTTTGGGAGGCCGAGGCAGGTAGATCACGAGGTCAGGAGATCGAGACCATCCTGGCTAACACGGTGAAACCCCATCTCTACTAAAAATAGAAAAAATTAGCCGGGCATGGTAGCAGGCGTCTGTAGTCCCAGCTACTAGGGAGGATGAGGCAGGAGAATGGCATGAACCTGGGAGGCGGAGCTTGCAGTGAGCCGAGACCACGCCACTGGACTCCAGCCTGGACAACGGAGCAAGACTCCGTCTCAAAAAAAAAAAAAAGTATGGGGGATTCCCAAAACCACTCTCAGTTTTGATAATTCACTAGAAAGACTCACAGAACTCTCTGAAACCTGGTGTACTTATGGTTACAGTTTATTACAGCAAAAGGATACAGATTAAAATCAGCCGAGGGGGCTGGGCGCGGTGGCTCATGCCTGTAATCCCAGCACTTTGGGAGGCCGAGGCTGGCGGATCACGAGGTCAGGAGTTCGAGACCAGCCTGACCAACATGGTGAAACCTCGTCTCTACTAAAAATACAAAAATTAGTCAGGCGTGGTGTTGCGCATCTGTAATCCCAGCTACTTAGGTGTCTGAGGCAGGAGAATCGCTTGAACCCAGGAGGTGGAGGTTGCAGTGAGCCAAGATCCTGCTACTTCACTCCAGCCTGGGTGACAGAGCGAGACTCCATCTCAAAAAAGAAAAAAAAAGAGAAGAAGAACATAGGGTAGAGTCCAGGAAAGAACCCATCACAGAGCTTCCATTGTTTTCTCCCTGGGAAGCCATGGATAGTGCCACTTTCCTGGCATTAACGTGGACAACACACATGGAGTTTGCCCACCAGGGAAGCCCACCCAAGCTTAGAGTTTTTATTGGGGTTCCATTGTGTAGTAATGATTGATTTCCCATGTGGTTGATCGCAGCCTCCAGCCCCTCTGGATGTTGAACTAATACGACGTGACCCCAACCCCCTCCCTAAATCACACTGTTAGACTTCCTGGTGTGGCCAGCTCCCAATCTAAACAAAGATACTCCTATCGAGCATGATTTTCCAAGGGCTGAGAGATTACCTACCAGAAGCTGAAGGCAAAGGATGGACCTCTCTTTGGGCAAGGTCAAATTCTTTATTACCCAGATGCATTGTTCTACAATAATGGAACCTCAATTTCTAACTGAGCACAAAGCAGCCACAATCAAGAATCCCAACCTCTGCCAGAATTCCAGCCTTTTGTGCATCTACTTACATCCCATTGTAACCATGTGACTAAATTCTAGTCAATGGGATGTAAGTGGGGGTTGTATTTGCCACTTCTGGGAAGTGTCCTTAAATAGAGGGGCCTTCTTTTCCTCTGCCTTCTGTCTTTTTGCTTCCTATACGGGACTTGAGGAGCCTTCTTGGCCCATAGGTAATGCTTAGGGGTGCAACAAGGTGGAAAGAGCCTGGGTTCCTGTTGATTGAGGCACCCTTTATACCTGCACCAGGCTGCTTGGAGAAACCACTTCTATCATGTTTAAGCTGCTGTCATTTTGGGTTTTCTGCCATTTGCAGCCAGATATAGTCTCAACACCTTGCTTGAAACTTACATTTATATTGGTTACATCCAGATTTGTAAAACTCTGCTCATCAAATTGACGATCTCATCTTTAATCCAGCTCACACTCATGCTGCCAAATTGTAGCCTGTCACTGGAACACTAGACAGGGTACTGGACAGTTGCTTCTCTGGAACACTGGCCTTTATTCCCAAGCCTTCATCACATTCAGAAGGGACTGTTTTCTTTTTCTTTTTCTTAAGAAACTCACAGTCTACCTTTTCCAAGTAAATAATCATCACACTTTCTGTGGCTAACCAGTTGGAGATTTGACTGAACACCTAAACTTTACTAATGTTATATCTAAACTTTAAGTGAATTTTTGCTACACCTTTAAAAAACTGACTAAAAGATATTTTTTAAATCAAAACGAACATTTACAGATCTTTCCAAGACCTGATATTTGAATTTTGTTCATATTTTATCAAAGTGGGCCAGAGTTTCCTATGTGCAATGGCTTGGCATCGTGCCTAGAGAAAGCAGGATAAACACTGAATCTCTGCCTTTTATTTTTTGTTTTTGGTGTCTTGCCATCCTTTGTTCTTCATAAAGACCTTATGGTAGCTTTTATGAATATCTCTAAGAAATTAATCTTTAAAATATAGAAGGTGGACAAAAAACCCTTTGCACATTGTGAAGACAGGGATTTTATCCTTCGTTCATTGAAGAGCAGCAAGATATTGGGACTTGGATATGGTGCAACCTCTGTCATCACCTTTCCTGTTTGTAGTCTTGGGATTGGAGGTTGAAAGAGAATGGAAGAAATGGCACTAGAACCCCAAATTCCATTTCTTTCTTTCTTCTTTTTTTTTTTTTTTTTTTGAGACAGAGTCTTGCTCTGTCGCCCAGGCTGGAGTGCAGTGGTGCGATCTAGGCTCACTGCAACCTCTGCCTCCCGGGTTCACACCATTCTCCTGCCTCAGCCTCCTGAGTAGCTGGGACTACAGGCACCCGCCACTACACCCAGTTAATTTTTTGTATTTTTAATAGAGAAGGGGTTTCACCGTGTTAGCCAGGATAGTCTTGATCTCCTGACCTCGTGATCCACCTGCCTCGGCCTCCCAAAGTGCTGGGATTACACACGTGAGCCACTGCACCCAGCCCAAAAGTTCCATTTCTAATTTGCCTACCTTAATGACTTGATTTTCTTATTTTCATAGTAAATAGGAATATGTATGTTGAAGAAATATGAACATTAATTTTCTCATAACTGCACAGTCAAAAACAATGTTTTAAACTTTAATAAATATCAATGACTTGTTTCATACTTTGCTCCATTACAAACACAAGGAAAGAAAAGATGTACAATGCCTGAGGAATAGAAACACCATCAATCCTCAACAGGGTCACCTAACTGTCATTATGAAGCAAGGGACTCTTGCCAGAGATTTGTGTCCTCAGTGAAAAAGGCCTCATGGAATTTTCTTGCTAAAAGGAACCTGAGACTTATTGACACACGCGTCCTCCTTTTCCAGACGAAACACTCAAGGCTTAGGGAAGTCAAAGTGTACAGAAGGTCCCCGCTAATTAGCAACAAAGCCAGACTCAGCACCCAGGTTGTTCTCGCTCCTGGATCAGGGTTATTTGTGAACATCCCATGTCCTCTTTATGATGGTTACAGATGTTTCATATCATCAAGGTTAAGATGAAAGATCTCAGAAGCTGCAGAAGTGCTTAGATGCACCCACAGAAAACCACCGGATCCAGCTAACTCACTCTTGTGATTGGAAAGAAGCATATTCTGGTGAAGCAAAAGATTTCTATCTCCAGAATAATGCAGAAAGCATTTTTACCTACCAAGCCACAACAAACCAGTGAAAGAACATTTAGATTTCCAGAGTCCATCGGCAATACAAAAGTCACCTAAAGAATAATGCCAGAGGCATATCTTCTCTTGTAGGTTGTAAATTCCTTGAAAACGAGAACTGCTCAACTTCCCATCTCCTACGACACCCAGCACACAGTTGATGCTGGAATTTCTTTTTAATGAATGAAACACACAAATCATTGCTTTAAACCCTGGAATTGTGCCCTTTTCAAAAGAAGCACTTAATAGACATGTGTCTAATTTCCTGTGCTGTCACAAATATTATTTAATCACACTGTTAAAAATAAAGAACTCTGGGGCCCATGAACTACATTCTCCAGGCCATTAGCTGCTCTTTCCACTTTGGGCCTCTCAGCTGTGCAGCCGGAAATGGATCGTGGGGAGAGGAGCTGCCACTCTTCTGCAAATATCCTGGAATCTTGGCTATGTCAGGAAGTGTTTGGAGAATGCCTTGGAAGCTGAGAAAGTGTTTCCAAAGCAGCATGCACACGAAGATATTTGAACCAGAGAACGTCCACTCTGAAATAGATGCATGGAGTGCATTCACAGAATATCACGTTTTTCTGAAGTTTAAAAGCTACAGCCCAGTACTCTGAACCCAAGAATTAAGGTAAGTGTAAAAAGTGAGTGCCTCAGATAGTTGTTATGTTTGCAACAGGTCACTTGGTTTTACATCAATCTCATGGTAAAATACATATAAAGTCGTTATGAAGCTCATAGGCATATTATAATGGTTCCCTGGTAAATGACACTAGCATGTTGCATAAACAACTATATCTTTTAGGCTGGGCGTGGTGGCTCATACCTGTAATCCCAACACTTTGGGAGGCCGAGGCTGGTGGATCACCTGACATCAGGAGTTGGAGACCAGCCTGGCCAATGTGGTGAAATCTCGTCTCTACTAGTGGCAGAGATTAGAGGCAGGAGCCACTGAGCCCGGCCTCTTTTAATTGCTTTTTTTTAAAAAACGGCTTTATTGGCTGGGCGCAGTGGCTCACACCTGTAATCCCAGCATTTTGGGAGGCCAAGGTGGGCGGATCACCTAAGGTCAGGAGTTCGAGACCAGCCTGACCAACATGGTGAAACCCCGTCTCTACTAAAAATAGAAAAATTAGCTGGGTGTGGTGGCACATGCCTGTAATCTCAGCTACTCGGGAGGCTGAGGCAGGAGAATCGCTTGAACCCAGGAAGCAGAGGTTGTAGTAAGCCGAGATCATGCCATTGCACTCCAGGCTGGGCAACAAGAGAGAAACTCCATCTCAAAAACAAACAAGCAAGCAAACAAAAAAACCCCAACAAAACAAACAAACAGAAAAAACTATATCTTTTAAAAATGATAGTCAATGATTTTTCACTGAAAAATAGGTATTATTCATTAAAATCTAAGAATACAAACCAGCCACAGTAAGAAAACTGTCCTCTCCTCTTTGCCAGCAGCCTACACAATTGAGATGCTGTGCAGTTTTCCCCTCAGCTCGTAACACTGAAACAGCAAGAAATTGTCTAAGGTTAGAATTTCTAGTCATAGGAAACTTCCAGCGATGCCAATGTAAAAACATTTTGTTTCATTTCAGAGAGTTAAGAGAGCAAATCAAGACATGAAAATGATCCCCCCGTGGAATATGCCCCTGCTATTGAGAGAATAAACTACTGATCTACGCAACAGCATGGATGAATCTCAGAGACATTTTGCTAACTGAGAGAAGTCAGACACAGAAGACATAGTCAATGATTCCATGTGTATGAAATTTCTAGAAAAGGCAAAACTATAGAGACAGAATGGCTGATCAATGTTGTGGCTGATCAAATCGAGGCACAGAATGATCAATGGTTGCCTGGAGCTGCGGGTGGGAACAGGAGTGACCTCAAAGGAGCAAGGGGAACTTTTGGGGGTGGATGGGAATATTGGGAAACTGGACTGTGATGGTTGCTAAGTGCGTCAGTTCACGGAAACCTATCACACTGTACCCTCACAATGAGTGACGTTTATGGTTTGTAAGTTAGACCTCAATAAAGCTGTTTGTAATCATTTTATTTATTCTTTTTTTTTTTTTTTGAGACAAAGTCTCACTCCATCACCCAGGCTGGAGTGCAATGGCACGATCTCGGCTCACTGCAACCTCCGCCTCCAAGGTTCAAGCGATTCTCATGCCTCAGCCTCCCAAGTAGCTGAGATTACAGGCGTGTGCCACCACACTCAGCTAATTTTTTTGTATTTTTCGTAGAGACGGGGTTTCACCATATTGGTCAGGCTGGTCTCAAACTCCTGACCTCAGGTGATCCGCCCACCTTGGCCTCCCAAAATGCTGGGATTACAGGTATGAGCCACTGCGCCCAGCCAATAAAGCCATTTTTAAAAAAAAGCAATTAAAAGAGGCCGGGCGCAGTGGCTCGTGCCTGTAATCCCAGCACTTTGGGAGGCCAAGGCAGGCAGATCACCTGAGGTCAGGAGTTCAAGACTAGCCTGGCCAACATGGTGAAATCCCGTCTCTACGAAAAATACAAAAATTAGCCAGGCATGGTGGCAGGCACCTGTAATCCCAGCTGCTTAGGAGGCTGAGGCTGGAGAATCGCTTGAACCCAGGAGGCGGAGGTTGCAGTGAGCAGAGATCGCACCATTGCACTCCAGCCTGGGTGACGAGCGAAACTCCATCTCAAAAAATAAAACAAACAAACAAAAAAAAAAACAAAAGGCAATTAAAAGAAAGGATTCTTTCAAGGCCAGTGCAAAACTGCTTTGCAGAAACAGGTGACCTCCCTTGTAATATTCATGGTAGCCATCACACTTCCCAAGTGTGGGACACTTTGTCCTGAGCAGGGGTTCTCTGAGGTGCACATCCAGATGCTGTCACACCAAACCCGGCTTGGTGATCTTTCAAACTCCAGAATTTACAATTTCTAAACATAATGATTATGATATTAGTCAACTCATAGAGTCCAAGAACATGAATACATGGAACTGAGCAAAACAAACAGCATTTCCCTAATGTCGGGGGATGGTGGTATGACTGGGAGCCAAAGAGAGCTTTGTGGGCTTTTGCTGAACTACGCAGCTGTTCGGGGCAGCTCCTGGAACGAGGAAAGGTATTTCGGGTATAGACTGAAATACCTTCACTAACAACTGTGGAATGCTGGCTATACACATCACCATCACTGCAGAAATGTGGGGAAATTATTTTAGGAAAATCCATCTTGCTCAGAGGCAAAAGAATAAATCGAACATTCTGTAGTCCACCTCACCAGTGTTTCTATCCACAGCGAGGGGTTTTCAAACTTGAGTGTGAGTCAAAATCTCCTGACCTGTTGAGAAGGCAGATTCCCTGGCAGGGCCCCAAGGCCATACAACTGAATGCCTGGGACCAAGTGCCGGAGTCTGAATCTTTAACTAGCCCTCGAAGTGATGAGGGTCCTCAAAACACGGCGTAAGGAACGCTGGCCTCCAGCAATGAAGAAGGTGAAGACACTCAGTCAGTCTGTGCTGTTTGGGCACCTCTGCTGATTTTAGTTCTGCTTCTTTCCATTCCTCTCTGTCTCATCTGCACATCTCACGTTGTGCCTTGGTCCTTACCTGCCCCATAGCCTTGCTCTCAGGGACAGAAGTCCCACCCGTGGTGAACTGGAGACAAATAATTGTTAAAAGGTTTTCTCTTGCCTGCCCCCCTTCCCCTCCATGGGACAAGACTATAACCAGAGGCTGATTAAGCCTGTGCCCATTGGCTTCTATACCGGTTCTCACTTAATCACTGGAGAGGAAGCTGCAGCAGGTTCTAGGTTCTAACACCCTGCTGGGGTTTTAGATTGGTGGCTCATGCCTATAATCCTGAAGCTTTGGGAAGCCAAGGTGGGAGGATGGCTTGAGTCCAGGGATCGGAGATAATGTCTCTACAAAAAAAGTTTAAAAAAAAATTAGCCAGAAGTGGTGGCACACGCCTGTAGTCCCAGCTACTCAGGAGGCTGAGGTGGGAGGCTGACCCCAGGAGTTAGAGGCTGCAGTGAGCCGTGATCCCACCACAGCACTTCAGCCTGGGCAATAGAGTGAGACCCTGTCTCTAAAATCAATCCATCAATCAAACCGTGTTGAAGGGGAGGGAAGCATAGACTTGGTTGAATTGGACAACCGAGCCCAGGACAGAGCTCTAGTGAGGCCCCCTGTTCTGCTGTCCCCTGGGAAGGGAGGGATGGCCCCTGCATGAGAGCACCTGCACATGGTGGTCCACTATGCTCTTGATTCCTGGGCTTCAGGGAGGCCTTGACTTCCCACCCTCTTCTGCAGCAGCCCAGCCTTTGAGTGGTGACCCTTGGCTTTCTCTGCAAGATTCTCCCCACCCACCCAGACCCTTGGGGGAAGCCTTAGGCAGCCAGATCCATAACACGTGACCCCAGCCCCTAATGCTCAGACCAGGAGTAGACTTAACCAAAACTGGCCAATCAGAGCCCCTTTTCCTGGAAACTTAAACTTCTAAGATATTCCCATCTTGGTGTGTGCTGGTTTCTCATACAGAGTAGGCAAAATGCTGGGGCTGGAGCATTGCTGAGTGAGTGGCATAGAAAGCTTAGATGAAAGGGAAGCAGGTCGTGAGATGGAGAGGGCATCCTGGGTGACTGCATTCAGCACCCCTCGGGAGTCAGTCCCCTCCCGAGGCCCAGCTGAGGTCCTGAGCTCAGTTCCGTGAGACACCCCAGTGTTATTGGAATAAAGAGCCTTTACTGTGGCAGCGCTCCCTAACGCAGGAAGGATCACATTTCCCTTGCCATCTCTGTCCTTGTTTTAACCCGTACTCTCTTTCCGTAGACAGGATGGCAAACCATGTTGTCCTCCTTATAGTGCAAAACGGGAATTTTCCCAAAAAACTGATTTGGTTTGAATGAACTGTCTTTGGCGATAGTATGAAATTATTATTTATAGGTGCAAAAATAGAACTGTGAACATGTTTTATCTTAAAAAGGGTTCTTGTCTATTAGAGTAACTTTGAAATATTTACACCTGAAATGATGTCAGGAATAGCTTCAAAACAATGCCAGGGCCAGGTGTGGTGGCTCACGCCTGTAATCCCAGCACTTTGGGAGGCTGAGGCGGGCGGATCACAAGGTCAGGAGTTCAAGACTATCCTGGCCAACATGGTGAAACCCCATCTCTACTAAAAATACAAAAATTAGCTGGGCATGGTGGTGCGCACCTGTAGTCCCAGCTACTCGGGAGGCTGAGGCAGGAGAAACACTTGAACCCTGAGATGGAGGTTGCAGTGAGCCAAGATCGCGCCACTGTACTCCAGCCTGGCGACAGAGCAAGACTCCATCTCAAAAAACAAAAACAAAAACAAAAAAAAAACAATGCCAGGGAGGCCGGGCGTGTTGGCTCACGTCTGTAATCCCAGCACTTTGGGAGGCCAAGGTGGGCAGATCACTTGACTTCAGGAATTCAAGACCAGCCTGACCAACATGGTGAAACCCTGTCTCTACTAAAAAGACAAAATTAGCCATGCGTGGTGGTGCATGCCTGTAATCCCAGCTACCTGGGAGGCTGAGGCAGCAGAATTGTTTGATCCCGGGAGGCGGAGGTTGCAGTGAGCTGAGATCACGCCATTGTACTCCAGCCTGGGCAACACAGCGAGACTCCATCTCAAAAACAAACAAACAAAAACAAACTAACAAACAAAAAAAACAATGCCAGAGGACAGGAAGTGGGTGAGGATGTAAATGAAACAAGGTCGACCTTGAGCTGATAATTATTGAATCTGGGTGACGAGGGTTCATTGCCCAAGTCTGTCTTCTTCTGTGTATGTTTCAAATTGTCCATAGTGAGAAGTTTTAAAAAATGCTGATTTAGGGGTATACCTATGAAATATCACAAAACCACCAGCCTTCCAAAGTGAGAAGAAGCTTTTTAAATGGGAGATCTAAGTGTGGCTCCAAAGGCAGCTACCCCTAATGGGACTGGGTGTGGTACTGTGAGTGTACAGGTGTGTGAACAAAAACATATGGGGAAATGTCCCTCTTTCCCTTAGAGGAAAATAGGAACTTGGGCTTCGTGTTCAATACATCTCTGATGATGCAATCCAAAAAGAAATATGCTAAGCTCTATGGCTTGCTTTTAAATTAATAAAAGGCACATTTAACTATATACTTTGTAGATTGTATTAAAAGTTATTTGGTAGATTTAAGGGTAAGAAGCATTGCCTCCAACTAGAACATTTTCCTAATAGGTTGAAAGCATATGTGTCGAAAGTAAAGCATTTTGGGAGTTCTCCAGCAGCTATAAAAAACTCAATGTATCTATGCATACCTTCTAATTTAGAGGAGCGAGTGGGAGGTAGGAGGTGGCCGATGCTTGTTGGATATTCAAGAGCATCTGTATTCACTTTTTTATAAATTCATTATGGTTAAGAGTGGTCTTTTGTAGGGGTTTGGATTTCGGGAGAAATCATTCATAATACAAGTTTTCCTTTAAAGTTGTGACTGTCCATTGTACCCTTACGCTCGCCCCGTTTTCAAGGAGGCCAAGTTCTGTTTTCTGTATGAGGACTCAAGGGGGCCTGCTACTCGAATGCCCCGTCGCTGTCTAATTCTGTGGTTAATCTCATAGTGTGGACACACTTGGGGGCCCAGCTCTGAGACCAGGAGTCCCCAACCACTCTGTTCATGTCTGAATGTCTGTCCCTTTTCATTTCCCCCTTCTTTCCATCTACTCCATAATGTCTGCAGTGGAGGTGCTTGCATACTTCACTTGTACTTTGCAATATTTCTCTTTCTTTTTTATTGTCATTATATTTTTTGAGAGGCAATCTTCGCTCTGTTGCACAGGCTGGAGTGCAGTGGCACCATCTTGGCTCACTGCAACTTTCTCCTCCTCGGTTTAAGCGATTCTCCTGCCTCAGCCTCCTGAGTAGCTGAGATTACAGGCGCCCACCACCACATGTGGCTAATTTTTGTATTTTAATATAGAGACGGGGTTTCACCATGTTGGTCATGTTGGTCTCGAACTCCTGACTTCAAATGATCCACTTGCCTTGGTCTCCTAAAGAGCTGGGATTACAGGCATGAGCCACCGTGCCTGGTCATCTTTTAACTGATCTTTCCACTGTAGCCTTCTGCTTTTATAATATATGTGTATTCAGAGAAATGCATCCTACTCTCTAAGTTATTGGCCCTTTGGGTCCAACAATAAAAGACTCACTCTCTACTTCATGGAAACAAGAGTTCATTGTAAGAACACTTTTCATTAAGACACATTGAGACCAAAAATAAAACCGTGTTTCTCCACTCAGGAGCCAGGTACCCCTCGTCATCACATCTCCACGTATTCATGAGCTGAATGAGACTAAAGGTTTAAAGTTACAAGGGCGGTATTTTAAAATGTTTCTGTTGGCCAGGTACAGTGGCTCATGCCTGTAATCCCAACACTTTGGGAGGCCGAAGTAGGAGGATTGCTTGACCTCAAGAGTTCAAGACCAGCCTGGGCAATATGGTGAAACCCTGTCTCTACAAAAAATACAAAAAAGTAGCTGGGTGTGGTGGCACTCAGGTACCTGGGAGGCTGATGTGGGAGGATCCCTTGAGCTGGGGAGATGGAGGCTGCAGTGAGCCATCATAGTGCCATTGCATTCCAGCCTGAGTGATAGAGTAAGATCCTGCCTCAAGAAAACAAGTTTTTGTTGAAATAAAATATTTACACTAAACAAAAAATAAAGCAAATAATATTCTAGCTAAGTCATGGACCAATTAATAGTTGACATTATTTTTTCCGAGAGAATAATATTAACCAGAAGTAAAACCTAGAGCAGGCCTCTCATCACTACATTCCAAACCCAAGCTAAATTTTAGTTAAATTGTACATTTCAGATTTTGAAATAATGCATCATTTAAAATATTTTAAAGAAAAATGCAAAGGCCTTTCAAACCACAATTTCTTCTATGGATTATATCTCTGTAGATGTGCCTGACTATGAAACAAACTACTATAATATCAATTATTAGGCCAGGTACTGTGGCTCATGCCTGTAATCGAAACACTATTTTTTTTTTTTATTTGAGACAGAGTCTCGTTCCATTGCCCAGGCTGGAGTGCAGTGGTGTGATCTCAGCTCACTGCAACTTCCACCTCCCAGGCTCAAGCGATTCTCATGCCTCAGCCTTCCAAGTAGCTGGGATTACAGGTGCACAACACCACGCCCAGCTAATTTTTTTCATTTTTAGTAGAGACAGGGTTTTACCTTGTTGGCCAGGCTGGTCTCAAACTCCTGGCCTCAAGTGATCCATCCGCCTTGTCCTCCCAGAGTGCTGGCATTACAGGAGCCACCATGCCCAGTCCATACTTGCTTTAGATCATTTTTTCGAGATCATAGTGGAAGGCACCTGTGTACCCCTCTCACGTCAAATGCATCTTTCTATCTCCCAGAGGCAAGAACTATTCTGAATTTGATGATTACGCTCCCCATGTGTGTTGTTATATAATTGCTCTAAGTGTATGAACCCATAGGGGATATGTAACATTGGTTTTAATGTTCACAAATTTAAAACAAATGCTATATTACTCTGCAGCTTATTTTTTTCTGTGTATTATGATGTTTTCAAGATATATTCATATCGGGCTGGGCATGGTGGCTCATGCCTGTAATCCCAGCACTTTGGGAGGCGGGTGGATCACGAGGTCTAGAGATCGAGACCATCCTGGCCAACATGGTGAAACCCTGTCTCTACTAAAAGTACAAAAAAAATTAGCTGGGCCTGGTGGAGTGCACCTGTAGTTCCAGCTACTCGGGAGGCTGAGGCAGGAGAATCACTTGAACCCGGGAGGCGGAGGTTGCAGTGAGCCAAGATCATGCCACTGCACTTCAGCCTGGCTACGGATTGAGACTCCGTTTCAAAAAAAAAAAAAAAGATATATCCATATTGACATTTTGTTTTGTTTTGTTTTGTTTTGTTTGAGACAGGATCTTGCTCTGTAGCTTATGCTGTAGTGAAGTGGTGCAATTATAGCTCACTGCAGCCTCGAACTCCTGGGCTCAATCCATCCTCCCACCTTGGCCTCCTGAAGCTGGGACTATAGGCATGAACCACTATGCCTGGGTAAATTTTTCTTTTTTCTTTTCCTTTTTTTTTTGTAGGGACAGAGTCTCACTATGTTGCCCAGGGTGTTCTTAACCTCCTGGGCACAAGCAGTCCTCCTTCCTTGGCTTCCCAAAGTGCTGGAATTACAGCTGTGAGCCACCACATCCAGCTGATGTATTGTTCTAGTTCATGCTTTTTTTTTTTTTTGAGACAGAGTCTCACTCTGTTGCCCAAGCTGGAGTGCAGTGGCACAAACTCAGCTCACTGCAACCTCTGCTTCCCAGGTTCAAGCAATTCTCCTCCCTCAGCCTCCCGAGTAGCTGGGACTACAGGTGTGTTCCACCACACCTGACTACTTTTTGTATTTTTAGTAGAGATGGAGTTTCACCATGTTGGCCAGGCTGGTCTCGAACTCCTGACCTCAGGTGATCCACCCACCTCAGCCTCCCAAAGTGCTGGGATTACAGGTGACTGCAGGGTATTCCACTGTGTAAATGTTCTGTGCTCTTATGATCCATTCTCCTGTTAATGGGTCTTTAAGTTGTTTATCATATTTTATTATTGCCACCAATGTTGCAAAAACGTTCTTGGGCACCTCTCATTCTGCACTTAAGCTAACATCTCTGTAGAATATGCACAGGAGCTGAGAGGGCTGGATAATGAGCTTTACCACCTATTGACACAAATTGTTCTGTAAAGGGACTTCTGCTCCTACTGGCTGTGTATGAAATTTGCTGCTTGTCTACACCTTGAACAGTGACACAGAGGCTGTCCTTCCAGTCATTGTATCAGCTGTGTCTTCGAGGAGCCATTGCAATTTTCTGTCAAGCCGACTGCATCTACATGGGGTGGTATGTGGTTCTATCATTGGACCCCAGGGTCACAGGCCCACTCTGTACCTTCTTGGCTCTGAAATGGGTACCTGGTCACTTCTATGTCATATAGGATTCCTTGTCTGTGGATTAGGCATTCTGTGAACCCCCAGAGAGTGGTGTGTGCAGGAAAGATAAATCCAGAATAGACTTGGTGCGTGTGTGGAAGGATCATTTGGCATGGAAGGGGCTCAGTGTAGACAGGTGCTACCAAGGGATTGGTTGGTCTCGTTGAGGAACACTGTCTTATCGGGAGCTCGACATCGGTCTCTGTTGCTGGCAGTTGGACATTTAGAAGCGGCAGTAGCTAGATTGGCCTTGGTAAGTGGGAGTCCACGCTGTTGCTCCTCCCGTAGCCTCCATATATGCCAAGGGGAATCCTATTCAGTTCTCCTTGCTATGGACTGAAGCTTGTGTCCTTAGATTCATGTGTGAAAGCCTGATCTCCAGTGCGATGGTATTAGGAGTTGAGGCCTTTGGCCAGTGATTGGCTCGTGGTGGGGGAGCCCTCCTGAATGTAATTGGTGCCTTTGTAAGAGACAGGAGAGAGCTTCCATTCTCTCTCTCTCTTCACCATGTGAGGAAACAATGAAACAACTGCATTCTGCAAACCAGGAAGAGAAGCAAATTGGCCAGCACCTTGACCTTGGCCTTCCCAGCTTCCATAACTGTGAGAAGTAAATTACTGTTGTTTAAGCCACCCAGTCCATATGAATTTGTTGCAGCTGAACTGACTAAGACACCTGTCATGCCAGTTCCCTAGCAGCCAGTGAGAAAGACTGGCTCATGTGAACTTGGCTGTTGAGTGTCCCTTCTATAGGGGATACTTTCTCCTTCTCCCCCCCACCCAGCCCCCCATAGCTTTATTGAGACATAATGGATATAAAATAAGCTGCAAATACTTAACGTTTACAAAATGAGTTTTAACATAAGTATGTATCTATGAAGCCATCACACAATCAATACAATGAACATATCCATCACTCCTAAAAATGTCCCTTTGTCCTTTTGTAATCCCTCCCCAAAAACTTTTTAAGGGACACTTGGAATGTGCTTATCTCAGTGGAAACTGACTTAGGTAAATAGTTCAGAGAAACCACCTGCTTCTCCATACCCCTGACTTCTATAAATAAGGATCACCATAAGAACACAGAATTACCAGAAGGTATATTTTTCTTTAAAAAAATTTTTGTTGGGGCCAGGGTCGGTGGCTCATGCCTGTAATCCCAGCACTTTGGGAGGCTGAGACAGGAGGATCACTTGAGTCCAGGCGTTTGAGACCAGCCTGGGCAACACAGTGACACCCCGTCTCTACAAAATAATTTAAAAATAAGCCGAGTGTGGTGGCACTCACCTATAGTCCCAGCTACTCAGGAGGCTCAGGTGGGAGGATCACTTGAGCCTGGGAGGTTGAGGCTGCAGTGAGCCATGACGGCACCACTGCATTCCAGCCTGTTTCAAAGAAAAAAAAAACTGCATTATAACTCATATACCATAAAATTTACCCCTTTAAAGCATAAATTCAGTGTATAGTCACAAAGTTATGCAAGTCTTGCTACTATTTAATTCCAGAACCTTTTTATCGTCCCCAGAGGGAAACTTTGTATTCCTTAGCAGTCACTCCTCAATCCCTTTTCTCCCCAGCCTCTGGCCACCACAGAGCAGCTTTCTGTCTGCTTGGATTTGTCAGTTCTGAGCATTTTATGTAAATGGAATCATACATATGTGGCCTTTTTGACTGACAGGCTTCTTTCACTTAGCATAATCTTTTCAAGTTTCACCCATGTTGTGGCATGTATCAGTACTTCATTCCTTTTTGTGGACAAACAATATTCCATTGCATGGATATAGCCATATTTTGTTTATCCACTCATCGGTTGATGGACATTTGAGTGGTTTCTATCTTTTGGCTGTGATAAATAACACTGCTATAAACATTTGTACACAAGTTTTTGTATGGACATGTTTTCCACTCTCTTGGATGTCAACCTAGGAGTAGAATTACTAACTCATTTTGTAAAATATACGTTTAACTTTTTGAGGAACTGTCAGACTCAGACTGTTTTTCAAAGCAGCTACACTACTTTATATTCCCATGTTCCAATTTCTCCATGTCCTAGCCAACATTTATTACCTTTTTTTTTTTTTTTTTTTTTTTTTGGTGGTGGGGCAGAAGGACAGGGTCTCACTCTATTGCCCAGGCTGGAGTGCAGTGGTGCCATCTTGGCTCACTGCAACCTTCACCTCCCGGGTTCAAGCGATCTTCCCCTCTCAGCCTCCCAAGTTGCTGGGACTATAGGCACACGCTGCCATGCCAGCCAACTGTTTTGTAATTACCTCACTTTTTAATGATGTCCATCCAATGATGTCAAGTGGTATCTAATTGTGTTCTGATTTGCATTTCCCTAATAACTAATGATGTTGTATATGTTTTCATATGCTCACTGACCTTTTGTGTATTTTCTTTGGAGAAATGTTTATCAAAGTCCTTTGCCCATTAAAAATTGGGTTATTTATCTTTTATTATTGAGTTGTAAGACTTATTTACACATTGTATATACAGCCCTTCTATCAGATATGTAATATGCATGTTTTCCCCTCATTCTGTGTGTTATCTTTTGACTTTCTTGACAATGTGTTTGGAAGCACAAAAGATCTTAATTTTGATGAAGTTCAATTTATTTCTATTTTTTCTTTTGTTGCTTTTGCTTTTGGTAGCGTATCTAATAATCATTACCAAATCCAAAGTCATAAAGTTTTACTTCTATATTTTTTCTAAAAGTTTTATAATTTAGCTCCTAAATTTAGTTTTTCAATCATTTTTAGTTAATTTTTATATATAGTGTGAGGTAGGACTATAACTTCATTCTTCTGCATATGGATATCCACAGTCCCAGCACTGTTTGTTGAAAAAACTATTCTTTGTTCTTTTGTGAAATTTTTTTAGTTATTCTGAGTCTCTTGCATTTCCATATGCATTTTAGGATCAGCTGATCAATTTCAATAAAAAAGACAGAGGAAGCTAGGATTTGGATAGAGATCACATTCAATCTTAGATCAGCTTGGGGAGTATTGCTATCTTAATATTAAATCTCTCAATCAATGAAACTGGGAAATATTTCCATTTGTAGATGACTTCTCTAATTTTTTCCAATGATATTTTCTAGTTTTCAGTGTACAAGTGTAATCTTTCTTTGGTTAAATTTTTTTTCTAGTGTTTTATTTCTTTTGATGCTAAAGTAAATAAATGTTTTTCTTAATTTTAATTCAGAAATTTAATTTTTAATTTAGATTGTTCTTTACTAGTATATAGAAACTCAATTGCTTTTTTGTATATTGATGTTCTATCCTGTAATTTTGCTGAATTCATTTATTAGTTTTGGTGAATTTCTTAGAATTTTTGATATGTAAGAAATATTTGATATTTTTGCAAATAAAAATATTTATTCTTCTTCCTTTCTGATGCCTTTTATTTCTGTTTGTTGCCTAATTGGTCTGACTACAACCTCCAATACAATGTTGAATAGAATGGCAAGAGGAACGATTCTTGTGTTGTTCCTTATCTAGGGGGAAAGTATTCCATTTTTCACTGTTAGGTATGACATTGGCTTTGAGTTTTTCATTGATACCCTTATCAGGTTGAGGAAGTTCCCCGCTATTCTTAGTTTGCTGATTGTTTTTTTTATCATCAAAGTGTGTTAGATTTTGTTAAATGCTTTTTCTGCATCATTGAGATAATCTTGTGTTGTTTCCCCTTTTTACATTAATATGGTATATTACATTAATTAATTTTCAAGTATTAATTTAACCTTGCATTCCTGGGATAAATCTCACTTGATAATGCTCTATAATCTTTTTGTACATTGGTAGATTTGGTTTTTTAGTATTTTTTTTGAAGATTTTCATATTAACATTTATAAAGGAGGCTACATGTGGTGGCTCATACCTACAATCCCAACATTTTTGGAGGCCAAGGCTGGAGGATCACTTGAGCCTAGGAGTTCAAGACCAGCCTAGGCAACATAGTGAGATCCTATCTCTAAAAAAAAAAAAAAAAATATATATATATATATATATATATATATATATATATATATATACATATATATATATATATAGACATGTCATAAGAAAAATCACTGAAGAACTAAAAAGTTAGTGGGGAATTTTCTGGCCAAATTCCTGAGAAAAACTTGAACCAGAGAGGTAAGAGGAATATTAGTACACCTAAGATATTTTTTAACTCTGGATATTTATGATGCTACAAATTTGAGCTTTGATTCTCTGGCTTCAAGCGGGAGACAGAAGTCAAGGATCAGGACTCCCTAGAATACCCACATTTGGCTGAAACCCCGAAGTACTCCACTTTCAACATTAGAGTACAATACCATCACCACTTCCCCTGGTAAAGCATTTGAGATATTACATGAATTTTAGAAGAAGCAAGTTCAAATCTTCTCTAAGTGAAAGCATTCTCATGCTAGGTATTATAGAAACTGCTCAAGTGATTTTTGAACAGCAATAATCAGCAAGCAGGAATACAAAAAACTTTAGCTAAATACAACAGAAAAAAAGACAGTAAAAACAGATCTAAAAAACCTGCAAATATTGGAATTATCCAACAGATTATTCAACCATGATTACCATGTTGGAAGAAATAAAGGATAAACCTAAACAAATGTTCAGAGAATAAGAACCTATTAAAAACAACACAGTAAAACTAATTACAACATCTAAACTAAAAATAATATAAATACAATTAAAATTAAAAAGAGGTGCTTGGCAAAGTATTGGACAGTGAAGGAAGTAAGAATTGATGAAAGTTAGATGAGAAGAAATTTGCAATGTGTAATGCACACTTTTTAAATATTTATTTATTTATTTATTTATTTATTTATTATTTTTTTGAGATGGAGTTTCACTCTTGTTGCCTAGGCTGGCGTGCAGTGGCGTGATTTTGGCTCACTGCAATCTCCACCTCCTGGGTTCAAGTGATTCTCCTGCCTCAGCCTCCCAAGTAGCTGGGATTACAGGCACCTGCCACCACGCCCAACTAATTTTTTGTATTTTTGGTAGAGACAAGGTTTCACTATGTTGGCCAGGCTGGTCTCAAACTCCTGATTTCGGGAGATCCACCCACCTCGGCCTCCCAAAGTGCTGGGATTACAGGCATGAGCCACCACGCCTGGCAGACTTTTTTTAAAAATGAAAAATAAAGAAGAGAGGTTAGGACATATACGTAGGATAATGTCATAAATCTAACACATGTTAGATGGAAATTACATAACAAGAAAACATGAGAGACTGGGGAATAATTAATATTTAAAGGAATAGAATAAGATTTTCTAGATATGATGAAAGACACCAATCCATTAATTCAAAATAACCAACAGTTTCCAGGTAGAATAAATAAAAGGAGATCCATATCTGGATATATCCTAATGAAATTTCAGAATACTTTGGTAAATGAAATCTTAAAAGCCAAGGGGGATAAGAGGTAGCCTTTTTAAAAATGAAAGTATTTAGATTAACAGCTGACTTTTTAATTTTTGTGGGTACATAGTAGATGTCTATATTTATGGGTTACATGAGCTATTTTGATAAAGGCATGCAATATGTAATAATCACATCAGAGTAAGTGGGATATCCATCCCCTCAAGTATTTATCCTTTGCTTTTTGTTTTTGTTTTTCTGAGAGGGAGTCTCGTCCTGTCACCCAGGCTGGAGTGCAATGGTGCGATCTTGGCTCACTGCAACCTCTGCCTCCCGGGTTCAAGCGATTCTCCTGCCTCGGCCTCCTGAGTAGCTGGGATTACAGGCACATGCCGCCATGTTCAGCTAATTTTTGTATTTTTAGTAGAAACGGGGTTTCACCATGTTGGCCAGGCTGGTCTCAAACTCCTGACCTCAGTTGATCCGCCTGCCTCAGCCTCCCAAAGTGCTGGGATTACAGGCGTGAGCTACCGCACCCAGCCAAGCATTTTTCCTTTGTATTACAAACAATGCAATTATACTCTTTTAGTTATTTTCAACTTTCAGTCATTTAAAAATGACAATTAAATGGCTGAGCGTGGTGCTCACGCCTGTAATCCCAGCACTTTGGGAGGCCGAGGTGAGTGGATCACCCGAGGTCAGGAGTTCAAGGCCAGCCTGGCCAACATGGCGAGACCCTGTCTCTACTAAAAATACAAAAATTAGCTGGGTGTGGTGGCGCATGCCTGTAATCCCAGCTACTCGGGAGGCTGAGGCAGGAGAATCGCTTGAACCCAGGAGGCAGAGGTTGCGGTGAGCTGAGATCGTGCCATTGGACTTCAGCCTGGGCAACAAGAGCGAAACTCCGTCTAAAAAAAAAAAAGACAATTAAATTATTTTTTACTATACTCACCCTGTCATGCTAACAAATACTAGGTCTCATTCATTCTGTTTAACATTTTTGGTACCCATTAAACATCCCCACTTCTCCTGCCTTCCATTACACTTCCTAGCCTCTGGTAACCATCTTTTTACCTCCATTTCCATGAGTTCAATTGTTTTAATTTTTAGCTCCCACAAATAAGTGAGAACATGCCATATATGTCTTTCTGTGCCTGGCTTATTTCACTTAACATAATGATCTCCAGTTCTATGCACGTTGTTGCAAATGACGAGATCTCATTCTTTTTTGTGGCTGAATAGCACTCCACGTGTCTATTATATACCACATTTTCTTTATCCATTCAGCTGTTGGTAGACACTTAGGTTGCTTCCAAATCTAGATTATTGTGAATAGTGCTGCAATAAATGTGGGAGTGCAGATACCTCTTTGATATACAGATTTCCTTTCTTTTGGGTGTATACCCAGCAGTGGGGTTGCTAGATCATATGGTAGATCTATTTTTAGTTTTTTGAGGAACCTCCAAACTGTTCTCCATAGTGGTTGTACTAAGTTACATTCGCACCAACAGTATACAAGAGTTCCCTTTTCTCCACATCCTCACCAGCATTTGTTACTGCCTGTCTTTTGGATACAAGCCATTTTAGCTGGAATAAGATGATATCGGGCCAGGTGCGGTGGCTCAGCCTGTAATCCCAGCACTTTGGGAGGCCGAGGCGGGCGGATCACGAGGTCAGGAGATCAAGACCATCCTGGCTAACATGGTGAAACCTCGTCTCTACTAAAAATACAAAAAATTAGCCGGGCGTGGTGGCGCGTGCCTGTAGTCCTAGTTACTCGGGAGGCTGTGGCAGGAGAATCACTTGAACCCGGGAGGCGGAGGTTGCAGTGAGCCGAGATCACACCATTGCACTCCAGCCTGGGCGACAGAGTGAGACTTCGTCTCAAAAAAAAAAAAAAAAAAAAAAAAAAAAAAAAAAAAAAAAAAAGAGATATCTTACTGTAGTTTTGATTTGCATTTATCTGATGATTAATGATGTTGAGCACCTTTTCTATACGTGTTTGCCATTCGTATGTCTTCTTTTGAGAAACGTCTATTTAGATCTTTGCCCACCTTTTAATCAGATTAGAATTTTTTCCCATACAGGTGTTTGAGCTCCTTATATATTCTGGTTACTAATCCCTTGTCAGATGGGTAGTTTGCAAATATTTTCTCCCATTCTGTGGGTTGTCCCTTCACTTTGTTGATTGTTTCCTTTGTTTTGCTGAAGCTTTTTAACTTGATGTCATCCCATTTGTCCATTTTTGCTTAGGTTGCCTGTGCTTGTAAGGTATTACTCGAGAAATCTTTGCCCAGTTGAATGTCCTGGAAAGTTTCCCCAATGTTTTGTTTTGGTAGTGTCATAGTTTGAAGTCTTAGGTTTAAGTTTTTAATTCATTTTGATTTGATTTTTGTATATGGCAAGAGATAGGGATCTAGATTCATTCTTCTGCATATGGATGTCCAGTTTTCCCAGCACCATTTATTGAAGAGACTCTTCTTTCCCCAGTGTAGGTCCTTGGCACTTTTGTCAAAAATGAATTCACTGTATATGTATGGATTTATTTCTGGGTTCTCTATTCTGTTCCACTGTCTGTGTGTCTGTTTTTATGCCAGTACCATGCCTTTCTGGTTTCTACAGCTCTGCAGTATAATTTGAAGTCAGGTAATGTGATTCCTCCAGTTTTGTTCTTTTTGGTTAAGATAGTTTTGGCTTTTCTGGGTGTTTTGTGATCCCATATGAATTATAGGATTGTTTTTTCTATTTCTGTGAAGAATGTCATTTGTATTTTGATAGGGATTGCATTGAATTTGTAGATTGCTTTGGGTAGATGAACATCTTAAACAATATTGATTCTTCCAATCAATGAACATGAAATATCTTTCCTTTTGGTATGTGTATCCTCTTCAGTTTCTTACATCAATGTTTTATAGTTTTCATTGTAGAGATCTTTTACCTTTTTAATTAATTCCCAGGTATCTTATTTTATTCATAACTATTGTAAACATAATTACTTTCTTGATTTTTTTTCAGATTGTTCACTGTTAGCATATTTTTTGTATGTTGATTTTGAATCCTGCAACTTTACTGAACTTGTTTATCAGTTCTAATAGTTTTTTGGTGGAGTCTTTAGGTTTTTCCAAATATAAGATCGTATCATCAGTAAACAAGGATAATTTGACTTCTTCCTTTCCATTTTGGATTCCCTTCATTTCTTTCCTTGTCTGATTGCTCTAGCTAGGACTTCCAGTACTATGTTATATAAAAGTGGTGAAAGTGGGCATCCTTGTTGTAACTGACTTGTTTTTTTGAGACAGAGTCATGCTCTGTCGCCCAGGCTGGAGTGCAGCGCCGCAATCTCGGCTCACTGCAAGCTCCGCCTCCTGGGTTCATGCCTTTCTCTGGCTTCAGCTTCCCGAGTAGCTGGGACTACAGGCACCCACCACCACGCCCAGCTAATTTTTTTGTATTTTTAGTAGAGATGGGGTTTCACTGTGTTAGCCAGGATGGTCTCGATCTCCTGACCTCGTGATCCGCCTGCCTCGGCCTCCCAAAGTGCTGGGATTATAGGCGTGAGACATCACGCCTGGCCAACAGCTAAATTTTAACAGCAATAGTGGTAACTAGAAGAGAGTGGCTTGATAACTACATTGTGCTGAAAAATTTAAAAAATAACTGCTAACCAGTAACTCTACACCAAGAAAATTTATCTTTCTATATTGAGGGCAAAATAAATAATTTCAGACTTCAAATAATTTTCAAATAAAAGCTGAGAAAATTTATTATCAGTATTAAGGAGAATCTAAAACATATACATAAGCCAATAACAAGCAAAAATGGTAGGCCAGGTGCGGTGGCTCACACCTGTAATCCCAGTACTTTGGGAGGCTGAGGCGGGCAGATCACGAGGTCAGGAGTTTGAGACCAACCTGGCCAATATGGTGAAACCCCGTCTCTACTAAAAATACAAAAATTAGCCGGGCGTGGTGGTGCGTGCCTGTAGTCCCAGCTACTGGGGAAGCTGAGGCAGAAGAATCGCTTGAACCCAGGAGGTGGAAGTTGCAGTGAGCCAAGATCGTGCCACTGCACTCCAGCCTGGGTGACAGAGCGAGATTCTGTCTCAAAAACAAACAAACAAACAAACAAAAAAACAAGCAAAATTGTTGCTAGATACGTGGGGAAATGGAAGTAAATATTAAATGTATAAAACAGAATAATAAAGTCTAGTGGAATTAGAAAATAAAGAATTAAAATATTTATATACCATACCACGTAGGTTGAGTAAGCAGGTCAGTGGATGGAGTAAGAGGGGTCTAAGATCTTTGTTTTACCTAGAAGCAAGGTAAAGGTTTTTATTATTTTTCATAAGTTAAGTAATACATACTGTAATTTATAAGTGAACAACTAAAAACAATAGAAACAAAGTGTATGACTTTCAAACTAGTAGAGGAGAAAAATCATATGCTAAAAAATACTCAGTAAAAAATAGACAATAAAGGATAAAAGGGATATCATCAAGAAACAACCATAAAAATGGGCAACCAGCAGCCTTCAGGGCTGCTCTGTCTATGGAGTAGCCATTCTTTTGTTCTTTTACTTTCTTAATAAACTTGCTTTCACTTTAAAAAACAAAAAAGGATAAAAGAGAAACCAAAGATGGGAAAATTATGATTTAGTGGCAAATTAAACTATAAATTTATCAGGAGTTACATTAAACGTATGCACAAAAATTGCCATAGTTAAAAGACAAAGATTGTTGAACTAGGTAAAAGTATAAAATGCAACTATATGCTTTTGATAAGACATACCTAAAATGTAAAACTATAGAAAGGTGAAAACAAAAGCTTGTAGAAAGGTATACTATATAAATACTAAGCAAAAGAAAATTGATTAGTAAGACAAAGAGAATTTAAGACAAAAATAATTGTTAGAGAGATTCCCTTCATAAGGTTAATGGTTAAATTCACCTTAAAAATTGTTTTCGGCTGGGTGTGGTAGCTCACACCTGTAATTCCAACATGCTGGGAGGCTGAGGTGGGAGGATGGATCACTTGAGCCCAGGAGGTCTAGGCTATAGGGAGCCGTGTTCACACCACTGCACTCCAGCCTGGGGAACAGAATAAGACCCTGTCTCAACAAAAAAATATTTTTTTAAATTTTTGTGGGCTTAGAAATATAACTTCAAAATACATAATGCAATATTTACAGAATTATAAGGAGAATTAAACAATCTATAATCACAGCAAGAGATTTTAAGACACATATCTCAGTAATTAATAAAACAAGCAGACAAAAAAGTCAGTATTGATATAGAACATTTGAACAATAGAATAAATGAACTAAAGCTGGAGGCATCACGCTACCTGACTTCAAACTATACTACAAGGCTATAGTAACCAAAACAGCATGGTACTGGTACCAAAACAGAGGTATAGACCAATGGAACAGAATGGAGCCCTCAGAATTAATACCACACATCTACAACCATCTGATCTTTGACAAACCTGACAAAAACAAGAAAGGGGGAAAGGATTCCCTATTTAATAAATGGTGCTGGGAAAACTGACTAGCCATATGTAGAAAGCTAACACTTGATTCTTTCCTTACACCTTATACAAAAATTAATTCAAGATGGATTAAAGACTTAAATGTTAGACCTAAAACCATAAAGACCCTAGAAGAAAACCTAGGCAATTCCATTCAGGACATAAGCATGGGCAAGGACTTCATGATTAAAACACCAAAAGCAATGGTAACAAAAGCCAAAATTGACAAATGGGATCTAATTAAACTAAAGAGCTTCTGCACAGCAAAAGAAACTACCATCAGAGTGAACAGGCAACCTATAGAATGGGAGAAAATTTTTGCAGTCCACTCATCTGACAAAAGGCTAATATCCAGAATCTACAAAGAACTTAAACAAATTTACAAGAAAAAAATCAAACAACCCCATCAAAAAGTGGGCAAAGTATATGAAGAGACACTTCTCAAAAGAAGACATTTATGCAGCCAACAGATGCATGAAAAAAATGCTCATCATCACTGGCCATCAGAGAAATGCAAATCAAAACCACAATGAGATACCATCTCATACCAGTTAGAATGGCGATCATTCAAAAGTCAGGAAACAACAGGTGCTGGAGAGGATGTGGAGAAATAGGAATGCTTTTACACTGTCGGTCGGACTGTAAACTAGTTCAACCATTGTGGAAGACAGTGTGGCAATTCCTCAAGGATCTAGAACTAGAAATACCATTTGATCCAGCCATCTCATTACTGGGCATATACCCAAAGGATTATAAATCATGCTGCTATAAAGACACATGCATACGTATGTTTATTGCTGCACTATTTACAATAGCAAAGACTTGGAACCAACCCAAATGTCCCTCAGTGATAGACTGGATTAAGAAAATGTGGCACATATACAATATGGAATACTATGCAGCCATAAAAAAGGATGAGTTCATGTCCTTTGTAGGGACATGGATGAAGCTGGAAACCATCATTCTGAGCAAACTATGGCAAGGACAGAAAACCAAACACGGCATGTTCTCACTCATAGGTAGGAATTTAATAAACAACAATTAGAATATCCACAATTTAAAAAATTGAGAAGTGTAGTTTATATAATTTATAAAAAAGTAATCTTTAGAGATATTAGAATTAAAAGATTCATAAAGGATTGCGTCCTAAGAGTTGGTGATTGTGGCTAAAATGCTAATTTAGGGAAATTTATAGCCTTGGATGAAAACATTAGAAGTGAAAAAAAACACTCAAATTATTTTTTCTTTTACTTTTTCTTTTAGACTGTGCCTCACATGATCATGGCTTACTGTAGCCTCAAACTCCTGGGCTCACAAGATCCCCCTGCTTCAACCTCCCAAGTAGCTGCAACTATGGGCACGTGCCACCATGCCTGGGTAGTTTTCTTATTTTTTATAAAGATGGGATCTCACTGTGCTGCTCAAGGTGGTCTCAAACTCCTGGGCTCAAATGATCTGCCCACCTCAGCCTCTGAAAGTGCTGAGATTACAGGCATGAGCCACCACACCCAGCCTAAAAAGCTGAAAATCAAATTAAATATCTTTCTTCAGAAGTAAGAAAACAAAAAGCAAAATAACTCCCAAATAAATAGAATTATAAAAATTAAATATAAGCAAAGATATTATAAAATAGAAAGCAAGGGCCAGCCTGTAATACCAGCACTTTGAGTGGCTAAAGTGGAAGGATCACTTGAGCCCAGGAGTTCAAGACCAGCTTGGCAACATAGCAAAATCTCATCTGTACAAAAATTAGACGGGCATGGTGACATGGACCTGTAGTCACAGTTACTCAGGAGGATGAAGTGGAAGGATCAGTTGAGCTCAGGAGGTCAAAGCTGCAGCAATCCACGATTGGGGCACTGCATTCCAGCCAGTCCAGCACAGTAAGACCCTGTCTAAAAACAAAACAAACAAACAAACAAAAAAGAAAAGAAAGCAGGGGGCAAATAAAGAGAACCTAAAAGTTGGTTCTTTGAAAAGACAAACCTCTGGTGACAATGATATTAAAAAGAGAAAGAAAGAATATATTAGAAGTGAGGTAAGAGGATACTACTACAGACAGGGTGTACATTAAATAAATAATAAAGTTGTATTTTGCAACACTGTGTTCAATAAATGTTTAAAATTAGACACAATGGAAACAAATCAGAAAAAAATGTATAAAACTGACATAAATAGAAATAGAAAAAATGAATAGTCCTATAACCTTTAAAGAAATCAAATCAATGCCAGGCATGGTGCCTCACACTTGCAATCCCAGCACTTTGGGAGGCTGAGGCAGGAGGATTGTTTGAAGCTAGGAGCTTGAGACTGAGTTAGGCAACATAGCAAGACCCTGTCTCTACAAAAAAAAAAAAAAAAAAATTTCTTAATGTCCTGGGCATAGTGGTACATGCCTGCAGTCCCCACAACTTGGGAGGCTAAGGTGAGAAGATTGCTTGAGCCTAGGAGGTTGAGACTGCAGTGAGACAGGATCACTCCACTGCACTCCAGCCTGGATGACAGAGCAAGACTCCTCTTCAAAGAGAAAAGAAAAGAAATCAAATCAAATCAACAGTTTAAAATATTCCCACAACAAAAGCTCCATGGCTGATATGAATTCGTTTGTGAGTTATATCAAACATTCAAAAAAGAAATTATTATCATCTTATGAAAAACCATTTAGAAAATAGGAAAAGACTCCTCAATCTATTTTAGAAGACTTTAATAATAATGATACCAAATTCTGGCAGGGATGACATAAGAAATCCAAAACTGGCCGGGCGCGGTGGCTCATGCCTGTAATCCCAGCACTTTGGGAGGCCGAGGCGGGTGGATCATGAGGTCAGGAGATCGAGACCATCCTGGCTAACAAGGTGAAACCCCGTCTCTACTAAAAATACAAAAAATTAGCCGGGCGCGGTGGCGGGCGCCTGTAGTCCTAGCTACTCGGGAGGCTGAGGCAGGAGAATGGCGTGAACCCGGGAAGCGGAGCTTGCAGTGAGCCGAGATTGCGCCACTGCAGTCCACAGTCTGGCCTGGGCAACAGAGCGAGACTCCGTCTCAAAAAAAAAAAAAAAAAAAAGAAATCCAAAACTAAACAAAATATTGGCAAACCCAAACCAGAAATAAAGTATAATACATATGGCGATGTGCAGTGGCTCACACTTGTAATCCTAACACTTTGGAGGCTGAGGCAGTAGGATTGCTTGAGCCGAGGAGATTGAGACCAGCCTGGGCAACATGGCTTTAAACATTAAGAAAATACTTCATTTTTTCTTTAAAGAAATAAAGAACAAGTACAATGAATACAGAAAAGTTACAAACATGGTCAATATTAATTCAACTATATTGAAAACTACTTTAAAAGTGAATGGTCTTTGGGAGGCTGAGGCAGGTGGATCATCTGAGGTCAGGAGTTCAAAACCAGCCTGGCCAACATGGTGAAACCCCATCTCTACTAAAAATACAAAAGTTAGCTGAGCATGGTGGCTCATGCCTGTAATCCCAGCTAACTGGGAGGCTGAGGCAGGAGAATCGCTTGAACCCAGAGGCAGAGGTTGTGGTGAGCCAAGATTGTGCTACTGCACTCCAGCCTGAGCAACACAGTGAGACTCCGTCAAAAAAAAAAAAAAAGCAAATGGTCTAAATACACCAATCAAAAGACAGAAGCAGTGGCTTATACCTGTAATCCCAGCAGTTTGAGAGGCTGAAGTGGGCCAGAAGTTTGAGACCAGTCAGGGCAAGATAGTGAGACTCTGTCTCTATAAAAAATAAAAAATTAGCTAGGCATGGTGGGGCATGACTGTAGTTCCAGCTACTCAGGAGGCTGAGGCTGGAGGATTGCTTGACCCTGGCAAATCAAGGCTTCAGTGAACCATGATCATGCCACTGCACTCCAGCCTGGGTGACAGAATGAGACCTTGTCTCAAATAATAATAATAGTAATAATAATAATAGCAGAGATCACCTTTTAATAATTAAAAAAAGACCCAAAATTCACACCCATTAGAATGGCTACTATCAATAATACAGAAAATAACAAATATTGGCAGGGATGTGGAAAAGTTGGAATCCTGTGCACTGTTGATGGGAATGTAAAATGTTGTAGCCACTATAGAAAATAGTATGGCAATTCTACAAAAAACTTAAAATAGAGTTTTATATGATTGAGCAATTCCCCTTCTAGGTATAGATATAAAAGAATTGAATGTAGAAGCTTGAAGAGATATTTGTACATGTGTGTTCATAGCGTTGTTATTCACAAAAACTTAAAAAGATGGAAGCAATCCAAATATCCATCAATGGATGAATGGATAAACAAAATGTGGCATATACATACAATAGAATATTATTCAACCTTACAAAGGAAGGAAATCCTGACATATGCTATGACATGAATGAACACTGAGAACATTATGCTGAGTAAAACAGGCCAGTCACAAAAAGACAAATATGATAGGATTCCACTTATTTAAGGTATTGTGAGTAGTCAAGCTCATGGAAACAGAAAACAGAATGATAATTGCTGGCGCTAAGGGGAGGGGGAAATGGAGAGTGGTTTAATGGGTATATAGCTTTGTTTTTGCAAAATGAAAAAGCTCTGAGGATTGGTTGCACAATAATGTGAATATATACTTCACACTACTAACCTGTACACTTAAAAATGGTTAAGATGTAAATTTTGTGTTTTGTGTCTTTTACTACAATTAAGAAAAGCACACCCAAAACTATGACCCAACTACATGTCATCAACAAAAAGCCCAATTTAACCATAAAGACATAGACTGGTTAAAAGTAAAGAGATGGGGAAGAATATGCCATATTAACACTAGTTAGAAGAAAGTTGAAGTAACTATGTTAATTTCAGACAGAGCAAACTTCAGGGAAAGGAAAACATTCAGGGATAAATAGGACTTTACATGATTCTTCAGGAAGATGTGGCAATCCTTAAAATGTATGCAACCACCAACAGAGCACCAAAATAGCTAAGACGAAAATGGATAGAACTGCAAGGAAAAATAGACAAATTAAGATCTATTGTGATAGATCAAGCAGGCAGAAAATCAGTAAGGATATGGCTGAACTGTGTATTAATCAACCATCAGTCAACTGCACCATTAATCTACTGGATCTAATTGATGTTTATAGACTATTTCATCCAAAAACAGCAGAATACCCATTCTTCTCAAGTTCACATGGAATATTCACCAACAGAGATCATATTCTTGGTCATAAAGCATACCTTAACAAATTTAAAAGGATAGAAATCATACAAAGGATATTCTCACAACACAATAGAATTAAACTAGAAACCAATAACAGAAGACAGCTGGAAATTCCCAAATATTTGGACATTAAACAAAAACACTTCTAAATAGCATATGAGTCAAAGAAGAAGGTTTAAGAGAAAATTTACACTATTTTGAACTAAATGAAAAACGAAATACAATTTATTAAAATTTGTGAGCTGCAAGAAAATTTATAGCATGAAATGCACATATTAGGGAAAAAAAGAACCTAAAATAAAAAATCTAAGATTCTACTGCAGGAAACTAGAGAAGAGAAGAGCCTAAAGCAAGCAGGAAAGAACTAGTAAAAATTAGAGGAGAAACCAATGCAATCAAAAACAACAGAGAAAATTAACAAAACCAAAAGCTGATTCTTTGAAAAGATCAATACAAATGATTAACTTCTAGCCAAACTAAGAATAAAAGAAAGAATATACAAATGGCTAATACTAGAAATGAGAAAGAGGTCATCACTGTTGATTCCATGGACAGTAAAAAGATAATAAAGAGGGCCAGGCGAGGCAGCTCACGGCTGTAATCTCAGCACTTTGGGAATCCAAGGCAGGTGGATCACTTGAGGTCAAGACTGGCCAACATGGTGAAACCCTGTCTCTACTGAAAACACAAAAAATTAGCTGGGCGTGGTGGTGGACACCTGTAATCCCAGCTACTTGGGAGGCTAAGGCAGGAGAATGGCTTGAACCCAGGAGGCAGAGAATGCAGTGAGCCGAAATCAGGCCATTACACTCCAGCCTGGGCGACAGAGCGAGGCTCTGTCTTAAAAATAAATAAATAAATAAATAAATAAATAAATAAATAAATAATAATAATTAAAAAAATTTATGAACAATTCCATGCAACAAATATGATAACTCAGATGATGTCAGTGAATTCCATGAAACACACAAGTTACCAACGCTCATGCAAGGAGAAAGAATAATCTGAGTAGACCAATAAGTAATAACCTTCTCAAAAAATGTTCCATGTCCAGTTGGTTTTGCTGGTGAGTTCTATCAAATATTCGAGAGAGAAATGATACCCATTCTCCACAATATCTTCCAGAAAACAGAATATACTGTTCATTTCTTTTTTCTATTTTATTTTTTAAATTAAATCTACAGAAAAGTGCCAAAAAAAACCTTATTGGCAAACTAAGAATAGAAGGACAAAATTATAAAACTTTATTAAGAAACATTTAAGAGATCCTAAGTTTATGGAAAGATACATTGTGTTCATGAGTTGGAAGATTCAATTTTAAGAAGTTGTCATTTCCTTCTGAATGGGTTTATGCACTCAATGCGATGTCAAATTCCTAACGGTGTGTATATTTGGGGTGTGCGTGTGTGTGTGTGTGTGTGTGTGTGTGTGAATTTGACAAGCTAATTCTAAAATGTTAATGAAACTATAAAGGGATAATAGTAGAGGGATTTAGTTTTGTTCATTTAGTGGTGGTCACATAGCTCCAAAAGCAGAAAGAGAGGGCAAGCCCCATTGCCCTGAGCAGTGCGAGTCTCTGCTTGTATCACATTTGCTATAGTTCAACTGAACAAAGCAAGACCAAGCCACGGGTTTATGTGGAGGAGGCAACTCAAAGATCTTCATACATGGAGTGGGAGAATTTCACAATACATGGAGTGTGGACAATTTCACAATCTGCCACGACAAGGTGCCACAATCTGCCACATCACTAGCAAGTGATGGAGGCTGTCCCAGTATGTCCCAGGCAATCTGTCTCCGGGGTTAATGTATGGCCTTATCTACCAGAGCTGCACCGTCCAATATGGTAGCCACTAGCCACATGTGTTTATTTAAATTTAAGTTAATTAAAGTTTCATTACTAACTTAATTATTACCCCAAATTATAAAATTCTGCTTGTAGCCACTAGCCACATGCTAGTAGTGGCTTGTACAAGCCACTCAATACTACACGCATAGAATATTACCATTATTACAGAAACTTCTATTGGATGGCACTGTTTTAAAATATACTGCCTCTCTTAATAATATTGACAATTTTTATATTAGAAATCAAACAGTAGATTAGTTGGATTCTCAACCATGTTCCGTGAAGCCTAAAAGTTCTTTAAAAACCTAAGGGGTCTTAGGAAGGATGGGTCCTTATGGTAGACAGCTCTAACTGACAAGTGTGCCAACATGGATGTGAATATCACAATTTTGCAACATAAAAGCAATATGTAAGTATGCTCTAACCTAAAAAAAAGAAAAAAAATTCTTACTACATCTTAAAGAGTCATGTTAAAGCTTTTTCAAACAGAAAAATACATAGCTAAGAAACCAATAATTATTTGAACAGTTAACTACAAGATAATTAACTTAATGGGAAAAAAATGGGTTCAACTGTTGCTCATGTTTGCTTCAAAGAAATGCCATTCAACTGCGAACTTTGCGCATTCATCTTATAAGTGAAAGTTCTGATGTCTGGGGGCTGTAACCCACATGCTACAGAAAGTCATCAGCTCCAAGCATTGGTGGGATGTGACAGACACCGTACAGGCTATCTGACTCAACCTCCAATCCCAGTCTTTTCCCCTTACTTCCTGTGATTATTGTAGAGTGAAACTGAATGTTTCACTTTCCCAGCCTCGATTGCATTTATGGATGGGCATGACACACAGTTCTGGCCAGTGAATGGAAGTAGCAGGCTTCTGGGGGCCTTATTTCTGGAAAAAGTCAAAGAATCTTGAACTCCCGTTGTCTCCCTTCCAATCCTCTCTGCAGTTAACGTTAGATATTTTAGTGCCACATATGTAAGTAACTCCACAATATGTTGTTGTTATTATCATTTTTGTTAGCCCATGCATTCTAGCAGAAATGATATTGCTCCCCTGTCACCAGGGGTGGGGAAGATTCTATTAAAATGCCTTAAAAAGCTGCTTGGGAGGATGTTAATACAAAAGTGACAAACATTGCTCTAGAGAGTCAATTATCTCTTAAAGAAAAGTTAAATATACAAGAAAACTACATTTAATTCATACCCACATATTTACAATTTCCCAGTGCTTATTTACTTATTTTATATTTTATTTTATTTTTTGAGACAGAGTCTTGCTTGTTGCTCCAACTAGAGTGCAGTGGCACGATCATGGCTCACTGCAGCCTCGAACTCCCAGGCTCAGGCCTTCCTCCCACCTCAGCCTCTTGAGTAGCTGGGACTACAGGTGCATGCCACCAGGCATGGCCAGCTAATTTTTTATTTGTAGTTTTTGTAGAGACAAGGTCTCACTATGTTGCTCAGTCTGGTCTTGAACTCCTGGGCTCAAGAGATCCTCCTGCCTTGGTCTCACAAAGTGCTGGGATTATGGGCATGGACCACCACCCCTGGCTTTATTTTATTTTATTTTTTTATATAGAGATGGGTTCTCACTATGTTGTCCAAGCTGGTCTTAAACTCCTGGCCTCAAGCAATCCTCCTGCCTCACCCTCCCAAAAGTGCTGAGATTACAGGCGTGAGCCACCATGCCCGGCTTTATTTTATTTTATTTTTTTACTTATTTATTATTATTACTATTATTATTATTATTATTATTTTGAGACAGAGTCTTGCTCTGTTGCCAGGCTGGAGTACAGTGGCACAATCTTGGCTCACTGCACCCTCTGCCTCCTGGGTTCAAGCGATTCCCCTGCTTCAGCCTCCCAAGTAGCTGGGACTACAGGTGTGTGCCGCCACGCCCGGCTAATTTTTTGTATTTTTAGTAGAGATGGGGTCTCACCATGTTGGCCAGGATGGTCTCGATCTCTTGACCTTCTGATCTGCCTGTCTCGGCCTCTCAAAGTGCCAGGATTACAGGCGCGAGCCACTGTGCCTGGCCCCCACTGCTTTTTATTCCTTTGTGTGGATCCATGTTTGCATCTGGTATCATTTTCCTTCAGCTTTAAGAACTTTCTTTAATATTTCCTCTAGTGCAGACTTGCTGCTGACAGGCTTGGTCAGCTTTTATTCATCTGAAACAGTTTTTTTTCACCTTCATTTTTGAGGGATGTTTTTGCTGGATATAAAATTCTAAATTGACAGGTTTAAAAACAAATTTAAAGACTTTAAAGGTGTCCTCCAATTCCTTCTGGCTTTCATAGTTTCTGATAAGAAGTCCACTGTAGAGGCTAAGGACATGAACCTCTGCAAAGAAGACATCCGAGTGGCCCACAAACACATGAAAAGATGCTCATCATCACTAATCATCAGAAAGATGCAGCTCAAAACCACAGTGCGACACCATCTCACACAGTCAGAATGCCTTTGATCAAAAAGTCAAAAAATAACATGTTGGCAAGGCTGAGGGGAAAAGGGAATGCTTACACACTGTTAGTGAAAATGTACATTAATCCAGCCACTGTGGAGAACAGTTTGGAGATTTCTCTCTCTCTCTCTCTCTCTTTTTTTTTTTTTGAGACAGGGTGTCACGCTGTCCCCCAGGCTGGAATGCAGTGGTGTCAACATGGCTCACTGAAACCTCAACCTCCTGGGCTCAAGCAATCCTCCCACCTCAGCTTTCCAAGTAGCTGAAACTACAGGCGTGTACCACCATGGTTGGCTAATTTTTTTTGGGTCTCACTATGTTGCCCAGGTTGATCCTAAACTCCTGGGCTCAAGCCATCCTCCTGCCTCAGCCGCCCAAAGTGCTGGAATTACAGGCGTAAGCCACTGTGCCCACCCGAGCTTTCTGAAAGAAGTAAGAGTTGAACTATCATTCTGCCCAATAATCCCATTACTAGGAATATACCCAAAGGAAAATAAATTTTTCTACCCAAAGGACACACGCTTCCCGTATGTTCATCACAGTGCTATTCACAATAGCAGAGACACAGAGTCAACCCAGGTGCTCATCAATAATGGATTGGGGCCAGACGCGGTGGCTCATGCCTGTAGTCCCAGCATTTTGGGAGGCCTAAGCGGGTGGATCACCTGAGGTCAGGAATTCGAGACCAGCCTGGCCAACATGACAAAACCCCTACTAAAAATACAAAAATTAGCCGGGCATGATGACGGGTGCCTATAATTCCAGCTACTCAGGAGGCTGAGGCAAGAGAATCAATTGAACCCAGGAGGCAGAGGTTGCAGTGAGCCGAGATCGCGCCACTTCACTCCAGCTTGGGCAAAAGACTGAAACTCCATCTCGAAGAAAAAAAAATAGTGGATTGGATAAAGAAAACACGGTACAAATACACCATGGAATACTATGTAGCCATTAAAAAGAGGGAAATCATGTCCTTTGCAGCAATGTGTTTGCAGCTGGAGGCCATTATCCTAAAAAAACTAATACAGAAACAGAAAACTAAATACTGCATGTTTTCACTTACAAGTGGGAGCTAAATTTGAGTACGCATGGACATAAAGATGACAAAAATAGACAATGGAGCCTACTAGATAAGGGAGAGAAGGAGCGGGGCAAGGGCTGAAGAACTACCTATTGGGTGCTCACTACCGGGTGATAGGTTTAGTCATACCCCAAACTTCAGCATTATGCAATATACCTTCATAACAAACACGCACATGTATCCCTGATTCTAAAATAAAAGTTGGAAAAGGAACAAAAAAGGGGCTGGGCATAGTGGCTTATACATGTAACCCCAGCACGTTGGGTGGCCAAAGCGGGAGGATGGCTTGAGCCCCTGAGTTCAATACCAGCCTGGGCAATATAGTGAGAACTGTCTCTACAGTTAATTTAAAAAATTAGCTGGGCGCAGTGCTGCATGCTTGTAGTCCCAGCTACCTGGGAGGCTGAGGTGGGAGGGCCGCCTGAACCTGGGAGGTCGAGGCTACAGTGAGCTGTGATTGTGCCACTGAATTTCATCCTGGGTAACAGAGCGAGACCCCATTTCCAAAAAAAAAAAGAAAAAAGAAAAACAGTTTACTGTAATGTTTTTTGTGCTTTGTATATAATGTGTCTTTTTTCCCCTAGAGCTGCATTTAAAATCTTTCTTCTAATATTAGTTTTCAGTAACTGGATTATAATGTATTTAGATTGGTGGATGTTGTGTGTATGTTGGGTGTTGGGTCTATGTATTTATTGTTTTCAAATTTAGAAAAAAATTTTAGCCATTATTTTTTCAAACCCATTTTCTGTTCTTCGCTCCTTCCTCTCTTTTTAGGTCTCCAATTAAATGTCTGTTAAACTAGCTTATACTTTCTAAAGGTCACAAAATCTGTTCGGTTTTTTTTCCCGTTTTTTTTCTCTATATGTTTTATTGCAGATGTATCTCATTTCCTTTTTTCTGATGGGAAATTTATTTCTTAATTTTACATTGATACATAATAATTGTACGTATTTATGGGGTGAATTCTATGTCTATGTCTTCGAGCTGCCTGATATTTTTTTATTCTGCAAGGTCTAATTTTGTTTAGTTCTAGCCAGTAAAATTTTTATTTCGTATATTGTATTTTCATCTCTAGCAGTTTCATTTGGTTCTTTTTTTACTTTCTAAAATTGCTCATTTCGTTATGTACATGTTTTCACTAACTTTTCTAAACATAGTTGTATTATCTGTTTTAAGGTCTTTGTCTACTAGTTTCTTCATAGCTGTCATTCCAGGGTCTCTTCCATTGACCAATTTTCTCCTGGGTATAGGTCACATATTCCTGCATATTCCTGATTTTTTATATATCTAGAATTTGCAGTTGAATGGTGGACATTGTGTGTGTTACAATGCAGGTGTCTGGACTGAGTTCTCATCTTTTTTTTTTTTTTTTGAGACAAGGTGGAGTGCAATGGTGTGATCACAGCTCACTGCAGCCTCAATCTCCCAGGCTCAAGTGATCCTCCCGTCTCAGCCTCCCAAGTAGCTGGGATCACAGGCACACGCCACCAAATCTGGCTAATGTTTTGATTTTTTTGTAGAAATGAGGTCTCATTATGTTGCCCAGGCTGGTCTCAAATGCCTGGGCTCAAGTCATCGTCCTACCTTGGCCTCCCAAAGTGCTGAGATTACAGGTGTGGGCCACCACGCCTGGTCGAGTTGTCATCTTTTAAAGACTTTGTTTCAATAGGCAGTTAATTTACTTGAAGTTATCAGCTTGATACCTTCAACCTCTGGGAAGTGGAATGGAGAACACAGCAAGGGAAAGCTTTTCTTTATATATTTTTGTACATGATATTTTTTCAATGAATATGCAATAATTTTTGTAAAAGTTATTTTAAAATCTTTCATGAACATGTGTGGTCATACATTCTTGCCTCGGCTGAATCTACTAAGCATAGATTGAGTATCCCTAATCCAAAATGCTTGAGACCAGCAAGTGTTTCAGATTTGGGAATTTCTTCAGATTTTAGAACATTTGCATACACACAATGAGATATCTTAGGAATGAGATCCAAGTCTAAACAAAAAAGAATTCATTTATGTTTCATATACACCTTCTCCACATAGCCTGAAAGTAATTTTATACAATATTTTAAATAATGATGTGTATGAAACAAACTTTTTTTTTTTTTTAGAGACAGGGTCTTGCTCTGTCATCTCGGATCACTGCAGCCTCCACCTCCTAGATTCAAGCGATTCTCCTGCCTCAGCTTCCTGAGTAGCTGAAATTACAGGCACATGCCACCATGCCTGGCTAATTTTTGTGTTTTTAGTAGAGACGAGGTTTCACCATGTTGGTCAGGCTGGTCTCAAACTCCTGGTCTCAGGTGATCCACCCGCCTGGGCCTCCCAAATTGCTGGGATTACAGGCGCGAGCCACCGCGCCTGGCCTGAAACAAACTTTTGACTGTGCTGTGACTGTAACCCATCAGGATGGTCAGGTGTGGGATTTCCCTCTTGTGGTGTCATGTCAGTGGCTCAAAGAGTTTTGGATTTTAGAGCATTTGGGATTTTGGATTTTTCAGATTATGAAGCCTCAACCTGTATAAATTAATCTTCATTTGATGCATTGTCATCATCTGCTCTTCAGGGTTTCACTATTTGCACAATAAATACTTAGATATGTGACTGGACTGAAACTATTCTAATCTATTCAGAGTGTTTTGGAATCAAACCCTTTATAATGTTTATTAATTTCCCACTTGCCTTTTTCTAAACATACAATGTATTGTTTTTTTAAAGTTTATGTAAAAGCTTTCCAAAAATGTTATGAGAAGATATGCACATTCCCTACTACTGGGATTATTTGAAATTATTTTGGAGGTTCCAATCAATGCTATAGATATATATAAAACATATATCTATAGCATTGATTGATTAATATATTATATATTAATATATTATATATAAATATATATATTAAATAATATATTTAATATAATATATATAATATAATATATAATATAATATATATTATATTATATATTATATAATATAATATACAATATAATATAATATATAATATAATATAATATAAAATATAATATATAATATATTATATATTATAATATATAATATATTATATAATATAATATATAATATATTATATTATATATAATATATCATATGATATATATTATATGTATTATATATATTATACAATATATTATATTTAATATATATATTATATAATATATTATATTTTATATATATTATATTATATATATAATATAATATATATAATAATATATATTATATAATATATATTATATTATATATATTATATAAATTATATTATGGTATTATATTATATATATAATATAATATATTTTATATTATATATTATATATTATATATTATATATATAATATATATATAATATATAAAATATAATATATATAATATATTTATATATTATATAAATATATATTTATATACTATATTTATATTTATAATAATATATTTATATTTATAATTTATATTTATATTTATATTATAAAATATTATAACTTAATATTTATATTTATAAATTTATATTTATAATAATATACAATTATATGTATAATTATATATTATATGTATTATACATTAACATATATTTTATATATATATTTCACATATGTATGTGAAAGAAATTATTTGTGCATGACAGTGTTGTCTACCCAGAAAATCTGAAAAAATAAACTGAAAACCTATTGGAACCAGCAGTAGAGGTCATTAAGGTAACCAGCTACCAGATAAACACCTCCCCATACCAACTAAGAGGAAACAAATTTCAATTTTATTAAAAATAATATTTCTATATACCAGCAGAAACCAATCAGAAAATAGTTCCTAAACGGAAAAAATTCCATTCCCAACAGCAACCAAAAGCTAAAAAATAGTCCAAGTTTAATAAATGTTTGAGACCTATATGAAGAAAACTGCTGACATTATTGAAAGACATTCTGAACATATGGCCAAGGGCTGTCTGTTCTTGGATAGGAGGGTTACATTTATGGTGCATTATTATGTGGCAGGCATTTTAAATGCATTATTCCACTGAATTCTCATCATAACCCCATGACATGAGTATTGTTATTACTTCTGCTTTAGAGATAAATAAATTAAAGATTCCTGAGTTGCGCTAACTTGTCAGAGCAGAAAGACTGAGTTTCTGGTGCCTGTCTCCTGTCTTTTTAACCATGGCTGCATCATACTGCATCATTTCTCCCTAAACAGTTATAGATTTGGCCAAGCACGGTGGCTCACGCCTGTAATCCCAGCACTCTGGGAGGCCAGGGAAGGTGGATCACCTGAGGTCAGGAGTTTGAGACTAGCCTAACCAACATGGTGAAACCCCGTCTCTATTAAAAATACAAAAATTAGCTGGGCGCGGTGGCAGGTGCCTGTAATCCCAGCTACTTGGGAGGCTGAGGCGGGAGAATCGCTTGAACTTGGGAGGCGGAGGTTGCAGTGAGCCAAGATTGCACCATTTCCCTCCAGCCTGGGAGACAGAGCAAGACTCTGTCTCAAAAACAAAACAAAACAAAAGTTATAGATTCAATGCAATTCCTATCAAAACCTTAACAGGAATTTTTTTAACTTAAAAGTTCAGCTGGGAGAGTAAATACTAAATATTGTCAAGATGTTTTTGAAAAGAATGACAAGGTGGAAATTGCCCTATTAGGTATAAAAAGAGACTACCAAAGTAATGGAATTAAAAGTGTTAATAGAAAAAAATTAGCAGGGCATGGTGGCATGGGCCTGTAGTCCCAGCTACTCGGGAGTCTGAGATGGGAGGTTCGCTTGAGCCTGGGAGGCAGAGATTGCAGTGAGCTATGATTATGCCACTGTACTCTAGCCTGGGCAATAGAGCAAGACCCTGCTGATTTAAAAAAAAAAAAGAAAAGAAATGAAAAGAAAAGGAAGAGTTATGGTTGTACGGGTATTTCAACTTTGGGGTAAAGTAAATTCAGTAAATGGTTTGGAGATAAATGGCTATTCAGTTGTAAACTGTGGAATAGATAGCCACTTCAAACAAAAAATAAAAGTAAAATGAATCATAGTTCCAAACGAAACAACAAGAGCACCAAGAGAAAATCAAAGAGACTATGCCCAGGGATAGTCTAAGTAAGACACTAAACTCAAAAACAATACAGACACAAAATATTAACATTTCTGGCAAATGTGATTAGGAGAAAAAGTTTAACATCACTGGTGAATAGGAAAATGCAAAGAAAATCAAGAAACCATTTTCCTCCTATCAATTTAACAATTGCTTTTTTAAAAATGATACTATCCAAGCTAGGTGCGGTGGCTTACGTTTATAATCCCTGCACTTTGGGAAGCCTAGGCAGGCAGATCTCTGGAGCCCAGGAGTTCAAGACCAGCCTGGGCAACATAGCGAGTCTCAGTCTCTACAAAAAATACAAAAATTAGCCAGTGTAGTGGCTCACACTTGGGGTCCCAGCTATTTGAGAGGTTGAGGCAGGAAGATCACTGGAGCCCAGGAGGCTGAGGCTGCAGTGAGACGTAATTACACCATTGTACCCCAGCACGGGTGGCAAAGTGAGACCCTGTCTCAAGAAAAAAAAAAAAGGATATTATCTAGTGTCAGTGAAGACTTGGAGAAAAATCCTTATCATTGGTGGAAATATTAACTGATACAGCATTTTTGGAGGACAAATTAACATATCTATCAAACGTTAAGACTAGATCCTTTTTGACAAATGAGCGCTTATTTAGAGTGGTAGATTGACCATAAAATATGGATCCAATACTGACACAGAGGTTAAAAAGAAAAAGCTCTCTCTCTTACTTTATCCCAGAAGAATTTTTAAATTTTGTATTTTGATAATATATTGTTTTATAAAGATTCAGAGCTACCATCTTTTTGGTGCATTGGATCTTTTATCAATGTATATATTCTCTTTAGCTCTCTCTCTTAAGGTGCTTTATCATAAAATTATATTTTGTCTGATATTCATATTGCCACCTATATTTCTTTTAGTTTGCATTTGCTGTTGTTCATCCATTATTTTCTTATTCTCTTTCTTTCTTTTCTTTGTTTAAATTGAGACAGAGTCTTACTCTGTTGCCCAAGCTGGAGTGCAGTGGCATGATCATGGCTCACTGCAGCCTCGACCCCTCGGCTCCAGTGATCCTCCTATCTCAGCCTCCCAAGTAGCTGGTACTACAGGCATGTTCCACCATACCCAGCTAATTTTTTTTTTTTTTTTTTTTTTTGCATTTTTTTGTAGAGACAGGGTTTCAACATTTTGGCCAGGCTGGTCTCCAGCTCCTGGACTCAAGCCATCTGCCCGTCTGAGCTTCCCAAAGTGGTGGGGTTATAGGTGCGAGCCATTGCCCCCAGCTATTTATTCTTCTTCTTCTTTTTTTTTTTTTAAGATGGAGTTTCCCTGTTGTTGCGCAGGCTGGAGTGCAATGGCGAGATCTCAGCTCACTGCAACCTCTGCCTCCCTGGTTCAAGCGATTCTCCTGCCTCAGTCTCCCTAGTAGCTGGGATTACAGGCGGATGCCACAGTGCCCAGCTAATTTTTGTATTTGTAGTAGAGATGGTGTTTCACCATGTTGATCAAGGCTGCTTTCAAACTCCTGACCTCAGGTGATCTGCCCGCCTTGGCCTCCCAAAATGCTGGGATTACAGGCGAGAGCCACTGCGCCTGGCCTGCCCCTAGCTATTTCTTATTTTCAAAAACTGTTTTGGTTACTGTGTATCTGATGAACATCATATTGTTGGCTTTAAAAATAATTTTAATAGACTATTTTTAAGAGCAGTTTTAGGTTCATAGCAAAGTTTAATGGAAAGTACAGAGAGTTCCCATACACACTCCTCACCCCCACATGCATAGGCTCTCCACTCTCAACATTCCCTACAATAGTGGTATAGCTGTTACAATCGATGAACTAACACTGATGCATGAATATCACCCCAAGTTCACAGTTTACATTAAGGCTTCTTCTTGGCATTGTACATTCCATGGGTTTGGGCAAATGTAGAATGAAATGCACCATCATTACAGTATTGAACAGGAGAGTTTCACTGCCCTAAAAATCCCCCGTGTTCATCTATTTATTCCTCTCTCTCCCCAAGTCCCTGACAATCCCTAATCTTTTTACTGTCTCCATAATTTTGCCTTTTCCAGAATGTCATAGAGTTGGAATCACAGAGTATATCGCGTTTCCAGATTGGCTTCTTTCACTTAGTAATTTGCCTTTATGTTTCTTCCATGCCTTATTTATTTTTATTTTTAATTTAATTAATGTTTGTGGGTACATAGTAGGTGTATATATTTATGGGATACATGAAACATTTTGATACAGGCATGCAATGTGAAATAAGCACATCACAGGGAATGGGGTATCCATCCCCTCCAACATTTATCCTTCGAGTGAGTTACAAACAATCCAATTACACTCTAAGTTATTTTAAGATGTACAATTAAGTTATTATTGACTATACTCACCGTATTGTGCTACCGAATAGTAGATAACATTCATTCTTTCTATTCTTTTGTACCCATTACCCTTGCCCACCTCCCCACCCTCCATGTCTTCTCATGCCTTGATAATTCCTTTCTTTTTAGCTCCGGATAATATTCCTTTGTCTGGATGTACCACAGTGTATTTATCCATTTACTTACCCAAAGACAGTTTGTTTGCTTCCAAGTTTTGGCAATTATGAATAAAGTTACTATAGACATCCATGTACAGGTTTTTATGTAGACACGAGTTTTCAGCTAATTTGGGAAAAACTAAGGAGTGTGATTGCTGGGTCATTTGGTAAGAGCATGTTTAGTTTTGTAAGAAACTGTCAAAATGTTCTACACTACTGGTGGGAATGTAAAGTGGTACAACTGCTATGGAGAACAGTGTGGAGATTCCTTAAAGAACTAAAAGTGGAACTAACATTTGATCCAGCAATCCCCCTACTGGATGTTAACCCAGAGGAAAAGAAGTCATTATACGAAAAAGATACTTGCCCACGCATGTTTATAGCAGCACAATTCACAATGGCAAAAAATGTGGAACCAACCCAAATGCCCATCAATCAATGAGTGGATAAAGAAACTGTGATTGAGATATATGTATATATAAAACAGAATACTACTCAGCCATAAAAAGGAATGAATTAATAGCATTTGCAGCAACCTGGATGAGATTGGAAACTATTATTCAAGTGAGGTAACTCAGGAATGGAAAACCAAACATTGTATATTCTCACTCATAAGTGAGAGTTAAGCTATGAGTTAAGCATTGAGCATAAGAATGACACAATGGACTTTGGGGACTCAGGGCGGAAAGGGTGCAAAGAGGATCAGAGATAAAAGACTAGAAATATGGTGCAGTGTATACTGCTCGCATGATGGGTGCACCCAGATCTCACAAATCACCACTAAAGAACTTACTTGTGTAACCCAATACCACCTGTTCCCCAATAACCTATGGAAATAAAAAAATAAAATAAAATATTTGAGAAGAGAAACTGAAATTCTTCTACTTAAAGAAGAATAGCATTTTAAGAAGTTGCCTTGATACTAAAATCTGCAGGTATTAAAAAAAAAGGAACTGACAAAATGTCTTCCAAAGGGGCTCTTGATTCTGCTTTCCTACCAGCAATGAATGAGAGTCCCTGTTGCTGCATGTCCTTGCCAGCATTTACTGTTGGTGTGTATTAGTCTGTTCTCACACTGTTCTAAATAACTTTCCAAAACTGAGTAATTTATGAAAAAACGAGGTTTAATTGGCTCACAGTTCCTTAGGCTGCACAGAAAGCATGGCTGGGGAGGCCTCAGGAAACTTTCAATGATGGCAGAAGGCAAAGAGGAAGCAGGCAAGTCCTACATGGCTGGAGCAGGAGAAAGAGAGCAAAGCGGGAGGTGCCACACACTTTTAAACAACCAAATTTTGGCCAGCATGGTGGCTCACACCTGTAATCCCAGCACTTTGGGAGGCTGAGGCAGGCAGACCACTTGAAGTCAGGAGTTCTAGATCAGCCTGGCCAATATGGTGAAACCCTGTCTCTACTAAAAATACAGAAAAATTAGCTGGGGGTGGTATTGGGCACCTGTAATTCCAGCTACTTGGGAGGCTGAAGCAGGAGAATCGCTTGAACCTGGGAGGTGAGGTTGCAGTGAGCTGAGATTGTGCCACTGTACTCCAGCCTCAGCGACAGTGCGAGACTCCATCTCAGAAACAAAACAAAACAAAACAAAAACACACAAAAACCTCCCCCAGCTTTCATGAGAATGAACTCACTATCACGAGAACAGTGAGGGGGTCATGATCCAATCACCTTCCACCAGGTCCCTCCTCCAACACTGAGGATCACAATTCGACATGAGATGTGGGTGGGGACACAAGTCCAAACCATATCAGTGTTTTCAGTGTCTGACATTCTGATAGGTATGTAGTGGTATCTCATTGTTGTTTTAATTTGCATTTCCCTTATGACAATTATGTTATTGCTGGATGTTTATGTTTTCATTCAGCCTAAGAGTATTTAAAAGTTTTTTAACTATGGTAAATGACACATGAAATTTACCATCTTTATCATGTTTAAACATACTGTTTAGTAGCATTAACTATACTCACATTGTTGTGCAACTGTCGCAATCCATCTTTAGAGGTTTTTCATTTTGCAAAACTGAAACTCTGTACCCATTAAACAACTCCCCATTGCCCCCTACCCTTAGCTGCTGAGAGCCGCCATTCTACTTTCTGTTTCTATGATTTTGCCTATTCTAGGCATCGCATGTACATGGAATCATACAGCATTATTTGTCTTTTTGTGACTGGTTTATTTCATTTAGGATAATGTCCTCAATGTTCATCCATGCCATACATTTGTCAGAATCTGCTTCCTTTTTAAGTTTGAATAATACTCCACTGCATGTGTAAACTACGTTTTTTTTTTCTTTTGAGACAGAGTCTTGCTCTGTTGCCAAGGCTGGAGTGCAGTGGCTCGATCTTGGCTCACTGCAAGCTCTGCCTCCCGGGTTCAAGTGATTCTCCTACCTCAGCCTCCCGAGTAGCTGGGATTACAAGTGCCTATCACTAATTTTCTGTATTTTTAAGTAGAGAAAGGTTTCACCATGTTGGCCAGGCTGGTCTTGAACTCCTGACCTCAAGTTATCCACCTGCCTCAGTCTCCCAAAGTGCTGGGATTACAGGAGTGAGCTGCCACTGCGCCCAGCCTTTTTTTTTTTTTTTTTTTTTTTTTTTTGAGACAGGGTCTCACTCTGTCGCTCAGGCTGGAGTACAGTGGCACTATCGCAGCTCATTGCAGCCTTGATCTCCCAGCTTAAGTGATCCTCTCACCTCAGTCTCCCAAGGACTACAGAGGTGCACCATCAGGCCTGGCTAATTTTTAAATATTTTTGTAAATTCCAGGTCTCGCTATGTTGCCCAGGCTGGTCTCCAATGCCTGGGCTCAAGTGATCCTCCCACCTTGGCCTCCCAAAGTGCTGAGATTACAGGCATGAGTCACCTCGCCTGCCTTATATTTTGTTTATCCATTTATTTGCTTCTACCTTTTGGCTCTCGTGAACAATGCTACAATGGACATAGATATGTAAATATCCCTTCAAGATCTTGCTTGCAAATCTTTGAGGTATATACCCAGAAGTTGAGTTACTGGATCTCATAGTAATTCTGTTTAATTTTTCCAGGGACTGCCATACTGTTTTCAATAGTGGCTTCACCATTTTACTTTCCCATCAACTGTGCACAAGCGTTCTAATTACTTCACATTCTGCCAACATTTGTTATTTTTGTGGAGTTTTTGGTTTTATTTTTATTTTTTATAGTAGACGTCTTAAGGGGTGTGAAATGTTTCCCTTTAACAGAGTTGAGGCTGAGTGTGGTGGCTCACACCTGTAACCCCAGCACTTTGGGAGGCTGAGGTGTGTGGATGGCTTAAGCCCAGGTGTTCGAGAGCAGCCTGGACAACATGGCGAAACCCCGTCTCTACCAAAAATACAAAGATTAACTGGGCGTGGTGGCACATGCCTGTAGTCCCAGCTACTCAGGTGACAGGCGGGAGGGTCACCTGAGCTTGGGAGGTCGAGGCTGCAGTGAGCCATGATTGTGCCTCTGCACTACAGTCTGGGTGACAGAGTGAGACCCTGTCATAAATAAATAAATAAATAGTGAGTTGAACCCATTCACATTTAATATAGTTACTGATTTCTGATATTTTATGTTTTTTATTACATTGTTCTCTTTATTATTTCTTTTACTTTCTTATTTCCTAGGATTTTTTTTTTATACACTGAATTTTCTTTTTTTAAAACTCTCTTCTGGTTGTTTGAAAAGTTATACGTACTATTTCTTTTTTTTTCTTTTTTTTTTTTTTTAGAGATGGGATCTTGCTATGTTGCCCAGGTTGGCCTTTGAACTCCTGGCCTCAAGGGATCCTACTCCGTCAGCCTCCAGAGTAGCTGAGACTACAGGTGCACCCCACGGAGCTGGGCTTTCTTCCTATTTGTCTATTTTCAGGTAAAGGCTCATGTTCCTTGAACACCTGCTATGTTCCAGCCCCTATGCAGACCTTTTTATATTGATGATCTCATTTAATCCTTACGACAGCCCTATGAGGTTGCTCCTATTTTTAAAAATAAACTTTATATTTTAGAATAAATTAATTTTAAATTAGAATTAACTTAGAATTATTTAGAATAAATATTTTTACTTTAGAGTAATGTTTTTAGGACTTAGATTCTAAAAAGAAAAAGGAAAGTGCTGTAGGCAGTACAGAGAGTTTCTGTTTACTCTACACCTAGTACACCCAGTTTCCTTTAGTATTCATAGCTTCCATGGATATGGTATGCTTGCCAAAATTAATGAACCAATAGTGACACATTTTATTAGCTAAAATCTGTAGTTTATGCACATTTCCCAGGTTTTTGTCAAAATTTTACAATCTGTGTCAACATACCACACGACATCAGCCTCCTGTCTCCCTTAGGTTCTTGTTGGCTATGACAGTTTCTTTGTTTCGATGACCTTGGCAGTTTAGAGGAGATGGCCTTTAATTTAATAAGACCTTTTAAACATCTTTCTCCATAAACATTTAGAATGAATCAGTATCCATAATTTTTCCCTCTGGAATAAGATAAGATCTTAAACATCTCATGCTTTGTAGGAATAATCTAAAATTTCAGTTCCAATTGAGCAATAAAATTCTTTCTACATTTCTCTTTCTCTTTAAAATAGTTTCTTAAATGTCTTAATCTTAAGATCTCAGTATAAATTTTATCAGTTTATTTATATTTGTTACCACTTTTTCATGTTTTGAATTTAATTATCTTTCTTGAATTACTTTTTCCCCCCCGAAGGAAATATTTTCAGAAAGGATGGTTGGGTGATAAACTTTCTGAGCCCTTCATGGTCAAGCTTTTCTTATTTGCAACATGGAGATCAAAATACCTATCCCACAGAATTGCTGAAGATGAACGAATTCATACTTTTAAGCTTTTAGCAGAGTTCACCATATAAGCAATCAATAAATGTTAGCTCTTGTTACTATTACAATGAGCACATATTATTTTGTAATTATAAGGAAAACTATGCACGGACGCACGCAAGGAAGGAGGGATAGTGGTAAAGAAGGTGATAATACGGAAAGTGATGTGACAGAATGGAAGAGCAGGTGACATAACCACTATTTTCAGCTTGGTAAATGTGGAAAAGTCCTGAGCATTTCTGCCAACCAGCTTAACCTGGGCTATGCTGTCATCCATGGTCCAGACAGCCACGTGGGTGTTAGAAGCCACATGGCCCATCTGTCTCCTCTGAGGTCACTGGAGTTTATCAGCTGTTGTGTACCCTTAGCATGAGTCAGGAGGGTTCTGGGAAAATGTCTTTCTAGTTGAAGGACTGGCAATTCAGTTCAAAGATTAATAAACACAAAATAACACTTGAGAAGCATGTGTCATGTCAAATGCAGAACGTGTGTTCCAGAGGGAGGAACAAAACACGAGTGCTCTCTAAACAGACCAAAATTTCTTCAATTGATTCTTTGCTATTCATGAGCAAGGGAGGGAGAACAAATTGTTATGCCTGACACCAGATTTCAGGCCTGGAATTTTGTAGTGTGATTCATGCAGCTATATTTAATATTTGCAGAGTCATCCAGTAACCCCTGTCAGAGCCCAGGGAAGCCTTCACCCTGGGGCAACTCCCTTCTCCACCATCCATGCACTGCTTAGGGATCCTTGTAGGACGGTCTTGGTATGACGTATCATTCCTCGCATGCTTGAATGGCAGTTGTGTCTCCATAAACACCAGTGCCGGCCAAACACAGCCAGGTCTTTCATGTCAATTTAGGAATGTGTTGCCCTCATAAAGATAAGGCATTTAGTGCTCTTGACCTTGTTAAAGGTCTGTGACTGGCTCAGAATTTTTAATACCCGGGGAGTAGTGCGGAGGCGCGGTGGGGGATGGACTCTAGTTGTTTCCTGTGCTCAGGGTAGAATCCTGGAACCTGAGTTGCCAAAAAAAAAAAAAAAGAAAAGAAAAGAAAAAAAGGAAAAGAAAAATTGGATCATTAAGTTAGGATATTATGTTTAAATCTTATAATGTACTTGTAAATGTTGATGGCATAATATGTAAGTAACAAAAGACATGGCTTCATCAATTTCTACTTTAAAAGCTTTCACAGGAAAGAGATAAAGAATAATGTGGCTAATAAATGACATGCTGATAAAGTATTAAAAAGAACAGAACACTTCTGATGGCTTCACACTCTGGAAGGATGGGAAATAAGCAAACGCAAAATAAAACAGCTGGGTAGACTCAAAGGAAATAAAAAAGGGGTTTCCCCCACCCCTGTACATTCCCTCAAATAGGAGCTAAAAAGGAAAATAAAATTGCACCAAACCATGAGAGGGGAACATTTAAGCATTCTAATATTGTAAATAGACATTCAGGCTGAGTTTTCCATCCAAAAGCTAGGACAGGAAATAAATCCTTAAGCATAACTAAGAGACTAATAAGGAAATATTTTCAGGGGTTTAAAGCAAATAGTTTTTTTAATGCAAAAACAACATAATCAAGACATATTATCACATGTCATATATGACAGCAAATATGCTTACCAGGCTTCTTCCAAGAGCAAATGAGATAAAAGTACTTTGAAACCATAAAACGTTATGCAAATGTGCAGTGATATTAGCGTTATTTGGGAAAATAAAAGCACTGGGCTTCTCCCTTTTCCTGTTTCTCATTCCTTTTATTTACCTTAAAATACAAGTTTATTTCTTCTCAATATACCTGAGGAGTTGCCTAGTAGGAAATGGAACACACACAAAATCCGGCTTTTTCTTCCTGTCTTATTGTTCGTTTGTCACAATATTTGTTTTTCCTGGTTGTTGTTTAAAAATTGTTATGGAAAATTTCAAACAGACATCAAGTTAGAGAGAATTTGATCATGAACGTCATGTCCTCATCCCTCAGACTCTACATGTGTTATTAGCTTTTTGGCCAGTCTTATTCCATCTATAATCCCACCTACTTTCCAACTCAGATTATTTTGAAGTAAATGCCAGACATCCTGTCATTTCCATTAGAATTCCTAAAAGATAAAAACTATTCAAAAAAGAACACGGGACAGAGGCAGGCGGATCACCTGAGGACAGGAGTTGGAGACCAGTCTGGTCCAACATGGTGAAACCCCGTCTCTAGTAAAAATACAAAAATTAGCTGGGTGTGGTGGTAGGCACCTATAATCCCAGCTACTTGGGAGGCTGAGGCAGGAGAATCGCTTGAACCTGGGAGGTGGAGGTTGCAGTGAGCCAAGATTGCTCCATTGTACTCCAGCCTGGGCAACAAGAGCGAAACTCCATCTCAAAAAAAAAAAAAAAAAGAATACAGGCTGGACGTGGCGGCTCACACCCATAATCTCAGCCCTTTGGGAGACCCTGGAGGAAGGATCACCTGAGCCCAGGAGTTTGAGACCAGCCTGGGCAACACAGAGAGACCCAGTCTCTACAAAAAATACAAAAATTAGCCTGGCATTGTGGCTGCGCCTGTAGTCCCAGCTACTGGAGAGACTGAGGCTGGAGGATGGCTTGAGCCCAGGAGATTGAGGCTGCAGTGAGCCGTGATTGCAACACTGCTCTCCAGTCTGAGTGACAAAGGAAGACTCTGTCAAAAAAAAAAAAAGAAAGAAAGAAAGAAAGGACCTTACTATAACAATTATTCTTGAATATCACCAAAATCCAGTCAGTGCTCCATTTCCCCGATTGTCCTGTAATTTTTTAAACAAGTTGTTCGAATCAGGATCCAAAAAAGTTCCCATTCATTGTGATTGATTGAGGTGTCTCTTTAGATTTTTTAAGCCTGGAGGTACTGGCACAACCTCCTTCTCTCTCTCTCCCTCCTCCTCCCACTCTTTCTCTCCCACCCCCTCCACCCTCAAACCCAGCAGGTCTGACCAGGCAGCAGTGGTCATCTGATTGACGCGCATTGAACTCTCTGCCTGAAAAGATGCTGTACTTCGTTGAGTTCCTTCCTTTTCTGTTCTGCCCAAGCTGTAATGGCTCTGAGGATTTGGAAAAGGTTTTAGAATCTAGGAATGAATGAGAAAACTGTTTTAAAGGGCCCCTCCACACTACTGAGGTCATTTACTTTTTCTTACTCTTTACCAAAACCTGTATAGATCACTGATATAATAGATGCGAAAGATACTCTAGTGGAAAATGTCATGTAAATGTAAAGGACTGCTGATGGTTATGTTATCATTCAAGAATGTTTTACAGGGGGAGATCTTAGCAAGCGGAAGTACAAGTAAAACTGAATCATGAGCAATTTATGTTATTACCTTCAGGGCAACCATAAATTAAGCCAGATAATTGTTCCCGGGCTCTGAACACTATGGGACAAGAAGCCATGGCTATAAGCCAAGAAAAAAAAAGCCGTATTTTTAAAAATACCCATTTAAAAGAGGAAAAGCAATTAGGGAGCAGATCCTGTAAGTAAAGGAAGACGGGGAAATAGCATTAAGTAGGTATCCAACAAGTTATTTGATATGACAGTGGTACAAATGATGCAAAAATATTCTCTTTCTTCCCTCAAATTTACAGAAACTGGCTCACAGTTTTTTGAGTAGTGAAGAATTTTAGGGCTGGGCGCAGTGGCTCATGCCTGTAATCCCAACACGTTGGGAGGCTGAGATGGGAGGATCACTTGAGCCCAGGAGATCAGCCTAGGCAACATAGTGAGGCCCCATCTCTACAAAACATTTTGAAATTAGCTGGGCGTGGTGGTGCACGCCTGTAGTCCTAGTGTATTAGTCTGTTCTCACACTGCTATAAAGGGCTGTCTGAGACTGGGTAATTTATAAAGGAAAGAGGTTTAATTGACTCATGGTTCCACATGGCTGGGGAGGCCTCAGGAAACTTACAATTGTGGTGGAAGGGGAAGCAAACATGTGCTTCTCCACATGATGACAGGAAGGAGAAGTGCAGAGCAAAAGGGGGGAAAGCGCCTTATGAAACCATCAGATCTCGCGAGAACTCACTCACTACCATGAGAACAGCAGCATGGGGATAACCGCCCCCATGATTCAATTACCTCTCACCAGGTCCCTCCTGTGACACGTGGAGATTTTGGGAACTACAAATCAAGATAAGATGTAGGTGGGGACACAGCCAAACCATATCACCCAGCTACTTGGGAGGCTGAGGTGGGGGGATCCGCTTGAGCTGGGGAGGTCAAGGCTGCGTTGGGTCATGATCGCACCACTATACTTCAGCCTAGGCATCAGAGTGAGACCCTGTGTCAAATAAATAAATAAATAAACAAATAAAATAAAAAATTCAGGCCAGGCATGGTGGCTCACGCCTGTAATCCCAGCACTTTGGGAGGCCGAGGCGGGCGGATCATGAGGTTAGGAGATCGAGACCATCCTGGCTAACATGGTGAAACCCCATCTCTACTCAAAATACAAAAAAATTAGCCAGGTGTGGTGGCGGGTGCCTGTAGTCCTAGCTACTCCGGGGGCAACCCAGGAGGCGGAGCTTGCAGTGAGCTGAGATTGTGCCACTGCACTCCAGCCTGGGCAACAGTGCGAGACTCCGTCTAAAAAAAAAATTAAAAAAAGAATTTTAGAGACAACTCAATCTGCCATTCCCGCATCCCCATCTTTTTCTTTATTTCTTTATTTCTTTTTCTTTTCTTTTTTTTTTTATTTTGAGACATTGTCTCACTCTGTTGCCTAGGCTGGAGTGCAGTGGCGCAATCTCAGCTCACTGCAACCTCCGCCTCCCAGGTTCAAGTGATTCTTCTGCCGCAGCCTCCAGAGTAGCTAGGATTACAGGCGCACGCCACCGCACCCAGCTAATTTTTGTATTTTTAGTAGAGACAGGGTTTCCCCATTATGGCTGGGCTGGTCTCGAACTCCTGGCCTCAGGTGATCCACTCTCCTCGGCCTCCCAAAGTGCTGAGATTACAGGCGTGAGCCACCATGCCCAGCCTCCCCATCTTTTTCACAGATGAGAAAATGGAGACCTAGATGGGCTATGAGGTATGCCCAAAGTTGAAGAGCCATTTAACTGTGTTGTGGGTTGTAAGCCATAGGTCTCCTGATACTGAATCCAAAGCTCTTTCTCTCTCTTTCCTCCTTTTTTCTATCATGCTTTGAGAGAATTTACAAAGTGTTGGCCATAATTTTACGGAAATAACGCTAGCAATAAAGGTAATTTGCTATCAGCAATAGTCTTGAATCTGGAGTTTCAATTAAATTTATTAAATGTGTTGGGTACCTACCACCAGGTTATAAGAATACTTTGAAGTTTCTTTTGCTTTTAACATTACACTTTTTCTCAGGTTTTTTATTTGTTTGTTTGTTTGTTTGTTTGAGACGGAGTCTCGCTCTGTCGCCCAGGCTGGAGTGCAGTGATGCGATCTCCGCTCACTGCAACCTCTGCCTCCCAGATTCAAGTGATTATCCTGCCTCAGCCTCCCGAGTAAGTGGGATTACAGGTGCCCGCCACCACACCCAGCTAATTTTTGTATTTTTAGTAGAGACGGGGTTTCACCGTGTTGGCCAAGCTTGTCTTGAATTCCTGACCTCAAGTGATCCATCCGCCTCGGCCTCCCAAAGTGCTGGCGTGAGCCACCGCGCCTGGCCACTCAGGTTATTTTAATGCCACAGTTTACTGTCACATATAGGAGGTAGAGATTCCTTTCATCAAACTTACCACTCGTGTTGGCACCATTTATGGTCCATTATTTGCTTTTCTCCTCGCCATCCTCCAACCCATCTCTTCGTCTCCCATTCACAGCCAAGGATTGACTTATTTTGTACAAAAGTGGCCGTGCCTGCTGGTAGGAAGGTCAAGAGGGACGTCCACCAGTGGTGCATGTGGCCGTCTGCCTTTAAACTTAAACTTTCGTTTCTGCTTGCTTCAAAATTATAGTTTGAAAGGTCGCTTTCATTGGTAGCTAGATCTAGCTGCCTCTTTTCACAGGTAAGACCACAGGAACCCAGAAAGGCAGAGGGCTTGCTCAAGGTAACTCGAGGTATCAGTGGTAGATCCAGGCACAGAGCCCAGGTCTCTGCAGTGCTCTATCGTTGGATCTTATACACAAGAGAATCAAATCTACTCAGCTGCCTAGGGATTTGTGCAGAAACAACTTCCATTTGTGGTTGAGATAACTGATGCGAGAATTTTCAGTAACAGGATTTCTTGGGTAGAAGTGGGAAAAAATCCCCACTGGGAACAAACTTAAAATGAAAAGATGTGAAAATGTATGCCTCTCTGAGAAAAGATGTTTCAGCTGCTTCCTGGAGTGACTTGGGTTAGAGAATGAGTTTGTAAGTGCGTGCTGACCCAGTTAATGTAGGAAGTATCAAACTCCAGGCACAAGTGACCTGAAAGAGAAGGAGTCCTCTTTTTAATAAACGTAAACAAATGCTATCTTCATTTTTCCATTTAATTTTTTTTTTTTTGAGACAGGGTCTCGCTCTCTTGCCCAGGCTGGAGTGCAGTAGCACGATTGTGGCTCACTGCAGCCTCGACCTGTTGGGCTCAAGCAGTCCTCTCACCTCAGCTTTTGAGTAGCTGAGACTAAAGGTGCACAACACCATGCCCAGCTAATTTTTGTATTGTTTTGTAGAGATAGAGTCTCACTATATTGCCCAAGTTGGTCTTGAACTCCTGGGCTCCAGCAATCTGCTCACCCTGGCCTCCCAAAATGCCAGATAACAGGCAGGAGCCATCACACCTGGCCTAATTTTATTTATTAAAGTAATATATGGCTGGGTGTAGTGGCTCATGCCTATAATCCCCACACTTTGGGAGGCCAAGACAGGAGGATCGCTTGAGCCCAGGAGCTCAAGCTCAGTCCTGGCAACATAGCGGTATCCCATCTCCATAAAAAATAAAAATTCAAACATTGGCCAAGTATGGTGACATGCAGCTGTGGTCCCAGCTACTTGGGAGGCTGAGGCAGGAGGATTGCTTGAGCCCAGAAGACAGAGAATGCAATGAGTAGAGATTGCGCCACTGCACTCTAGTCTGGGTGACAGAGTGAGATCTCAAAAATAAATAAATAAATAAATAAAATAAAACAAACAAACAAAAAGAAAGTAACATATGCATATAGGAACAGTTCCACTAGGAACCAGAATCTAATCATGAAGAAACATCTTAGCATGTGAGCCATTCTGAGACAACTAGACTGCTGTCTTCAAAAAAGTCAGTGTCATGAGAAGCAAAAAGGCCTGATGGGACAGGGACTATTCCATATTTTAAAAGTCCAAAAAGACAAAACAACCAAATGCAAAGTGTGAAACTTAATTAGATCCTGGATGAAAAAAGATATATAAAAGATATTTTGGGGACTACTGAGGAAATTCGATTGTGGATTGGATATCCAATGATCATGGGAGATTATTGTGAATTTCCTTAGATGTGAAGATGATATTCTGGGCATGGAGGAAAATGTCCTTGTTCTCAAGAGACAGCATCTGGAATATTTCCGAATGAAGCATTGTGATGTTTTTTAACTCACTTCAAATGGTCCAGAAAAAAAGGAGGAGAGATAAAGCTTATGTGGAATCCAGGTTAAAGGTATATTGGTATTTCTTGTACTATTTAACTGTTACATAGATGTGAAAAATTTCAAGCTAATAGGAAAAAAAAGTCTAATGCAAAAAGACTCTTTACAAAAAATATGGTCTCCACCCTATCCTTTTCTGTTCCCTGGGATATCTGCTTTTATATTTTATTTTTATTTTATTTTTGAGACAGAGTCTCATTCTGTTGCCCAGGCTGGAGTGCAGTAGTGCAATCTCAGCTCACTGCAATCTCTGCCTCCTGGGTTCACACAATTCTCCTGTCTCGGCCTCCTGAGTAACTGGGATTACAAGCACACACCACCACGCTTGGCTAATTTTTGTATTTTTTAATAGAGATGGGGTTTCTCCATGTTGGCCAGGCTGGTCTTGAACTCCTGACCTCAGGTGATCTGCCTGCCTTGCCTCCCAAAGTGCTGGGATTACAGGTATGAGCCACTGTGCCTCGCCTACTTGTAATGTATCTAGTTGCTTGTTCTAGTATTTAACTCCAAATTAAAAAATAAATACAGATACTGCTATTTCTTGAGTCTATAACTTTAGATAGTTCTAATAATTTTCTCTGATAGTAGGTGATGTTTTTAACTCTTTTTACACCCCATGTCTTTTCACCACATGGTCTCAGAATTATTCTATCAAATTTTGTGTTGAGATCCATATTCAATATTTTCATTATTATTACTAAATGATACAGGATCATGTACTGATTAACAAAAAAGCATATAATGATTACAGTTCCTTTATTATGACACCTGCTATTTTTTTACTGAATTTAATCATTGCTTTGTTTCTTCAGTTGCTTTGCTTTTATAATCCATTGTTAAGTATTTCCTCACCTGAAGAAAACAGCTTGGTTAAACTTCACCCAAGGCCATTTTTTCCCCTAAAATCTCTTCCAGTTCCTTTTTTTTTTTTTCCTGAGAACACCTGGTGTGGAGCTCTCTAACCACCTGCTGTGGTCTGGAGTGCATGCTCACCAGGTTTGCTCCATAATTCCTAACTGGGACTTTCCTCCACCCCTGCCCTGGGAATTCCCATTGCATTGCTCCTATGTTGGATCCCCTCTGGCTCTTGGGTTCCATGCTTCCTTGCTTCCCTATCTTACGGCTATCAGCGTTGTGTTGAGAAGTTGAATTCCATTTCAATTCCTGACTCTTTGCATGTCACCTACTTTTTCTCTCTAAAAATTCTTGGGATATTTTCTTCTATCTGATGTCCTGAAATTACACCATGATGTTCTTTGATGTTGGTGTTTTCCATTCAGTGAACTGGACATTGCTTGGAATTTTTCATTTAGAGGGACATGTTCTTCAACTCTGGGAAAATTTATGAAATTATTCAATAATTTTCTTCTTTCCATCTTCTCTGGTCTATCTTTCCAGGACTCTTGTCAGTCAGATATCGAGTTTCTATATTGAACTTCTGAGTGTGTTACTTTTTTTCTCACTATGATCATCTTCCTTTTGCTCTACATTCAGATAGATATATTAAATGTAATCCTTCAGTCCTTTTACTATTTTTAAATTTCTGCTATCATGTGTATTTATTTGTATTTATAGTCACCATATTTTCAGTTTTCAAGAGTTCCTTCTTTTTTTCTAATCCATTCTATTTTAAGCATTCTATTTTCATTTTATGAATATAATATTTCTCTGGTTTTTCTTTTTTTTGTTTTTTATTGAAGTTTAATCTCTATATAATAAAATACACAAACTTTAGGGGTAAAACATAATGAATTTATATATAAACATATATTAGATCTATTACATATTATTATGTTTATATATTTGTTAAATATTTTATATATCATATATTTATATAGTTTACATATTTATTTGTAATGAATTTTAAATTTTATATCACTAAACATTATTTTATTATATATAATAAGTTATATATTACAAGAAACTAAATCATATATGATGTGACATATTTGTATATATGATTTATATTCTTATGTATGATTTATGTTTATATTATTTATAAGTTATATGTATTTATAATATAACATACGTAATTTAAATACACCTGCATAACCACCAGTCAGATCAAAATAGAAAACTTTTCCAGCATATCAGTAGACTGCCTTGTGCTGCCTTCCTGATCAATTCCCTTCACAAAATAACCACCATTGCCACTTCTATTGTATTATTCAATTTTTCCTATTAGCTTTTATATTAGATATTCTTACATATTTTTTCAGTAAGAGAGATCACAGTGTGACCTAATAACTTATATAGTCTACTTTGAATTGGTCCTTTTACCACTTACAAACAATGCAAGAATCTAACAACGGCTTAACTCTTTCACTCCTTCCTTAGCTTTGTGATACTGTTGTCACGTATTATACTCCTGCATGTGTTACAGAACACATAGGACAGTGTTATTATTGCTAATTTATATGGAAATAGTCCTTTATATTTTCCCACATTACTCTTTTTGGTGCTGTCTGGTGCTTCTTTTAGTAACATATTTCTTTCAGTGATCATTTTACTTCAATTTCCAGAAGTTCCTGTGGTATTTCATTGAGTACACATTGGATGGCAACAAATTCTCCCAGTTTTTGTTTGTCTGAAAATGATTTAATTTTGCCTTCATTTTTGAAGGATATTTTCACTAGGTATGGAATTCTATGTTGTCAGTTTCGTTTTCTTTTAGCACTCTAAAGATGCTCTTCCATGATTTTATGGCTTCCATAGTTTTGTTGAAAAATCAGCTGTCAGTCTAATTGTAGCTTCTTACAGATGTGTTTTTTTACTCTAACAGCTTTTAAGATTTTCTGTCTGTCTTCAGTTTTCAGTAGTCTGGATATAACATTGGTGATTTTTTTTTAATTTTGCCTAGATTTTGCAAAACCTCTTGAATCTGTAGTTTAACATTCTTCCTTCTCAGACATCATCTCTTCAAATATTGCTTCTGCCCCGTTTTCTTTCTCCTTTCCATACAGGACTCCAATTTTACATTTGTGAGACCTTTTGCTGTGACTCATAAGTCTCTTATAGCAAGTTTTCTTACTTTTTTCTGAGTGTCAGTTTGAATAATTTTCTATTAACCTTTCCTCACATTTGCCATTTCTGTCTTTAGCTATGTCTAGTCTTCTGTTAAATTCTTCCCATAAATTCCTAATTTTCATCATTGTATTTTTCAGTCTATGTTTCTTTTATAGATTTAGATCTATAGGTTGAAGTTTTTATTTAAATTCTCCATTTTTTCATCCATTTTGTCCACCTTTTCCTCCACTTACTTTTACACAGTATTTAGTTATTTTAAAGTTCTAGTCTGCTTATTCCAATATCTGGATTGTCTGTTGGTCTGCTTCTATTGTCTGTTTATATTTTTATTTATTATTGGCTATATGGTCTTGTCTCATTGAAAAGTTAACTGTTTTTTAATTATATATTAGGCATTGTACATAAAAGAAGTGTAGAGCCTCCAGATGATATTATTTTCCAACAGAGAGGGCTTCATTTTTTCCTATGTGAAGTACACAGGGTGAAGCACTAATCACTTCAATCTAGTTAGAAATTAAAGTGGATCAGGGCTAGGCTGCAGTTTTTGTTTGTTTGTTTGTTTGTGTTTTTTGAGACAGAGTCTCACTCTGTTGCCCAGGGTGGAGTGCAGTGGCACAATCTTGACTCACTGCAAGCTCCACCTCCCAGGTTTGTGCCATTCACGTGCCTCAGCCTCCTGAGTAGCTGGGACTACAGGTGCCTGCCACCACGCCCAGCTAATTTTTTGTATTTTTAGTAGAGCCTTGGCCTCCCAGAGTGCTGGGATTGCAGGCGTGAGCCAGCATGCCCGGTCCTAGGCTGCAGTTTTAAGAAGATTCAATTCACCTCTGATTCATCTCTGTATCTTGGGTAATCTTCAGCCTGACTTATAGGATTTCATTGGTCTCTCTCAAATGAAAGCATTAAATTAAATTTTTGTTTTGTGTGTTGGGGACTTGGAGTTGGCACTCAATCAATGTCCTTTCTTCCATACCAAATTATATAGTTTGAAGAGAAATTATGGAGGCCAAAATATTATACTTATTAGTGTTAGAAGCCCTGTTGGAGAACAAGGCTTTAAGCTTGCTGAACAAGTTAGCTTGTCTGTATTAAATCTCAAATTAGGCAAACTTTCTTACCTAGAACCAGATAATGCTAGATGGGATCAAGTCTCCTTATACCGGAGTACTGTGTAGGCATGAGGGCACAGCAGAGAATGTTTGGTTCTACAAGCAACTTCCTCCCAAGAAGAAGTAGAGCAGAGTTGAGTTGAGCATGCTCAGTTATCTTAAATTTATCAATCAAATTAATGATTCCACCTCCCTTGTATTATGGGGAAATTTTTCACTGTAGAAAATAGGAGTGGGAAAAGGTATTCCTCCTCTAACATGCACTGGACTGTGTTCTTGATAGGGCCACAACGCTGAGGCAGAATCACCAACCTCATTTGAGTAAATAGTCCCCTTCATGCATTCATTCCCTAGTTAAGAATTAAAGAATGCCTAAAAATTAGTCATCCAAAGGTTTTCTTATTGCCAGTTCTCCCCACATTCTCTTACACCAAGGGCTGATAAACTGTGACCCATAAGCCACATCTAGCCTGCTCCCTCTTTCTGTAAATAAAGTTGTATTTGGAATGCAGTCACATCTGCTTGTTTACATACTGTTTATGACTGTTTTTCACACTTCAATGGCAGAGTTGAGTACTTATGACAGGGATTGTATGGCCCTCAAAGCCTAAAATATTTACTGTCTAGTACTTTACAGATGAAGTTTATCAACCCTTATATTAGACCATGGCTGGTTTTGTACCAACCTTTTTCTCTCTCTTTCTGAGGCTTATTTAAAGAAAGAAGGAATAACTGGATAAAAGGCCAGATACCCTCCTCTCTATCTCTAACACACCTAACATTTGAGGATCTCTGAATATTTCTCATAGTTGTTTCTTTCTGCCTTTTAAACAATAAAGGTTCCAGTCAGAAAAACCAAGGCATGGTATGGATCCGGGAGTTAGAAGGAAACAAGGCTTCCATGATTGATATCAGCTCTGGTTTCCTGCAAAGGACAAAGTCAAGCAAGGTTACCTATCAGTTCTCCATAGCAGGTAGTGGCCAACGGGTCTCAGACAATGCAACCTTGAGTTCATTGTTTCTCAGGCTTGGCAGTCTCACTTTGGACAAGCGGGATAAGTGCTTATACACACTTTAAGAATATCTCTAGCCAGGTGCGGTGGCTCACGCCTGTAATTCCAGCACTTTGGGAGGCCAAGGAGGGCGGATCACGAGGTCAGGAGATCAAGACCATCCTGGCTAACACGGTGAAACTCCATCTCTACTAAAAATACAAAAAAAAATTAGCCAGGCGTGGTGGCGGGCGCCTGTAGTCCCAGCAACTCAGGAGGCTGAGGCAGGAGAATGGCATGGACCCGGGAGGTGGAGCTTGTGGTGAGCCAAGATCGCACCACTGCACTCCAGCCTGGGCAACAGAGCAAGACTCCGTCTCCCCAAAAAAAGAAAAAAAAATTGGTTGATTGAAGTGTTCTTTTAATTCTAGGGCAGTTTTCTTTAGTTATATCTTTAAATAACTTTTCCTATACTCTCCTCCTCTTATTTCTAGTGAGATGAAGGCTATGTGTATTGAATCTTCTTTGTCTTCCATATTTAAAACATATTCTCTCTAATCTTTTAAAATATTTATTCTCATTTATTTATTTTTGCTTTTCTCCTCCAGATCCTCCATATGCTTTATTACGTTTTTCAGTGTTTATTCTCCTTTGTGTTACTTCCTATTTGACCTTTATTTCTAGGATTATTTTCTCAGTTTCTCTCCTGGGCTTTCATTTCTTTGGTTGCCTGGGCATCTTTCCTGAGCACTTGATCTCTATGTGTGCTTTTTTACTGTGGAGAAAATAGTTTTGTTGGGCTTTTGTAATTCAGTTTTATCTATTTGGAATCAATTTTCATCTACTATATCACAATTTCCATCTGTTCCATGACAATATTTTTCTATTTAATGTCCATTATTTGTCATTTTTCTATCATTTATTTCTGCCAATATAATTATATAGATTATTTTAATTCATTTTTACAATTATGAGTTTTGCTTAAATAAACTAAATATACTAGGGATAAGCTCATTTCAGGAAGTTCAGATGGAGGAGAGGTGAGGATTATGTTCCTCACCTATTAGACAATATGTGATGTGCCCTAGTGAGCTTTTTCAGCCTGTATTTCTCCCAGTTATCAAAGCTCAGCCCTGCATTGTTGTTCATAATACAGAGTTGCTCTGTCCACCACTCCTCTACAAGATGTCTCCTATAAATATGACTTTTCTGTGTGAGGCTTTATTTGGTAACATATTCCTTGTTCATCAAGAATCTATGCTTACACTGGGCATGGTGGCTCACGCCTGTAATCCCAGCACTTTTGGAGGCCAAGACGGGCAGATTGCTTAAGCCCAGGAGTTCGAGACTAGCCTTGGCAACATGGTGAAACTCTCTACAAAAAATGCAAAAAAGGCCAGGTGTGGTGGCTCACACCTGTAGTCCCAGCACTTTGGGAGGCAGAGGTAGGTAGATCACCTGAGGTCGGGAGTTTGAGATCAGCCTGACCAACATGGAGAAATCCCGTCTCTACTAAAAATATAAAATTAGCTGGGTGTGGTGGCACATGCCTGTAATCCCAGCTACTCGGGAGGCTGAGGCAGGAGAATCGCTTGAACCCAGGAGGCGGAGGTTGCGGTGAGCTGAGATCGCGCCATTGCACTCCAGCCTGGGCAACAAGAGGGAAACTCGGCAAAAAAAAAAAAAAAAAAAGTAATAGTAATGCAAAAAATAGCCAGGTATGGTGGCACATGCCTGTAGTCCCAGCTACTTGGGAGGCTGAGGCAGGAGGATCACTTGAGCCTGGGAGGTGGAGGCTGCAGTGAACAGTGATTGTGCCACTGCACTCCAGCCTGGGTGACAGAGCGAGACCTTGTCTCAAAAAAAAAACCAAAAAACAAAAAACCATGTCCATTTAAACTACTTAAATCCCAAAAAGGTGATGCTGAAAAGCTAATAGAGAAAATACACATGATGAAATTTATACATGTGCTTGATTTACCCAAGAGAAACCACTGAAGAAAAAAGAGACAAAGTACAGATTGCATTGCACAGGTAGAAAACAAACGCCAAGACAGAGGTGTAAACTCAGTTATATCAGACATGTAATTAACCCTTCTCCTTTAGGAAAAAAAAAAGTGCATCTTGCTGCCAGTGTTCATATTTTACATAAACACTCTCTTTGAGGCTGAAGCAAATCTGACTGATTTTTTTTCTTTTTGAGACAGAGTCTCGCTCTGTTGCCCAGGCTGGAGTGTAGTGTTGCGATCTCAGTTCACGGAAACCTTGACCTCTCGGGCTCAAGCGATTCTCCTGCCTCAATCTCCTGCTGATTGATTTTCAATGTGGAAATAAAATAGAAAAACTGTTCTTGGAGTTACTTCTAAACATAACTAACAGAATCATCAGAATCGTCTATTTCGGAAAAATAGGATTCATCAAATGAATCTTTGGCTAACAACTGTTCGAGAATGATGTTAACATCGTAAATAGGAATGCTACGTTTTCTAGCATTTGACTTTTTCAGTGATCGAGAATTACGATATTTTGTAATGGAAATACCACTACTAAAAACAAAATGAATGCTATAAATAGAATGATGTCTTTTGTTTCCAAAGTAGATAAACTAGAGCGATGCAAAAATAATAATAAGAGCAAGATATTTCATGGCAAAGTTATCTTAGGATAAACACTGCAGCCGTAAGCACCGGAGACGAGTATTCTTGGGGCAAATGGAGAGGGTTAACTTAACATGCACCACATCCCGCAATTAAAAGGCAAAGATTGTCAGGTTCAATAAGAAAAGCTCCAACTATATACAATTTCACAGAGACACACGTTAAATATAAAGGTAGGGGAAAGGTGAAAGTAACAAGATGGGAAATGACACACCATGTAAACACTAAGTAAGGTTGGTCCGACAAATTAATCTTAAAAACTAGATTGAAAGGCAAGAAGTACTACTAGTGAAAAACGGGCATTTTATAACAATAAAAGGGGGAATTCAGCAGGAAGACATAACAATTATAAATGTATCTATATCTAATAATGAATCTTCAAAATATAAAAAGCAAAATTTGGCAGAAATTAAAAGAGAAACAAGCAAATCCACAATCGCAATTGAAGTAAATCCACAATTTCTCTCTCAACTGATAGAGCAAGCAAACAAAAATCAGTAAGGACACAGAAAATTTTAATAGCACTATTAGCCAAATTGCCCTAATTGACATTTTAAAAACTTTCTGCCTAACCACTAAAAAATACACACTGTTTTCAAGTGCGCATGAAACATTCACCAAAATAGAGTATACACTGAGCCATAAACTGAGTCTTAACACATTTTGAAGTGTTGAAATCATACAGAAAATATTCTCTAAAAACGATAGAGTTAAAGTTGAAATCAGTAACAAAAATTAATATCTTAATTTGAATATTTGAATATTATTCAGCATATTCCTAAATAACCCATATCAAAGAAAAAAGCACAGTTAGAAATATTTTGAATTACCAGCCTGGCCAAGATGGTGAAACTCCGTCTCTACTAAAAATACAAAACTTGGCAGGGCGTGGTGGCACGTGCCTGTAATCCCAGCTACTTGGGAGGCTGAGGCAGGAGAATCACTTGAACCCGGGAGGTGGAGGTTGCAGTGAGCCGAGATCGCGCCACTGCACTCTAGCCTGGGCAACAGAGCGAGACTCTGTCTCACAAAAAAGAAAGAAAGAAATATTTTAAATTGAAATAATAATTTAAAAATAGTTTAAATACAACATATCAAAATGTGTAGGACAGAGCCAGAACAGTGCTTAGATGGAATTTACTGCCTTAATGAATAAACTGGAAGAAAAGTTCAAAGCTATATATATTTCCATCTGAAAATGCTAGAAAAATGAGACCAAATTTAACCCAAAGAGAAAGAACCTTTATACAAACTCCTTCCTCCTCCCCACTCTCTATCAGGCATTCCAGATCTATCACAAGCTGGGAGGGTAAGTGACAAAAACTTCAGGCCGTTGATCTGGGATTCCCCCAGATGGGGTTCAGGGGCCTCTTCCTTCTTACTCCAGAATTTATCACGTTATAGTTTCTTTGACCCATTTGGTCTTCCCTACTGGTCTTGGACGTTTTCAGGACTGGGGTCCAATCTCAACCATCTTTGCATCCCCAGCACCGATCAGAGTAACTGACACAGTGCAGACACTCAACGAGTGCATGTGGTATAAATGAATAGCTATGCACTTCACTGCAGGTAACCTGTGACTCAACTGTAGAAAGATTTTACAGGTTATGGGGTTTGAGAGAATGGTGACTGCATCCACGAAGGCACCGTCTAAGACAGCCGGTTTTGGGAAAAGGTGATCTCTGGTGTGACAAGTTGAGACCTCTGGGCTTTTTGTTCCATTTGTTTTGGTTCTCACTGTCTTGACCTCCTTCTTGGAAAACCCTTTAACATGCAAAATTGCGAGTGGCACATGATACTTGCTTTTCTCTCTCCAAGGCAAATAATGTCAGTCCCTTTGGTGATCCAGGGATCAGAAACTAGACTACGCTCTGATAAGGACATCACCCGTATGATGGAAGGATTAACTCCTGGCCATTCTATTTTAATTTTACTGGCTTAAAAATACTGCAAAAATGGTGAAGCTGTTGTTCCTTCTATACTTATGTCCCTTTAAAGGGGATGTGTCTTTCTCTTGCTGTTGGAGCTGGTAACTATTAGGGACCTCTGATTAATAGCCCAGACAAGCCAGGTGTGGTGGGGCACGCCTGTAATCCCAGCACTTTGGGAGATAGAAGCAGATGGATCATTTGAAGCCTGGAATTCAAGACCAGCCTGGCCAATGCGGTGAAACCCCATCTCTACAAAAAATACAAAATTTAACTGGATGTGGTGATGAGCACCTGTGGTCCCAGCTACTTGGCAGGGTGAGATGGGAGGATAGATTGAGCCCAGGAGGTTAAGGCTGCAGTAAGCCATGATCGTGCCACTGCATTCCAGCCGGGGGGGACAAAGCTAAATCCTGTCTCAAATAATAATAATAATTTTAAAAAGCCCAAAGTGAAACATACAGCAAATGTCCTTTGTAATACGGAGTAGAAATCAAGCCATAGGAAGCAGCTGAGAGAAGGTTTAATGAGATGGAAGGATGCGAGAGTGCTTTTCAAGTACTTAGGCAAGTAAAGAAGAAAACAAATATTTATTGAGTGCCCACTGGGCTCCTGGTACTCTGAGGCTATTTGCTACACATATTAATTTCTGAAATGAGAAGTAGGAAGAAGCCTATTTTGTGATATTCTAAAAATTAAGGTCTCAGGTCATTAGGTAAAAATTACAGGGACACGGGGTCTATTTTTTCTCCTGATTACCAGTAGTTGATTATACAAAATTTGAAAAACAAGCACAAAGAAGACAAATTATCACCTGTGATTGTACCCTCCAGAGATAAATGTTACAAAAATTTTTTATTATATACATTGTTTATTATAAAGTTGAAGTCATGCAAAGTATACTAACTGCTGTAATCATTTTTCTCATGTTGTGAAATATTCTTCATTTTGTGTTCTATTTCCACAAGTCGATGAGCTATATTTTAAAATTGAGGCTCCACCGCTGGACACTTAGGTTGTTTCCAAGGTTTCACTTAGTGATGTTATCAACAGGAGTCATACGAGGGTGGGGGCTGGTCTGGGGAAACATACTGGATGAGCAAGTGAGAGAAGAAAACGTGTTTAGCCTGGGAAAGTCACAGCTTGCTTCAAATGTTTGAAGGTTGTCATTTGAAAGAACAGTGAGACTTGGTCTATGTGGTCTCAAATGGGAAGATTTAGAAACTGGGTGGAAAGCCTGGGAAGAAGATCCATTCACAGAATGCAAAGGCAAATTTCCTGTAGTTGAGGGTGACCAAAGAAGGTCTGGGCAGCTTTAGGAGGTAGTGAGTTACCGGTTGGTGAAGACATTCAAATATAGGCAAAGAAAAATAATAACTTACAGGAATATAATGGGTTAAATGTGTTTACAGCAGAATGACCTGAGTGTTTTGAGAACACGGAAGATGTTATTTATTTATTTGAGATAGAGTCTTGCTCTGTCGCCCAGACTGGAGTGCAGTGGTGTGATCTCGGCTCACTGCAACCTCTGCCTCCCAGGTTCAAGCGATTCTCCTGCCTCAGCCTCCTGAGTCGCTGGAATTACAGGTGCCCACCACCACGCCTGGCTAATTCTTGTATTTTTAGTAGAGACGAGGTTTCACCATGTTGGCCAGGCTGGTCTCGAATTCCTGGGCTCAAGTGATCCACCCGCCTCGGCCTCCCAAAGTGCTGGGATTACTGGCATGAGCCACTGCGCCTGGCCTTTCATTTATTTTTGAAAGGGGAAAGGGTCTTGGGAAAGGCTTCAAAAGTTAAAATTTGAATCGAATCAAATCCTCTTATTCTTTACATCGGGGCCCAATATTTACACAATGATTTATAGTTCACAAAGGATTAAAGACTTCCCTTAAAGGATGAGGAAACAAATTCAGAGAGGGTAAGTACACTACCCCAGTTCCTGCGGCAAGGAGGTAGTTGAGAATCCCCCATGTTCTCTGTCCCAACAGAGAACTCTTGTTTCCAGTTGCTATTATTATTATTATCAAGCTCACCAATCCCTTCTAAAACATCCAGACTTGCAAGACATTGTCTGTGCCCTGCTTCATTACAATAAAATGAAAATGTCTCCAATGACTAATGTGAACAAAATGTCAGTGTTGTCAGGTAAGTTTTCCTGCATGGAAATTCCATTCCCTTTCTTTCCCACAGCAGCCACTGGATGATTAGAGTTTATGATAGGTAACGATTGGGCTCCCCTCAACTCCAGCATCTATGTGTGAGTCTATGATGTCTCTGCTTGCCTTCTGCTCAGGGCGGGCCTCCTTCCCTGGTGGTCTGAGACCCGTGAATGAAGGTACTTCCCACATTAGCCCTATGTCTCACAGATGCCTTCCATTCTGTCAACTCAGGACCCTGGAAAGCTGGGCTTCCATCCTCCACTCTACCTGTGCAGCTGCAAAGTTCGTAGTCCACGAATGTGTTCCTGTTTCCAGCATCTACCCTGAACCCTGGGCTCCACCCCAGTTCTTCTGGGCTAGACAAGCTAGAAGGAAATGTGGAGGTCCCCTTTTGGCTACAGGAGTGGGCTGTCACCACCCTCAGGAAACCAGCTCCCTTCTGCCCCTGCTGAGGTGTCCCTTCCCACCCAGCCTTTCTAGCAAAAGCAAATCAGAAGGTCTCTGTGCCATGACCTACCCCATCCAAAAGGCACCCTCATCCAGCACTCCACTAACGCCACCTCAGCCATCTGTGGGGCTGACAGCCCTCCCACCGAACAGCCCTCCCTATCTTCAGGAAGCCAGCGTCCAAGCTGGGAGCGAGAGGAAGGCCGGATGCAGATGGTCCCTCTTTCAACTCCAGAGTGAAGTGTAGTTCTCTTGCTTTTAACCATTTCCTGGATTTAATTGCTTGCCTACTCCATCCTGCCCGTGCTGTTTTGCAATTCTCTGGTGACTCTGTTCTTGCAAAAACATTCATTTGGTGATCAGTAGATACCAGGCACTGGGCGAAGCACTGAGAATAAAAATTCCCAGGGAGCTAGGTTTGTACCCCTGGAGGGTTCCCTTTTCTCCTAGTGCATGGAAGAAGAAACCTACCGTGAAAATACAGTGATAAGTGACTTGACAAGGGAATGAGGCTTTCCTGGAGACAGCAGAGGAGATGAGAAAGAATGGGTTGTGTTCTGGGAGTGTAAAGTGGTGGACCCTGAGCAGAGAAGGCCTGAGAGGTCAGATCATGAAGGGATTTGGCACCAAACTAACATGTAAGAATGTTATCCCCAAAACAAAAGCTTAAAGTCCTCTAAGCTTTTCAGTGGGCAATGATGTGATACCCAACTGTAGAGTCCCATGAAGCCTTGAGGAACCGGGTGAAGGACAAAGGAGTCCGGGAGGCTGGTGGGAGGCTTGGACTGTTTATTTGACTCTTTTCTGTTCTGTTTGGATGTTTCAACCATGTACTTGATTATTTTTTATCTTGAAAACAAACAGGCCAGGCACAGTGGCTCATGCCTGTAATCCCAACACTTTGGGAAGCCGAGGCAGGTGGATCACCTGAGGTCAGAAGTTCAAGACCAGTCTGGCCAACATGGTGAAACCTCATCTCTAACAATAATACAAAAATTAGCTGGGGGTAGTGGCGCATGCCTGTAATCCCAGCTACTCGGGAGGCTGAGGTAGAAGAACTGCTGGAACCTGGGAGGCGGAGGTTGCAGTGAGCTGAGATCATGCCACTGCTCCAGCCTGGGAGACAGAGCAAGACTCCATCTCAATAAATAAATAAATAAATAAGAAAACAAATGGTCATGGCTAGGTGTGGTGCTTCATGCCTGTAATCTCAACACTTTGGGAGGCTGAGGTGGGAGGATAGCTTGAGCCTAGGAGTTTGAGACCAGCCTGGGCAACATGGGGAGACCCCCATCTCTACAAAAAAAAATAAAAAAATTAGCTGGACATGGTGAGGCATACCTGTAGTCCTAGGTACTCACGAGACTGAGGTGAAAGGATTGCTTGAGCCTAGGATGTCGAGGCTGCAGTGAGGCATGCTTGTGCTACTGTACTCTGGCCTGGGTGACAGAGTAAGATCCTGTCTCAAAAAAAAAAAAAAAAAAAAAAACCAAAAACCAACCAACCAAACAAAAAACTCCAATCCTAACCAAACCAAACTAAATCAAACAGTATTTATAATATTCCAGATATGGTGCTTGTGACACAAAGATGAAAATACAGGATGCTTGCCCTAAAAGCACTTCTAGTTTAGAAACAGACATGGAAATACAATATAACAAAATAGTACTAATGCTATAACAACTATAAACATATTTTGCATTGAATTGAAGCAAAAATAGGAAAAATGTTGAAAATGATAGCAGTAAGTGTGCAGATCAATAAATACTGTAGAAATATTAAAAGATGTTCACTACATACTTAGATTAAAAAGCCAGGAAAATAAGCCAAAACTCTCAGGAACTATTGAGCTAATGAGCCAATGCAGAAAGTTATCTTTGTAGAACTCTGTGCCTCCTGCCTAATTTTAAATTCCATTACTTAATTGTTTTTCACAGTTTCATTAGGGCATTTTCCTCAACCTGTTAATTTTGAGGAAGCTAATATATACGTATGAATCAATATACAAAAGTGGATTTCTTTTCAAGTCTTGCCAAAATGTTGCAAAATACGATTTTCTTTTTTTTTTGAGACGGAGCCTCACTCTGTTGCCCAGGCTGGAGTGCAGTGGCGCCATGCTGGTTCATTGCAACTTCTGCCTTCTAGGTTCAAGCGATTCTCTTGCCTCAGCCTCCGGAGTAGCTGGGACTACAGGCACCTGCCATGACACCTGGCTAATTTTTGTATTTTTAGCAGAGACAGGGTTTCACCATGTTGGCCAGGCTGGTCTCGAACTCCTGACCTCAATCCGGCTGCCTCGGCCTCCGAAAGTGCTGGGATTACAGGCGTGAACCACCAGGCCCGGCCGCAAAATATGATTTCAAGATATTCTGAAACTGTGGAATACACACTTTAATAATTACATATTTACTATTTAAGCTTTATCTTAATGTCACAAGAAAAGAAAATGTTAATGGCAATTCATAAAATAATATTGGTAAACATGCTTACATGATAAGGAAGGCAATGAATATTGTCCTCTCTCTCTCTCTCTCTCTTTTTTAATGGCACCATGAGAACCACATCTTGACATAAACAACTTTGTAACCTTAAGATTCTGGGAGAGAGTCCTTGGTTGCAGGTGTCTGGTTAAGAGGAGGAAGGAGGCCAGGAGCCGTGGCTCATGCCTGTAATCCCAGCACTTTGGGAGGCCATGGCGGGTGGATTACCTGAGGTCAGGAGTTTGAGACCAGCTTTGCCAACATGGTGAAACCCCATCTTTACTAAAAATACAAAACTAGCCAGGCGTAGTGGTGCATGCCTGTAACCCCAGCTACTTGGGAGGCTGAGGCAGGAAAATCATTTGAACCCGGGAGGTGGAGGTTGCAGTGAGTCTAGATCGCACCATTGCAGTCCACCCTAGGCAAAAAGAGCAAAACTCTGTCTCAAAAAAAAAAAAGGGGGGGGGAAGGACAGTGAGAGCAAGAAAGGCGTCGGGCTAGCCCTACTTGGGAGATGGCTAGGAGAATGAAGATGGCCACAGACACATTGACTGGGGTGACATTCATGTATCAATCTAACAGCATCCCATGGCCTTCCATTTTTCTTTTTTTTTCTTCCTGTTTCTTTTTACAGTAAAATCTCAAAAAAGAAATCAATTAAAAAAAAAAAGGCTGGGCGTGATGGCACACGCCTGTAATCCCAGCACTTTGGGAGGCTGAGGCAGGCAGATCATGAGGTCAAGAGATCGAGACCATCCTGGCCAACATGGGTGAAACCCCGTTTCTACTAAAAATACAAAAATTAGCCGGGCATGATGGCGGGCGCCTGTAGTCCCAGCTACTCGGGAGGCTGAGGCAGGAGAATCTCTTGAACCTGGGAGGCGGAGGTTCCAGTGAGCTGAGATCACACCACTGCACTCCAGCCTGGGCCACAGAGGGAGACTCTGTCTAAAACAACAACAACAAAACCAAAACAAACCACAAACAAAAAACCAAAAACCCCAAATACTTCTCTGCTTTCCCAAATAGGCATCAGATAGATATACACAGGCAGGGCACAAATACACAACAAACATATTTTTAAAAAGTCACAAAATGTCCAAATAAATGCAAATAAAAATAAGAGGGTGTGGCAGGGTGTAGGAAAAAGCCATTGTCACACATTACTTTTAGGGAGTGCATATTGGTGGAATCACTTCTGAGGAATATTTTGGTAACATGAATCAAAAGCTTTTTAAGGACGCATACTTTTATCTGAAGGAGATAATTGGACAGGTGTGTAAAATGGATGTAGGACATGTTTATACAACTTTATCTGTAGTAACAACAACAACAAAAAGGAAAAACTTCCTTAAAAAATAGAGGAGCAGGTAAACAAATTATGGCCTATTCAACTGATGGAATACTAGTAGCTGTTAAAATGATTATCTAAATTTCAGTTGATTAACACTAAAATGTGCTCATAGTATAATTGTAAGTAAAAACGGCATGAAACATATCTGCAGTGTTGTATGTGGGTGAATGTACTCATGTCTCCCTAAGAAAATCTGGAAGGACATATGCTAATATGAAAATACCAATAAGGTTTTTTTTTTTTTTTTCCTGGGTGATATCTACGAGTAATCATTCCCTCTTCATTGTTTTCCATATTGTAAAATCGTCTGTAATGACCATGCATGACTGTTACATTTTGTTTTTGGACCTTAGGTACAAAGAATTAAGAATTAACTCCTCGGCCAGGCGTGGTGGCTCACACCTGTTACCCCAGCACTTTGGGAGGCTGAGGAGGCAGGATGGCTTGAGTCTAGGAATTTGAAACCAGCCTGGTTGACACAGAAAAACCTCATCTCTACAAAAAATACAAAAAGTTACCCAGGCGTGGTGGCATGCGCTTGTAGTCTCGGCTACCCAGGAGACTGAGGTGGGGAGGATTGCTTGAGCCTGGGAGGTGGAAGCTGCTGTGAACTGTAATCTTGCCACTGCACTCCAGCCTGGGCAACGGAGTGAGACCCTATCTCAAAAAAAAAAAAAAGGAAAAAAAAAAGAATTAACTTCTTATTTCATAGCATACTACCATTGTCAGTTTATAGAAGGCCTTTTTCTTGTTTTAATTAATTTTGTTTCTTTGTAATCTGTTTTAGATAACGAATTACCTTAAAAATAAGAATAAACAAGGCCGGGTGCAGTGGCTCTCACCTGTAATCCCAGCACTTTGGGAGGTCGAGGTGGGCAGATCAATTGAGGCCAGGGGTTCGAGGTCAGCCTGGCCAATGTGGTGAAACCTTTTCTCTACTAAAAATACAAAAATTTGCCAGGTGTGGTGGCGGGCACCTGTAATCCCAGATACTCAGGAGGTTGAGGCAGGAGAATCGCTTGAACTGGGGAGGTGGAGGTTGCAGTGAGCCGAGATCACACCCCTGCACTCCAGCCTGGGTGACAGAGCGAGACTCTGTCTCAAAAAAAAAAAAAAAGAAAGAACGAACGAACAATAAAGTTTGTACAAGGGCAGCAAGTGAAGACTTTTACCCAGAAGTCTGTAAGAACAGTAGGGGTGTCAGATGCCACGCCATGCCACTGTCTAGGGACCAAATGCAAATTGTTCACCTTCTCGCTTGGCGTGAGGAGCATTGATAGGAATACTGGTTTGCTTGTTTGTCCTTGGAATATTTATTTGGGTTATAACTCTCAGCGAGATTCCAACTACTGGACTTTCAGGCTTAGAATAGTGCCTCACCAGGAGTGGTCACTAACGGATATGAAGCCAACCAAAAGAAACCACCATCTTGGCACGCATCTGTGTGTTAGTTTCCCTTAGTGCCACTACAAAGTACAAACAACTAGGTGGCTTAAACAACAGAAATGTACTGTCTTGAATTTCTGGAGGCCAGAAGTCCAAAATCAAGATGTTGGCAGGGTTGGTTCCCTCTGATGGCCGTAAGACAAAATCTGTTCCATGCTTCTTTGTCAGCTTCTGGTAGCCTCAGGTGTGCCTTGGTTTGTAGATGGCCACCTTCTCCTGGTGTCTGTACGTTCTTCCCTGTGTTCGTTTGTCTTGGTCCAAATTTCTCCTTTTTATAAGGGCAGCAGTCATTTTGGATTAGGGTTCAATCTAGAGACCCAACTCGATTACCTCTGTGAAGACTCTAACTCCATATAATCTTGAATCATCTTGGTGTGGTAGAAAGAACATGGGCTTTGCAATTATACCTGTGTTTGAATCCTGGCTTCACCACTTACTGGTGAGTGGTGACTGCCTTGAGAAAGTCATGTAATCACTCAGGACTTGTTTTCTCATCCACATAATGGGGATGTAATGTTGCTGTGAGGATTAGAGATACTCTAGAACATGCTGGGTAAGTGGAGGCTGTTACTACCTATGAGCTGAGGGCCTTTGCTTTTCAAGGTGAACAGTCTA